>NC_000011.10:47029696-47332727 GCF_000001405.40 Homo sapiens
TTCATATGCTGTGTTTGAATCACCTTAGTGTGGCCAGTTTGTGCTGCATAGTTGGATGTGATCTGCTCTCCTGTTTTACTTCTTGGCAGATATATTTAGGATTCCTTGAAAAAAAAAAAGGCTGGGCACAGTGGCTCACACCTATAATCCTAGCACTTTGGGAGGCCAAAACAGGAGGATCGCTTGAGCCCAGGAGTTCAAGACCAGCCTGGGCAACATAGTGAGGCCTCGTCTCTACTGGAAAAAAAAAAAAAAAGAAAGAAAGGAAGAAAGAAAGAAAATTAGCCGGGCATGGTGGTGCACACCTGTAGTCCCAGCTACACAGGCGGCTGAGGCAGGAGGATTGCTTGAAACTAGGAATTTGAAGCTGCAGTGAGCTATGATCGTACTACTGTACTCCAGCCTTGGTAACAGAATAAGACCCTGCCTCAAAACAAAACAAAACAAAACAAAAAAAACCTATCAGAAGACAAGTTCAATTCCAATTCTAACAGAAGATAATCCACTCTAATGAGCTGGCCTGGTTTTAGAAAGAAAAAAAGGAGACAGGAGAATGGCCTAGGAAGACTCAACTGCCATCATCCAGTTAAACAGTGCAGGTCAAGATTCACTGGCCGTTTTCAGTTTGAGTGAGAACAAGGAGCACCTGGAGGACATAGAGTGCTGTTGGAGTTTTGAAGTTTTGCCTCTTTGCACATTAAGAATGAGCTGGAATATTTTAATTTGGTCCTCTTGCCCATGTCTTTATTACTTCTATATGTGGAATGTGAATAGCTATTTATATATAGATCCAGTATGGTTACAGTTATTTATTTATTTACTTATTTATTTTTAACTTTTAAGTTCAGGGGTACTTGTGCAGGTTTGTTACATAGGTAAACTTGTGTTGTGGGGGTTTGTGGTACAGATTATTTCATCACTCAGGTATTAAGCCTAGTACCCATTAGTTGTTTTCCCTGATCTTTTCCCTCTTCCCATCCTCCACCCTCCAATAGGCCCCAGTGTGTGTTGTTCCCCTCTATGCATCCGTGTGTTCTCATCATTTAGCTCCCACTTATAAGTGAGAACATGCAGAATTTGGCTTTCTCTTCCTGCATTAGTTTGCTAAGGATAATGGCCTCCAGCTACATGAATGTTCCTGCAGAGGACATGATCTCATTCTTTTCTATGGCTGCAGACTATTCCATAGTGTGTATGTACCACATTTTCTTCATCCCGTCTATCACTGATGGGACAGTGTGAGGAATCCTCAAAGATCTAAAGTCAGAAATACCATTCGACCCAGCAATCCCATTACTGAGTATATACCCAAAGGAATATAAATCATTCTATTATAAAGATGTGTGGTTACATTTATATTTAATTCTTTCTTGGTAGTCCCTGAGCTATTGCCCACTTCACCAGAATAATTTAAATCAATTCTTGCTTTTTGCTAGTTAATAGCCAAAATTAAGATGTTTATGTGGAATTGACATCATACATAAATTCTTAGAATTTGTATCTAGTTTTTCAGGAGAAAATAGATACCACTTAATAGAATTCTGTATGACTTTTTCTGTGCAAACAGCGTTTGTTACTAGAAGAGAACATGAAATTGTATCAAGAACTCCCATTAGCTTAACATGTTTACAAATGTCTGATTATAAAATTATTAATTTTTAACACAGCTCCTGCTGTGTTTTCTTAATATATTACTGGAGAAAACTGCCCTAGAGCTGGGCATGGTGGCTCACGTCTGTAATCCCAATGCTTTGAGATGCTGAGGTGGGAGGATTGCTTTAGCTCAGGAGTTTGAGACCAGCCTGGGCAACATAACGAGACTCTGTCTTTACAAAAAATAAAATAAACAAAATTAGCCAGGCATGGTAGCGCATGTCTGAGTCCCAGCTACTTGGGAGGCTGAGGCAGGGGGATCGCTTCAGCCCAGGAGTTTGAGGCTACAGTGAGCTATGATCGTGCCACTGCACTCCAGCCTGAGCAACAGAGAAAAACCCCATCTCTTTTTTTTTTTTTTTTTTTAAAAGAGATCTCTTAAAAAAAAATTGCCCTGAAGTTAAATATTGTATTAGGGTTCTCTAGAGGGATGGAACTAATGGAATAGATTTATATATATAAAGGGGAGTTTACTAAGTATTAACTCACACAATCACAAGGTCCCACAATAGGCCATCTGCAAGCTGAGGAGCAAGGATAGCCAGTAAACTGAAGAACTTGGAGTCCAATGTTTTAGGGCAGGAAGCATCCAGCATGGGAGAAAGATGTAGCCTGGAAGGGTAGGCCAGTCTCTCTTTTCACATTTTTCTGCCTGCATTTTATTCTAGCTGGCTAGACTGGCAGCTAATTAGATTGTGCTCACTCAGATTAAGGGTAGGTCTGCCTTTCCCAGCCCACCGACTCAAAGTTAATCTCCTTTGGCAACACCCTCACCGACACACCCAGGATCAATACTTTGTATCCTTCAATCAGTTTGACACTCAATATTAACATGACAAATATTAAGCTAATAAAATAGGAAAACTATGGAATTTATTTTATTGTCAAAACTAAATTAAGAGAGATTTGTACTCAGCCCATTTCATTTTTTTTACTTTAGAATTTTTTAATTTCCAGTGAAACCAAATTTTACTACTGTTGTGAACACAGCCTTCACATTTGATGCAAATGGGAGGGCTTAATTATAATCACTTAGTGACAGTATTGTAGACAAAGCCAATAGTGTATGGCACATAGATGATTATATCTTCTGGAGAGAGTTGACTTTACAATTAATACAAACATATTTGACTAAAGAAAATGGAAGCATCTTCAGACCATTTCATCTTAATTATATCTTGTAAGGTTAAAAATATATAACTCACAAATAAATTTTAATTTAAAAAATTTTTTTAACTTTCATGTCACAGCCAAGTCCAAAAAATTTTAATTTTGATGTTTCTGGTTCTCTTGTGGCTAGATAATCCATAGAGATTTCCTGAACTTCTTATTCATGATAGCTTAAAAAGAAACATTCAGATCCCTGTGAATTGGACAAAAGGATATCTATTTTATGCTACTTTTTGTAGCATAAGGAAGAAGAGGAAATAAAAACACAATGGGCCCTTGAACAACATGAGGGTTACAGGTGCCGACCTCTCCTCTTCACTTAGTCTAAAATCCACATATAATTTTGGACTCACCAAGAACTTAACTACTGATAGTCTACTATTGACCTTACCAATAGCATTAAAACAGTTGATTAACACATACCTTGTATATGTATTTTATACTGTATTCCTACAACAAAGTAAGCTAGAGAAAAGAAAATGTTATTAAGAAAATCAAAAGGAAAATATATTTACTATTCATTAAGTTAAAGTGGATCATGATAAAGACCTCCATCTTTTTCTTCTTGATGTTAAGTGGCTGAGGAAGAGAAAGAGGAGGAGGAGTTGGTCTTGCTGTCTTAAGCGTGGCAGGGAAGAAGAGGTGGAGATTGTAGAAGGGGAGGCAGGCACACTCGGTGTAGCTTTATGAAAACACATGGTGATTTCTGATTTTTTTTGCCTTTTCATGTCTTTAAAAATGTTTCTATATGGTACCAATTTTTCTTCCATTTGCTTTAGTTTCAGTGCCTGTATCACTGAAGAGTTCATGTCATAAAAGAAGTCAAAAGCAGTCTTGAATAGTTGGAACTCTTCTGCCAGATGGTCTAATGTCAGTTTGTTTTCTGGCCCTGCTTCTGTGTCTTCTTCCCCTTCTATTCCTTCTTTTCTGGCACTGGTTCAGAAGCACTCACCTTCATCAAGTTGTCTTCTGTTAATTCCTCTGGTGTGATGTCTGTTAGCTCTTGAATTTCTCCAAGATCCATATCTTGGGACCCTTCCCCCACCTTCTTTGCCATATCCACAATCTCTTTCATGATCTCCTTGATTGGCTCTGTCGTAAATCCTGTGAAGTCATGCACAACATCTGGATGCAGTTTTCTCCAGCAGGAATCTATTGTTTGGGGCTCAATGGCTTTTTCCATAACAACAGTGGCATCTTCAATGGTGTAATCCTCCCAGACTTTCTTGATGTTCTATCAGGATTCTCTTCCATAGCGTTGACAGTCCTTTCCAACAGAGTACTATGTGTAATGGGCCTTAAAGGTCCTTATAACCCCCTGACTTAGGGGCTGAATTAGAAACATTGTGTTTGGGGGCAAGTATTACAGACCATTTTGATACCTTTGGTGTTGAACTCATGGGTTCTGGGTGGCCAGGGACATTGTCCAATTCAAAAGAACTTTAAAAGGCAGTCCATGTTGGTGTGCTGCACCCATTAATTCATCATTTACGTTAGGTATATCTCCTAACATGGCACATGTATAGATATGTAACAAACCTGCACGTTGTGCGCATGTACCCTAGAACTTAAAGTATAATAAAAATATATATATATAAAAATAAAAAAATAAAAATAAAAGGCAGTCCATTACCAGCAAGGTACATCCTGACTTCAGGAAGAATGTTGATGAAACCCAGTCCAGAAAAAATGGTTCTCATTATCCAGGGCTTCTTGTACAACACCCAAAACTGGCAACTGGTATTTATCTTTTCCCTTCAAAGCTCAGGGGTTACCAGCTTTATAGATAAGGGCAGTCCTAATCATAAACCTGACTGTGTTTGCACAAAATAGTAGAGTTAGCCCATCCCTTCCTGCCCTAAATCCTGGTGCTTGCATCTCTTCCTTACTAATAAGTGTCCTTTGTGGCATTTTTCCCCTTAGCATCTGCATTAAAAAACTGCTCAGGAAGATATCCTTTTTCCTCAATGATTTTTAAAAGCTTCTTTTTTTTTTTTTTTAGAGCAGGGTCTCACTGTGTTGCCCAGGCTGGAGTCCAGTGGCATGATTATAATTCACACCACCTCGAATTCCTGTGCTCGAGTGAGTTTCATGCTTCAGCCTCTTTAGTAGCTGGGACTACAGGCTTGTGCCACCACAGTCGGCTAATTTTTATTTTTGGTAGAGATGGGGTTTTTCCATGTTGCCCAAGCTGGTTTCAAACTCCTGGGCTCAAGCAATCCTCCCACCTCAGCCTTCCAAAGTGCTGGGATTACAGGCATGAGCCACTGCACCTGGTTGCCTCAATAATTTTCTTAATGGCATCTGGAAACTTGTTTGCTGCCTCTTGGTTGGCAGATGCTACTTCCCCTGATATCCTGATATTTTTTAAGCCAAAACTTTTTCTAAAATTATCAAACCATCCTTTACTGGCATTAAATTCTCCAGCTTTAGACCCTTCACCTTTCTTCTGCTTTAAGTTGTCATATAATGACTTCACTTTTTCTCAGATCATATTAGGGTCATATGCCTTTCTTATAGAAATCCTGCACTCCTATAAAAGCTGTGTTTTCAAGACAAGTTAAAAAAGTATTTCACCAAAAGTGCAATGTTTTTATGCCTGCTGATGTAGCTGCAGCAACTGCTTCATGAATTTCCTTTGTTTATAATTGTCCTTACCTTAGATTCATTTATCTTGAAATGAAGGCCAAACCACAGCTGCAGATCTCAATCTATGATGTATGTCAAGCAATTCAACTTTATCTTGTAACGTCATGAATTTTCTCTGTTTCTTGGGAGCACTTCCGGCATCACTAGTGACACTTCGTATGGGTCCGATAGTGTTATTTGAGGTTTATGGTTTTGTACTGAACACGATGAAAAATACATGAGAACCATGAGAGATCACTTTTTACTGTGATACACAATTTACTGGAGAAATGAACTGCCCATGCAGAGATGATTAGCATCACATGGTGTTTTAAGCAGATACTTGCAACACTTGTGCTCACTGCAATAGCAACAGGAGTTGGCTATGAATGAAATTATTATAGTAGTACAGTATGAGCTACAGTTAATTTTATACAGTTATGATTTAATACTGTATGTTTGCTTACATTTCTCTCCACTATGAATGGCACCATGTATGGTCTGTGTGTGTGTCAGTTTTGCTAAATGTTAACTTTTTATAACAGATTTGTGTATATTTTAATGTAGTAAATGATAAAATGGACTAGTGTCTACATATTTTATGCATTCAGGACATACTTTTAAAAATTTTTCCAATATGTGTAGGATGCACAGTTGGTCTGTGAGTTTTTTTTAAATTGCTGAAATCCCTCCAAAATTTCTAATATATTTATTGAAAAAAAATCCATGTATAAGTAGACCCACACAGTTCAAATCCATGCTGTTCAAAGGTCAACTGTATATACATGTATCTGCTCATCTGAGAAAAAAATATGCACACAGGAAGAATAAACCAGAGATGAATGAGATTCATTATCTCTAAGATGTTAGTGAAATGGAGTGAAAAGATATATATATATATATATATATTATATATATATAATATATAAATTATATATATTATATTATATATTATATATTATATATAATGTATATTATAATATACAATATAATATATAATATATTATATATAATGCATATTATAATATATAAATATATATTTATATTATATATTATATATTATATTAATATATAATATATATAATATATTATATTTATATATTATATATTATATAATATATATATTATATATTATATTTATATATTCAACAAGATTGGGGGAGACTCTAAAATTGAAAACAAACAAGTGAAGCAAATTGTATTTCAAATGAATAATATACCGTACTGCAGGGGGTTGGAGAAACTAATCTAAGGAACATAATATTTGGACTATATACCCTCAGGCTAAAACAACTCTAAACAAGTATTAAACTCTAATTAGTAGGCTTCTTTTTCACAGAGGAATGGGTTAGCTAGCTCAGTACATTTTAGGATTAAGCAAATAAGTAAATATGTTATAGATAATAGGAGCCTTTTTCTCACTTTAGAAAAAGGACATTTCAGATATGGAAAGGGAAGATGATAGAATGTAACCTGTAGTGTTGAACTGGAATTGAATCAGTGTGAGCTCATAGATTTGTTTTGTTTTGTTTTGTTTTGTTTTGTTTGAGACGCAGTCTCTTCTCTGTCACCCAGGCTGGAGTGCAGTGGCACAACCTTGGCTCACTGCAACCTCTGCCTCCCGGGTTCAATCAATTCTCCTCCCTCAGCCTCCCGAGTAGCTGGGATTACAGGCGAGTGCCACCACGCCCAGCTAATTTTTTTTATTTTTCTTAGAGGGGTGGAGTTTTGCCATGTTGGCCAGGCTGGTCTCGAACTCCTGACCTCTGGTGATCCGCCCACCTCGGCCTCCCAAAGTGCTGGGATTACAGGAGTGAGCCACCACGCCCAGCCTATTCTTTACTAAAAACAACTGGGCTTCTTGGATAAATGGCTGGCTCCAGGGTGAAGTAGGGAAAGAACAAGATGATCCTGGAACATCTTATTCTATCAAAAAAGGAAGGAAGTGATCAGAGAATTATGTAGATGTGTCAAAAGGACATAGAAGTCAGCTTGAAGGGCTTCCATGGCAAAATATGGGATCATTTGAACATAAAAATATATAATGATAGTAAAGGATTATAACCTATTGAATAAAGAATCCATGAGTCCACAATGATATAAATAAATAAGAAGGGAAAGCTCTTCCTTATTGTAGAAGGTCGACTTAAAAACGTAGATGAAACGACGTAGTTGGAAAAAGATCACCATTTGGCAAAACCTTCATATTCATTGTTGGTTCTGGCAACAATTATTATTATTATTATTTTTTTTTTTTAATTGATCATTCTTGGGTGTTTCTCGCAGAGGGGGATTTGGCAGGGTCACAGGACAATAGTGGAGGGAAGGTCAGCAGATAAACAAGTGAACAAAGGTCTCTGGTTTTCCTAGGCAGAGGACCCTGCGGCCTTCTGCAGTGTTTGTGTCCCTGGGTACTTGAGATTAGGGAGTGGTGATGACTCTTAAGGAGCATGCTGCCTTCAAGCATCTGTTTAACAAAGCACATCTTGCACCGCCCTTAATCCATTCAACCCTGAGTGGATACAGCACATGTTTCAGAGAGCACAGGGTTGGGGGTAAGGTCACAGATCAACAGGATCCCAAGGCAGAAGAATTTTTCTTAGTGCAGAACAAAATGAAAAGTCTCCCACGTCTACCTCTTTCTACACAGACACGGCAACCATCCGATTTCTCAATCTTTTCCCCACCCTTCCCCCCTTTCTATTCCACAAAACCGCCATTGTCATCATGGCCCCTTCTCAATGAGCTGTTGGGTACACCTCCCAGATGGGGTGGTGGCCGGGCAGAGGGGCTCCTCACTTCCCAGTAGGGGCGGCCGGGCAGAGGGCTGACCCCCCCCACCTCCCTCCTGGACGGGGCGGCTGGCCGGGCAGAGGGGCTCCTCACTTCCCAGTAGGGGCGGCCGGGCAGAGGCGCCCCTCACCTCCCGGATGGGGCGGCTGGCCGGGCGGGGGGCTGACCCCCCCACCTCCCTCCCGGATGGGGCGGCTGGCCCGGGCGGGGGGCGGACCCCCCCACCTCCCTCCCAGACGGGGCGGCTGGCCGGGCAGAGGGACTCCTCACTTCCCAGTAGGGGCGGCCGGCCAGAGGCGCCCCTCACTTCCCGGATGGGGCGGCTGGCCGGGCGGGGGGCTGACCCCCCCACCTCCCTCCCGGACGGGGCGGCTGGCCGGGCGGGGGGCTGACCCCCCACCTCCCTCCTGGACGGAGTGGCTGGCCGGACAGAGGGGCTCCTCACTTCCCAGTAGGGGCGGCCGGGCAGAGGCGCCCCTCACCTCCCGGATGGGGCGGCTGGCCGGGCGGGGGGCTGACCCCCCCACCTCCCTCCCGGACGGGGCGGCCGGCCAGGCAGAGGGGCTCCTCACTTCCCAGTAGGGGCGGCCGGGCAGAGGCGCCCCTCACCTCCCGGACGGGGCGGCTGGCCGGGCGGGGGGCTGATCCCCCCACCTCCCTCCCGGACTGGGAGGCTGGCCGGGCGGGGGTCTGACCCCCCCACCTCTCTCCCGGACGGGGTGGCTGGCCGGGCGGGGGGCTGACCCCCCCACCTCCCTGCCGGACGAGGTGGCTCCCGGGCAGAGACGCTCCTCACTTCCCAGACGGGGTGGCTGCTGGGCGGAGGGGCTCCTCACTTCTCAGATGGGGCGGTTGCCGGGCGGAGGGGCTCCTCACTTCTCAGACGGGGCGGTTGCCAGGCAGAGGGTCTCCTCACTTCTCAGACGGGGCGGCTGGGCAGAGACGCTCCTCACATCCCGGACGGGGCGGCAGGGCAGAGGTGCTCCCCACATCTCAGAGGATGGGCCGCCGGGCAGAGACGCTCCTCACTTCCCAGATGGGATGGCGGCCGGGAAGAGGCGCTCCTCACTTCCTAGATGGGATGGCGGCCGGGCAGAGACGCTCCTCACTTTCCAGACTGGGCAGCCAGGCAGAGACGCTCCTCACTTCCCAGACGGGGTGGCGGCCGGGCAGAGGCTGCAATCTCGGCACTTTGGGAGGCCAAGGCAGGCTGCTGGGAGGTGAAGGTTGTAGCGAGCCGAGGTCACGCCACTGCACTCCAGCCTGGGCACCATTGAGCACGGAGTGAATGAGACTCCGTCTGCAATCCCGGCACCTCAGGATGCCGAGGCTGGCGGATCACTCGCGGTTAGGAGCTGGAGACCAGCCCAGCCAACACAGCGAAACCCCGTCTCCACCAAAAAAATACGAAAACCAGTCAGGCGTGGCGGCGCGCGCCCAGGCAGTTGGCAGGCTGAGGCAGGAGAATCAGGCAGCAGTACCGTCCAGCTTCAGCTCCGCATCAGAGGGAGACCGTGGAGAGAGGGAGAGGGAGACCGTGGGGAGAGGGAGAGGGAGAGGGAGCTCTGGTACTTTCTTATAGCCACACGAACAGATAAAGACTGTACCTATCTGTTGGCTGGGCGCAGTGGCTCACGTCTGTAATCCCAGCACTTCGGGAGGCTTAGACAAGCGGATCACGAGGTCAGGAGATCGAGACCATCCTGGCTAACATGATGAAACCCCGTCTCTACTAAAAATACAAAAAATTTAGCTGGGCGCGGTGGCGGGCGCCTGTAGTCCCAGCTACTCAGGAGGCTGAGGCACGAGAATGGCATGAACCCGGGAGGCGGAGCTTGCAGTGAGCCGAGATCGTGCCACTGCAGTCCGTCCTGGGCGAAAGAGCGAGACTCCGTCTCAAAAAAACAAACAAACAAGAGGTCCAGAGTGTGACAACATGGCCTTGCAACCTTGTGCTCAGGGACCCTGGAGGCAGTCCTTCATAGGTCTGCTGGAACTCGCCAACAATTATTAATAGATACTAAAATTTGTGAATGAAAGTTTGAAGAGTAACTATATATTTCCACAGACTCAAAATGTCTTCCCACAGGATACTTATCCATTACAAAGGCTAACTTTATAGTGGCAAAACCTGGCAGATGCTGCTCTAACTAAAGAATCAAAGTTAACATCCCCAGTAATTAGACTAATCAGCAAGTGCCCCCAGATGTGATGCACTGAGAGGAACTCAGCATCACCTTTGTGATAATCCTGCCAAAGGGGCATAACCTGAATTGAATTATGAGGGGGCATCAGACACACCCAAATTCAAGAACATTCTACAAAGTAACCTGTACAACAGGTTTTCAAATAACTTTGTTTCATTTAACATCATTTTCATTGTAACTATTTTGTGGTTTAAGATCATTTTATGAAGAGCAAGAGGCAGGGAGAGATGGCAGGGAGGACAACTAGAGCACTTCTACACCCACCAGGAGAATAGACTCCCTCCCTGCTTCCTGTTGTGCTGGACCCCTATTGACTTCAGTAGGGATGGCACCATGTTTGCGAGGCTGAAAAAGAGACATGGAGCCAGCAAATGAAACATAAGGTTTTTTGAGGGGATTTACATACAGGGCAGTCCAGGGGCAGCATGCTGAACAGGAGAACTGCTACCACTTATAAAAAAGCATGCAGTTTATACAGCATTTTCACTTAGCCCCTCGACCCCGGCAATCTCCACCTGGCAACCTTCATCCAACCCAAAACAAAGGGCCTCGAACCCCTGTATGGCCTGTGATCCATGGGATGGATCAGATGGTTCAGATGTTCCTCATAGATAAAGAATGAATCTCTGGGTTGGCCATTCCCAAATTCCTTCACTCAGAACTCTGAACACACATTCATCTTAGACCACAGGGTCATTCTCAGGGTATGCTTCAATTATTTATGACAGGTGCATCTACCATACACCTGCTCCCCAAGTGGCTCCCTTGTACTATGGCAGCGGTGGTGGGGAGGGATTTGTGTAAACTCTGCCCTGGAGGGTGGGGAAGGTGAAGGTTGGATGTAAAATGGCAGCAGCTGGGGCTGGCAGTGGTGCTGCTGGGTGCTACAGGGCTTGTAGGGTTCCATAAAGAGGGCTGAGAAGGTGTTGACTTTGTCTGCCCCCTGCACCTCATGGGGAAACAGTGGCAGTTTCACAGTGCAAAAGTCTTTATAAGTGTTCTCCGTCTGGTTCAGATACTTGGCCTGGATCTTGTGTCAGGCCTCACATATCTTTCAGGATTTTCAGGGTTGGGGAAGAGAAGCTGGGTGATGATGATGTTGTATGTGTCAATCTTGTACTTGGCCAGCTCCTGGATCAGTCACTCTGTCTCATACAGGGATAGAACTCAGGGATATATTCGCAGATGATACAGGTAATCTACTCAGGGCCCTTGAACTGTTTGCTGACAAAGTAGATGATGGACAGTGTCTACTTCAGCATGGAGGACAGCACGTCTGTGTTCATGTCCCCAAGACCTAGAACGTTGCATGTCTGTAAGATAAAGGGGCTGATCTGGTTCTTGATCTGCTGAGTGTCATGTCAACCACCACCACTGAGAAGTTCATGCCCTTCACCAGCCTCATGACCTCAGCATAGCTCATGGCCTCATTGATGCCGGGAAAGGCGCTCATGGCTTCCTGCATCAACTTCTTGCTCATGCTCAGCATGTTTTCCTTCTCAAAGAACTCACTGGGCAGCTATGCTGCACCCTGGCTGGGGTCAATTTCCACAGTGAAGAGGTTGTCAGAGCCTTTGACCTTGGTAGGCACCTTTGAGAACTTCTGGTCAAAACCATCTGAGATGTTGTGGGCTAGGTCTGTGGAGATGATCAGAATACTTTCATGCCCTTTTGATAGCTGGATGGCCAGGCTGCAACTGCAAGTGGTCTTTCCCATGCCACCTTTGCGCCAGCAAGGATCCACTTAACTTAAGGCTGCATTTCTCAATGATGTTGCTAAACCTAGGCTCCAGTGGCTCTTGGAGGCTGACTTTGGGAGACTGAGGTGGAAGGATCACTTGAAGCCAGGAGTTTGAGATCGGCCTGGAAGTGAGACCCCATCTCTACAAAAAAAAATTTTTTTAAATAGACAAGCATGATTGTGTGTGCTTGTAGTCCCAGCTACTCAGGAGGCTGAGGTGGGAGGATCACTTGAGCTCAGGAGTTCAAGGCTACAGTGAGCTATGATTGCATCACTGCATTCCAGCCTGGGCAACAGAGCAAGTCCCTGTCCAAAAAAATAAAAAATAAAATAAAGAAAGAGAGGAAGGAAGGAAGGATGGATGGATGGAAGAAAGATTTCATTATTTTTAGGGAATATTTTTAGGAATTCCTTATTTCCTAATTTTTATTTATCTTGCTCAGCACTTTGACTTCTGTTTTTTTTTTTTTTTTGAAATACTGTAGGAGTAAACAAGCGTCACGTCTATAACTTACTCTTAAATAGTTCCAAAAAATGATAATATGTATATACATATGTACTTATATGTCTGTGTGTGTGTGTGAGAGAGAGAGAGAGAAAAGAGAGTGAGTGAGAGTAAATGTAGCAAAATATTCACATTTGAGTAATCCAGGTAAAGGATATTCAGGAATTCTTTGTGCTATTATAACTTTTTGGTAAATTTGAAATTACAATATGTCAAAATTTTTAAAAATTAAAATCTTCAAGGAAAAACTTCAACAACTTAAAGAATAAAAAAAATTGCTCAATGAAATTTGAATACTCGTTTTGGCAAAATCTGTTTATGGCAGACATATGGTGTACTTCTGTATGGCCTTTAAGATATTTTTAGGAACTTTTTTGTTTTACTTTAGAGGAAAGATTAATGTCTATTAAAGAACTTTGTAGTTTAGTCAAATACAATGAAAAATTAGTGCAAATATGCATTTTTAAGCTTGGTAGGTCAAATGTTTGTTTTGGATTTCTGGTCATGATGGCTTGCAGTGTTCATGACTTGGGCCTCTTATTCATTTCATACACATGGTAATGATACATAAAATTTTCTAAGATTTTTAAGGACATAGCCATGTATAAAATTAATATAAATTCATCTGACTAGGAACTCACTAAACCACAATGCAGTAAGTGGGACTGTAACCACATGCCTCCTGTGCTCTGGATTCAGAAGGCGTAGGTAACTGAAAGCTCATTTCTTGAATGGTGGAGACTCAAAATGTTATACACACAGTGCAGGAGACTGGAGCTAGCCCCTTTTGCCTCCACCACTTTAAGAAAGACTCAAAAAAAGTTATGACTGCTACCTGAGAAATGGCTTACATAAAACCTGGAGGTTTAGCCAGGTGCGGTGGTGCACACCTGTAGCCCCAGCTGTTTGGAAAGCTGAGGCAGGAGAATCCCTTGAGCCAGGAGTTTGAGACCAGCCTGGGCAACATAGTGAGACCCCGTCTATTAAAAAAACAAAAACCTTGAGGTGTGGGAGGAAGCAGACAGCCTTACAGCCAGGTCTTAGTGGTCCAACCTCCTTAGGGGTACAGTGACAATCTGTATGATATCCCTAATATCAGGAATGGAGCCATAAGCCATCCAATACAAGACCTGGTTCTGGACTAGGGTCTGTCCACAAGAGAGAGTAGAAACCTCCCACTTCACATGAACTTATACGCTGAAATTCTAAAATACATGAGGAACACTGATGTTGAGAAAGATAGTCAATAAACCCAATAAACATAAATTTACTCCAGAGAAAACAAAAATAGTTGAACATTTAAAACTGACTTTGAGGCCAGGTTGAGGTGGCTCACACCTGTAATCCTGGCATTTTCAGAGGCCAAAGTGGGTGGATCACTTGAGCCCAGGAGTTTGAGACCAGCCTGGGCAACATGGCGAAACCCTGTCTCTACAATCCTGTCTCTAGATATAAAAAGGCATGGTGGCATGCGCCTGTAGATTCAGCTACTTGGGAGGCACTTATTATCTTTAAATTATTCATTCTCTATTCTGTCTGGTCAGCCTGAATAATGCAGGTTCTACAATGTATCTACCATGTAGGTTTATTTTTATTTATTTATTTATTTTTGAGATGGAGTCTCGCTCTGTCACCCAGGCTGGAGTGTAGTGGCGTGATCTCGGCTCACTGCAACCTCTGCCTCCCAGGTTCAACCAATTCTCCTGCCTCAGCCTCCCAAGTAGCTGGGATTACAGGCATGCACCATCACGCCTGGCTAATTTTTTTGTGTTTTTAGTAGAGACAGGGTTTCACCATATTGGCCAGGCTGGTCACAAATTCCTGACCTTGTGACCCACCCGCCTCGACCTCCCAAAATGCTGGGATTACAGGTGTGAGCCACCGCTCCTGGACAGTTTATTTTTATTTATCTTACTCAGCACTTTGACTTCTGTTTTGTTTTTTGTTGTTGTTGTTAGTTCTGGAAAATTCTCAGCCAATATATATACATGTGTATTTCTTGAGATAGGATCTCACATTATTGCCCAGGCTGGAGCGCAGTCACGTGAATCTTGCAGAATTGTAGAATCTGCATTACTTAGGCTGAACAGACAGAATAGAGAATGAATAATTTAAAAGATAATAACATAAAGAGATAAAAAACTATGAAGACAGGTAAGAGGCATTAAAAAGCTACAATGTATATCTAATAGGAAACAGAAGAAAATGATATAGGGAATGGCAAAGAAGCAATATTTTAAAAAGAATTGGGGGGTGCAGTGACTCACATCTATAATTCTAGTACTTTGGGAGGCTGAGGCAGGAGGATTGCTTGAGGACCAGCCTGAGCAACATAGCGAGCTCCCATCTCTACAAAAAAATTAAGTTTAGCCAGGCATGGTTGTGTGCACCTGTAGTCCCAGCTACTCAGGAAGCTGAGGTGGGAGGATCACTTGAACCCAGGAGTTCAAGCTTCTAGTGAGCTATGGTCATGCTACTGCACTCCAGCCTGGGCAACAAAGTGAGATCCTGTCTCAAAAAATGTATATGTGGGCTGAGAATTTTCCTGAACTGACAAAAAACAGAAGTCAGTTTAAAGTACTGAGCAAGATAAATAAAAATAAACCTACATGGTAGATACATTGTAGAATCTGCATTAATGATAAAGAAAATTGTTTATATGAATTATAAGAATGATTAACTCCAAAGGAATGGCAGGAGTTTGACAGCAGTTTGCTTGATATCAGTGATAGGTGCGAGGTGACAACTGGGTGGTATCTTTAAAGTGCTGAGAGAAGATAAGTAACAACCAGAATTCTCCACTGAATTAAATTTCACTCCAGAAGGTAAAATAAAGATATTTTGAGGTAGATGAAAACTGAGAGCATTTACCACTCACAGGCTTTTGCTGAAAGAACTACAGGTTTATGTATATTAATAAATTTCACAATTCAAAAAAAGCTTTGAAAACCTGAAGTTGTCCTTTGGTAAGTTTTCAGCAACCTCATTTGTGGGGCAAACTTGACCTAAACTAGTTCATGGGCTAATTTTGGTCTTTGTTTATCCCACTTAGTGTGAATACTTATATGTTTCACTGTGGAGACTTTAATATGTTTGAATCCATGGGGTGCTATCCCAACCCTGCTGAAGGTGTTATATCACATCTGGTTTGTGCAACCTTTATAAAATCTCAAAATTTGTCACTTCCAAACCAGAAAGGTCCCAGGATTTCAGATAAGTGATTATGGATCTTATTAAAGGATTATGGATCTTATTTCTTTAGCAAGAAATAATTGAACCAAGAGTGAAGGAGCAGAATGTGGGAAACAGTAGTGAGCATGAAAATTGATTTGATAAATGTAGGTAAACTTAATTAATTATTGATTTTTTTAAAGTAGTCATTTTTTTCTTTTTTCTCTTTTTTTTCTTTTTGAGATGGAGTCTCACTCTGATGCCCAGGCTGGAGTGCAGTGGTGCCATCTAGGCTCACTGCAACCTCCGTCCCCCGGGTTTAAGCAATTCTCCTGCCTCAGCCTCCCGAGTAGCTGGGATTACAGGCACCTGCCACCACACCTGGGTAATTTTTGTATTTTTAGTAGAGACGGGGTTTCACCATGTTGGCCAGGCTGGTCTTGTACTCCTGACTTCATGATGCACCCGCCTCAGCCTCCCAAAGTGCTGGGATTACAGGCGTGAGCCACCACTCCCAGCCTAAAGTGGTAATTTTTACATTTAAAAAGGTATATTGTCCTGTAGGTATGGGGGTGAATTTTTTAAAAAAGGAAAAAAAAGGAAAAGGTAGATATCAAAAGAAATAAATGACATCCAAATTGGAAAGTAAAAGGTAAAACTATATTCACAGGTTACATGGTCCTATGCATAAAAAGCATCCTAAAGAATCCACCAAAAGAAAAAAAAAAAAAAAAAACTTCTAGAGCTTATAAATGAATTCAGCAAAGTTGCAGGGGACAAGAGCAACACATAAAAATCAGTTGTTTCTATATACCATCAATGAACAATCTAAAAAGGAAATTAAGAAAAGCAATTCTGTTTAAAAGAGCATCCAAAAGATTTAGTCTATTAGGAATAAGTCTAACTGAGGAGGTGAAAGACTTGCACACTGAAAACTATAAAACATTGCTGAATGAAATTAAAGAAGAGCTAAATAAATAGAAAGACACCCTGAGTACATGGATAGGATGATGTAACACTGTTAACATGTCAGTTCTACCCAAAGCAATCTACTGATTCAACACAATTTTCTTTTCTTTTCTTTTATCTTCTTTTCTTTTTTTTTTTTTTTTTTTTTTTTGAGACAGAGTCTCACTCTGCCACCCAGGCTGGAGTGCAGTGGCGTGATCTCGGCTCACTGCAACCTCCACCTCCCAGGTTCAAGTGATTCTCCTGCTCAGAATCCTGAGTAGCTGGGATTACAGGCATCCACCACCATGCCCGACTAATTTTTGTATTTTTAGTAGAGATGGGGTTTCACCATGTTGGTCAGGCTGGTTGATTGAACACAATTTCTTTTCTTTTTTTTTTTTTTGAGATGGAGTCTCACTCTGTCTCCCAGGCTGGAGTGCAGTGGCTCAATCTCAGCTCACTACAACCTCCACCTCCCGGGTTCAAGCGGTTCTTCTGCCTCAGCCTCCAGAAAAGCTGGGATTACAGGTGCCCGCCACCACACCTGGCTAATTTTTGTATTTTTAGTAGATACAGGGTTTCACCATGTTGGCCAGGCTGGTCTTGAACTCCTGACCTCAGGTGATCTGCCCGCGTCAACCTCCCAAAGTGCTAGGATTACAGACGTGAGCCACCGCACCTGGCGATTCAACAAAATTTCTATCAAAATAAATAGGCTTTTTCACTGAGAGAAGAAGCTAATCCTCAAAATCATATGGAATAGCCAGGACAATCTTGAAAAAAGAATATAAAATTGGAAAGTTCAAACTTCCCAACTATAAAACTAGCTATGAAGCCACAGTAATTCAAGTATTATGGTCCTGGCATAAGGACAAACATATAGACCACTGGAATAGATTAGGAAGCCCAGAAATAAATCTTTACATATATGGTCATTTGATTTCCTGCAAAGGTGCAATTCAATAGGGAAAGGACAGTCTTTTCAACCAATGGTGCTGGGAAAACTGGATATCCACGTGTGAAAGAATGAAATTGGACTACAACACTCTTAGAAGAAAACAGGGGACAGTTTTCATAACATTAAATTTAGCAATTATTTCATGGATATAACACCAAAAGCATAAGGAACAAAAAATATAGATAAATTGGACTTCATCAAAATTAAGAACTTTTGTGCATCAAAGGATACTATCATGAAAGTGAAAGGACAACCTACACAATAGAAGAAAATATTTGCAAATCATATATCCAATAAGGAATTAATATCCAGAATATGTAAAGAACTCCTGCAACTCAACAACAACAAAACAACCCAATTTAAAAATGGGCAAAGGACTTGAAGAGACATTTCTCCAAAGAAGATATCCAAATGGCCAACACATGAAAAGATGCTCAACATCATTAGTCATTGGTAAAATGCAAATCAAAACAACAATAAGATGCCACTTCACATCTTCTAGGTTGGCTGTTTTTTAAAAAGGAAAATAGCATGTGTTGCTGAGGAGGTGGACAAATTGGAGCCCTTGTGCATTGCTAGTGAGAATGTAAAATAGTACAGCTGCTCTGGAAAACAGTTCGGTTGTTTCTCAAAAGGTTAAACCTATAACTACCATATGACCCAGCAATTGCACTTGTAGGTATACATCTAAAAGAATTAAAGAAGGAACTGAAACAGATACTTGTATACAAATCATAGCAGCATTATTCACAATAGCCAAAAGGTGGAAGTAACCCAAGGGTCCATCAACAGATCAATGGATAAACAATAGATGGTACATACATACAAAGGAATATTATTCTGCTTTAAAAAGAAAATAAATTTATGGCCCTGCAGTGGCTTACACCTGTAATCCCAACACTTTGGGAAGGTACGGTTGAAGGATCATTTAAGGCCAGGAGTTCAAGGCTTGAGACCAGCCTGGGCAACATAGGGAGACCCTGTCTCTATTATTTAAAAATTATGAAGGAAGGAAAGAAGGAAGGAGGGAAAGAAAGAAAGAAATTTTGATACATGCTACATGTACGGCCCTTGAAGACATTATTCTTAGTGAAATAGGCCAGAACGACAGATATTACATGATTCCACTTATATGAGGTACTTAGAATAGGCAAATATATAGAGATAGAAAGTAGAATAGAGGTTATGAGGGTCTGGGGGGTGGGCAGAAGGGGGTGTTGTTGTTTAATTGATGTAGAGTTTTTGTTGGGGATGATGAAAAAGTTTTGGGTATTGATAGTGTTCATGGTTGCACAGCATTGTGAATATATTTAATGACACTGAATTGTACAGTTGCAAATGGTTAAATGATAAATATTATGTATAGTTTACCACATTAAAAAAGTTTTCCAATTTAAAAAGAGATAGATTCTAGTCACATTCTAAAAAATAATATCAGAAGATGAGAAGACTGCACATAAGTTATAGAAAGTGTGCTTTGGGCTTTGTCTTGTTTTATTTTTATTTTTGTTTTGTTTGTTTATTTATTTTGAGACAGGGTCTTGCTCTGTCACCCAGGCTGGAGTGCAGTGGTGCGATCACAGCTCACTGCAGCCTTGACCTCCTAGGCTCCAGCAGTCCTCCCACCTCAGCCTCTCAAGTAGCTGGGACCAAAGGCATGCACCACCATGCCCAGCTAATTTTTGTAATGTTTCATAAAATCAAGGTTTCACTATGTTGCCCAGGCTGGTCTCAAACTGCTGAGCTCAAGCAGCCCACCCACCTCAGCCTTCCAAAGTGCTGGGATTATAGGCATAAGCCACCATGCCTGGCCCATTGTCTTGTTTTGGAGAGTTATAAAGATAATGAGTATTTTCAGACATTTTCAAAAATATGTAGATAGGCCAGGCGCGGTGGCTCATGCCAGTAATCCCAACACTTTGGGAGGCTGAGATGGGTGGATCACTTGAACTCAGGAGTTTGAGACCAGTCAGGGCAACATGGTAAGACCCCATCTCTACTAAAAATCCAAAAAAATAGCTGAGTGTGATGATGCCTGCCTTTGGTCCCAGCTAATTGGGAGGCTGAGGTGGGAGGATCAGTGCTTGAGCCTGGAGGGCAGAGGTTGCAGTGAGCCAAGATGGGGCCACTGCACTCCAGACTGGGTGACAGTGGGAGACAATGTCTGGGGAAAAACAATGTAGATAAATATTATGTTAATGTTTTAAGATGGGGTCTCACCATATTGCCCAGGCTGGACTCAAACTGCTGGGCTCAAGCGATCCTCCATCCTCAGCCTCTGAGTAGAACTACAGGCATGCACCACCATGCCTGGCTGATTATGTTAAATTTTAATACTGAAAGATTATAGATTTTGTCTATAGCTTCCAAACTAACAGGGAGGGTAGAAAAGAATTAAAACAAAACTTTACTAACACAATAGAAGGTGGGAAAAGAAGGTGGGGAAAGGGAAAGAAGAATGGATAATGGGAAAGACAAAATAAGATATCAGGTCAGAAATTAATCAGATACACTGAAAAGCTACTCGTTAACATATAGTGACTGTAAGGTTGGGTAGAGAAGCAGAATCTAGCCATATGCTATTTACAAGAGATATACATAAACAAAATGACCTAGAAGGGTTATTAAAGGCACAGAAACAGATACACCAGGAAAATACCAATCAAAATAAAGCTGGTATTGCAATATTATAATAAAAATATCAGACTCAAAGCCTGGAATTTAGAAAAATTAGTAAGATATAGACTTTCAATATTTCCTGTGTGGCTAGCTTCAAAGATACATTCTACCTGGCATCACTTACCTGTCTTTCTTATCTTTCTAAATCAATTTCCACAAATATTTATGAGTAACTATCAGTTAGGTAATGAGTCAGGTAATATAGTAGAGGCAAAGATGAGTACAGCCTAAGTGCTTACTCCATAGAACTGACAGTCTAATAGGAGAAAGTCCAGTAACTTTAAAACAAAGTAGCAAATTGTGAGCACTGTTAGAGAGTTTTAAGTGAGATACGATGGAAATTGGGCATGGGAGATAAAATCAGGAAAAGACTTTACACAAAATTGGCATTTGAGATGGTCTTTAAAAGCTATACCAAAGCTATAATTTCACTAGACCATGACCTAGACATCAGCTTTTTCCCCCTTAGAATATGAAGCACAATTTGGGACTACTTCTTTGCTGGACAGTTTCATAAATTTAGGCTACAGTATTATCATTTCAGACTTCATTTGCTGGAAATGTAGCCTACTGCATTTACCTATAACAGCTCATTTGCTGTATTTTTTATTTTCCTTTCCTTAAGACAATAGCACTGCGTGGTTAGGTTAACACTTTCATTGCTTTTGAAAGCCCCTCTTCTAACCTAATCTTTTGCCAGGTGATGTCCGCATACTTCCTCAGGGTGTCTTAGAAGTAGATTTCTATGCTAGCTCTCCATGAAAGGAGAAGAGTATATAATTTGCTTTTTCATACAGTGCTGTTACTATTAGGAAGGAACTAACTTTATTCTAAATGAAAACACACTCTATATTAAAGACAAGTTAGATACTTTCCCATGAAGTTGGTCTAGGAGAAGGGAAACGGAATAGATGCCTCCTGAAATTTTTTCCTGTTCCATTCAGAGTCAGATTTTTCCCCCCCTTTATATGGTCAACAAATGAAAACTGGCATTTGGAATTACCATCGTTCCCCCCATTGCTTGCCATCTTCAAATTTAATGTCTGCCTCTCCACAAAGATTAACATGTTTCCACTCCTGATTTACTTGTCAGGGAATTTAGAAGTTTTCTGGAACCTAAAGTTCACTCTGGTAGGGATGATTACTGGATAATTGCCTATTCTTCGGTGGAATTTCCACTTTTAGATTACACCAGGCTCTACAGCCTTTATTTCTTTGGCAGGAAAACCCAAAGGCAATGGAGTATATTTTTTTCCCTTCCCTGGCCCAGCTTAAACAATGACTCACTTGGGCCCTGGGGCTTTGCTTCATACTCTCATTTAGGGGCCACTTTATACCCTTGTTTCTATTTTCCTTTCTTGTTCTGTTTGGACCCTTTATATCCTTTGGCACATGGGATTTGTCTCTGGGGTTATTGTCAGAGAGATATATAAAACCACCCCAAACTGGAACAGCCACTCCAGTTATGTCCCCATAGCCATGTCATCCTTATGGCAGCTGGTATAGGCCAGGGAGAGTACAGAAATAATATCTTTTTTCTTTTTTTTTTTTTTTTTTGAGACTGAGTCTCACTCTGTTGATCAGGCTGGAGTGCAGTGGCATGATCTCGGCTCACTGCAACCTCCACCTCCCAGGTTCAAGTGATTCTCCTGCCTCAGCCTCCCGAGTAGCTGGAATGACTGGTGCACGCCACCATGCCCAGCTAATTTTTGTATTTTTAGTAGAGACAGGGTTTCACCATGTTGGCCAGGCTGGTCTCCAACTCCTGACCTCAAGTGATCCACCCGCCTTGGCCTCCCAAAGTGCTGGGATTACAGGCGTGACCCACTGCGCCCAGCCCAGAAATAATATCTTTAAGGAAACCTAATTCCAAATGCAGTAGAGGGAAAAGTATTCTCCAAAAAGAAAGATATGAGTGCCAGTGTCATCCAGTTAGAGGCTAAAAGGCTTTCCTCCATATGCGTTGCTCGAATGACTGATTCAGATGTCCTCTGTGTGTACCTGTGGAAGGTGGGAAGCACTCAGAGGAACTGGCCTCCAAGAGTTTTCGGAAAGGTATGGTTATATGAAGAGACTTCCCCATAGAAGGACTAGGTCTAATCTAGAGTTCAGAGTTTTGTTGGGGAGAAAAATTCCCCGTTTTTGGCAGTGGTTCTCTCTGGTCTCAATTTTTCATTCTGATTCCAGCCTTCTGGATTCCATCTAACAATGACTTCTTGACTTTTCTCTTTGCAGTTTTAACAGTGTATGCCAGGGAACACACATTCTCTTTCGAGAATTCAGCTTCGTCCAAGCCACCCCCCACAATAGGGTATCATTTTTACGGGCCTTCTGGAGATGCTTCCGAACTGTGGGCAAAAATGGCGGTAAGTCTTCCCAAATTCTTTTTCCTTCCTTCCTTCCTTCCTTCCTTTCTTCCTTCCTTCCTTCCTCTCTCTCTCTTTCTTTCTCTCTCTCTTTTCCTCTCTTTCTCTTTCAAACTTTTTCTTTTGTTCCTATAAATATTGTTTGAATGCATGCTATTCAAGGCATTTAGAATACCTCACTTTTGAGGAGTTGTCTGGTTTATGTCAAAGATATTACTATTACCACTACCATCACTAATGGTACCTATTAAGAGCCAAGTGTAGCTCTTTACATGTAGTAACTCATTTATCTTTACAAGGGCTCTCTGTGGTAGATACCATAATCCCCATTTTGTAACTAATGAAACTGAGGATCAGAGAGGTTAAGTAACTTGGCAAGGTTACATAGTAAATTCTGGGCCCAGATTTATACCCAGGCAGTCTGACTTCACAGCCCTTGCTCTTGGCAGATATTAAAATGCCATGCAGTAAATACAAGGAATAATGTGAATATGAAGAAAGAAACTCCTGAATGGGGGTGGGATGGGGATACTGTTGTTAGAGAAGGGAGAGAAAAGTGGAGTAGAGAAGGTTCTCCTTAGAACTGACTGTTTGATCTAAGCTGGGAAGGAAGAGTAGGAATCATTCACATGGATAAAGGAGAGAAGGGCATCCTAGGTAGAACATATGCTGAAGCACAAAAGAACCTAGAATACTTACATAACAGATCAGGATGTCTAGAGTTTGTGTGGAGTTTATGAAGGAGGTTAGGGGAGATGAGACTGTAAAGGAATAATGGAGCTGCTGAAAGATCATTTTTTAGCCATAAAAAAGAAATTGGGCCAGGCACAGTGGCTCAGCCTGTAATCCCAGCACTTTGGGATGCCAAGGCAGGTGGATCACTTGAGGTCAGGGGTTTGAAACCAGCCTGTCCAACATGGTGAAACCCCGTCTCTACTAAAAATACAAAAATTAGCCAGGTGTGGTGGCGCACTCCTATAATCCCAGCTATTCAGGAGGCTGAGGAACGAAAATCGTTTGAACCCTGGGGGACAGAGGTTGCCGTGAGCCGAGATCGTGCCACTGCTCTCCAGCCTGGACGACAGAGCAAGACTCTGCCTCAAAAAAAAAAAAAAAGAAAAAAGAAAAGAAAAGAAATTGGGGCTGGATGTGGTGGCTCACACCTGTAATCCCAGCATTTTGGGAGCCCAAGGTGGGAGGATCACTTGAGCCCAGGAGTTTGAGACCAACCTGGACAACATACTGAGACTTCGTCTCTACAAAAAAATAAACAAAATTAGCCAGGTGTGGTGGCACATACCTGTACTCACAGCTACTTGGGAGGCTGAGGTGGGAGGATCACTTGAGCTGAGGGAGGTTGAGGCTACAGTGAGTCATGATTATGCCACTGACTCTAGCCTAGGTGACAGCGAGATCCTGCTTCAAAAAAACAAACAAACAAACAAAAAAGTTAAATTTTATTCTCTGGGTATTATTTGAAGGCTTTTTTTTTTTTAAAGACCCTGTTGCAGCCGGGCACGGTGACTCATGCCTGTAATCTCAGCACTTTGGGAGGCCGAGGCGGGCAGATCACAAGGTCAGGAGATCGAGACCATCCTGGCTAACATGGTGAAACCCCATCTCTACTAAAAAATACAAAAAAATTAGCCGGGTGTGGTGGCGGGTGCCTGTAGTCCCAGCTACCCGGGAGGCTGAGGCAGGAGAATGGTGTGAACCCAGGAGGTGGAGCTTGCAGTGATCCAAGATCGCGCTACTGCACTCCAGCCTGGGTGACAGAGCAATACTCCGTCTCAAAAAAAAAAAAAAAAAAAAAAAGACCCTGTTGCCCAGGCTGGAGTGCAGTGGCATGATCATATGATCATAGTTCACTATAACCTTGAGCTTCCAGGCTCAAGTGATCTTCCTAACTCAGCCTCCCAACTAGCTAGGACTACAGGTACATGCCTACCATACCTAGCTAATTTTAAATTTTTTTGTAGAGACGGGGTTTTGCTGTGTGGCCCAGGCTGGTCTCAAACTCCTGGGCTCAAGGCCTCAGCCTCCCAAAGCACTGGGATTACAGATGTGAGCCACCATGCCCCATCTTATTTGAAGGCTTTTAGATAGGAGAGTGGTGTGGTGATATCTGAGCTCTAGAAAGATCATTCAAAAGGCAGTGTAGAAGATGGCCTAGACTAGAGACAAGGAACATAGAAGTCTGGTAGTAGTTGAGTGAGAGATTAGACCCAACACTAAGGCAGTATGGAGACAGAAGGGGCACTTTCAGAGATAGAATCCATAGGATTTGGTGATTGGATTTGGCATTAAGATGAGAGAGAAGACCGTGGTAATTTCCAAGTTTTTGGCTTGGGCCACTGGGTAAGAATATTTTTTAAAAGCCTTCAAGTAATAGCCACAGAATAAATTTCAATTTTTTTTTTTTTTTTTTTTTTTTTTTTTGGAGACAGGGTTTTACTCTGTCACCCAGGCAGGAATACAATGACACAATCTCAGCTCACTGCAGCCTCGACCTTCCAAGCTCAGGTGATCCTCCCACCTCAAGTAGCTGGGAATATATTTGTGCACTACCATGTGTGGCTAATTTTTCTATTTTTTATAGAGTTGGGGTTTCGCTATGTTATCCAGGCTGGTCTCAAACTCCTGGGCTCAAGCCACTCGTCCACCTCAGCCTCCCAAAGTGCTGGGGTTATAGGCGTGGGCTACCATGCCTGGTCTCCTACTTTCATATTATGTGTTTTCATAAATACCTTTAAGACAATTTCTTGCTTGCTTGCTTTTCTTTTTCTTTCTTCTTTCTTGCCTTCCTTCCTTCGTTCCTTCCTTCCTTCCCCTCCCTCCCTCCCCTCCCTTCCTTCCTTCCCCTCCCCTCCCCACTGAGGTTATAGTCAGTGAATAGGTAGTCTCCCTGCTTTTGAATTTATGAGATTCCCCACCATGCTCTAATCAATGCTACTGCTACGAAACTGTAACTTTTCTAAATAGCTACTAAATATATAGCTATTAAACTTTTATATGTAGTTACTAAATCTTTTCTAAAACTTTTCCACCCAATATCTTATTAGTTCCACTGCCCTAAGAAATAGGTAAAGTGGGTATTATTGTGCCCATTTTGTAAATAATGAAATTGTGTAACTTGCAGAAAGATTTCATGGTGAATTAGTAGCAAAGCTAGAAATTGAACCCAGATTTACTAATATGCTGATGTGCTATTTCTACTATTTTTACTTCAATCATTGCCTCTTTGACATATAACTCTGGAGATCATGCATCTCCATTACAGTATTATGAAAGAAGTACTTAGTGTACTGAGGATCGTATCATTTCCCTTACAGAATAAATGCACTAATAGGCAAAAACCAATGTGGACTCAATTTTAAGTTAAGTAATTCAGAAAAACTATTCCATTGGTCTCTATGTAAACAAAACTGGGAACTGTGAGTATATAGGTAAAGCTCGTGCTATGTTATCAGAGGTTATCTTTCCCAGTCCCTCACTCAGTCAGCAAATATTTGTTTTAGACCACCTAGTACAGTCGTCTCTCAGTCTATGCAGGGATTGGTTCCAGGACCCCTGTTTATACCAAAATCCACGCATAATCAAGGCCTACATTAGTCCTGTGGAACTCTCATATGTGAAAAGTCAATCTTCCGTATACAGGGCTTCATATCCCTAGAATAGTGTATTTTCGATCCATATTTGGTTGAAAAAAATCCACCTAAAAGTGTGGACCTGCACAGCTGAAACCTGTGTTGTTCAAGGGTCAGCTGCATGTTGAAGAATATGGCTAGAGCTAGTTTCTGTGATAGAACATATGGAGATAACTATGGAAAACAGTCTTCAGATAGCCTTAACTTTTTTCCTGATATAGAAGTGGGGCCTCTTCAAGAATGTATTTACTATCACGAGGGATTCATATAGCATTTGGACTCTTAGCAGATGTGGGTTTCTTTATCTTTCTAATAGCAGCTGCCAGTGACTCATCCAGCTGCTAAGAATAAGCAGCTCCAAATTCCCCCAGTTTCTCCTTGTGCCATAAACAAGACCTAGATTTTATGCTGGCTGTTTATTGTTATCCTTCTTAATCAGACAGCCTCAGATTTCTTAGACTAAATGCAACATCTGTGTCTAGGTGTTCCTAAAATAATTGGTTAAGTAGCTTTAATGTATTCTCAGCTTTTTCTAGGAAACTCCAGAACATCTTTCTAAACCAGAATGTGTCAATCTCCAATTTTAATCCGGAATTAGTGAAAACTCTTGGCGGCAAGGTTCTAAAGGAAAGGATTTATTAAGCCCCATTTTATCAATTATAATGCCAGGTACCTACCTACTCAGTGGAACTCCTACTGCATTATTCTTCTGCAGATAACTTCCTTAGAATGTCATGTGCATACTTTAGCATTATCAAGTGGAAAGTAACTCTTCTGGGAGGTAGCAAAACAAGAGCATAACATATCTAAAAATGAAGCCACCTGTAGAACTCTAAGGACCTGGTCCCTTTTGACAAAAAATATTTTATTCCAGTTTTTAGCAAGTACAGGATATGATATCTTTTCTGCATGACTGAGTACTGATGCTAATTATCTTGTCCAAATTTTAGATAATCTCATGAAGACTGTAACAAACCTCTTGGTATCTAAGCAACTTTAGACTCTTGGAAGCAAAAGTTATATTAGAATTTTAAAAGCCTTTAAAATTACACTTCTCACTTTGCTAATTTTTTCTGTATAGGAATATTAATCTGAATTTTCTAAGTCTGGCAAAGATTGATATTCTCTTAATGTAAATCTTTACTTCTGTTTAGGGATATCGGCTCAAAAGTGCCTTCTCCAAGTTTATTTTCAATTAGAATTTAATTTTCAATATATACATATATACACATACATACATATATATATTTCATTTGATAAAATAATGATAGGTACTTCCTCTTCTATCTGTGAAGAAGTATCTACTAAGGGAATTGCCCTCTTGCCACTAACAATGAGAAAATCAGCATATCTGAAACAACAGTTTTCAGACATTGGGCAATAGGCAGTGGGGGCTGTGGATTCTGAGAGCCAGTTTCCAAGCAACAGTATAGGGAGAGAGATTGTCAAAGAGCTTAGCAGTGTTATTGAGTTGAGGAGGCAGAGACTGGGGTTTAGGGAGGCTGGAGCAGCCAGTATTTACAGGTCAGAATCCAAGAGAGGAAGAAGTTGTTCAGTGAGCTCCAGAATCTTTGGCTACAAATTCTGCATATGTGTGGGCTGGAAAAAGAACCACCAGAAAACAGTGGGCCAAACAATTTCTGGAGTATACAAGGGGCTAAGGATAATTCAAACTTCTACCAGCCATAGGGAAGAGACCTCAAAACACACCGGGCACTGGGTAGAGTTCTCAACAGTTTAAAAGCAAAAAGGATTAAATCGATCCGCAAGTAATTTAATGCTATATAAGAACAAAATTCAATAATCTTTAAAGGAATTTAACAAAATCCAGCATTCAGCAATGCAAAATTCACAAAGTCTGACATCCAATTCAAAATTACCAGACAGGCCAGGCATGGTGGCTCATGCCTACAATCCCAGGACTTTGGGAGGCCAAGGCAAGTGGATCACTTGAGCCCAGGAGTTCATGACCAGCTTGGGCAACAGAGCAAAACCCTGTCTCTACAAAAAATTTAAAAAATTAGCCAGGTGTGACACCTGTGGTCCCAGCTACTCTAATGGCTGAGGCGGGAGGATTGCTTGAGCCTGGAAAGTTGAGGCTGCAGTGAGCTGTGATCGCACCACTGCACTCAAGCCTGGGCAATAGAGTAAGACCCTGTCTCAAAAACAAAACAAAACAAAATAAAATTACCAGACATTAAAAGAAGCAGGAAAATACAGCCCATAACCAGGAGAAAAATTAATCAATAGAAACACAGATCCAGAAATGACAGAGATGATGGAATTAACTAACAAGGACCTTAAAATAGTTATTTTAAATCATATAAATATGCTTAAGTATGTAAAGAAAACATGAATATGATTAGGAGATTAGTGGAAGATATTAAAAAGATCCAAATGGAATTTCTAGACATGAAAAATACAATATAGTGAAAATGATAATAATAGCAATTAACATTTATTAAGTGCTTCTATGTAGATTATCTCATTTTTCTTCACAACAACCCTATGTGTTAGGTAGATGCTATTATTTCCTTTGCATAGAAAATGAAACAGATTTAGAATGTTAAATAACTTGCTGTAGGTCACACACCCAGTCAATGAAAAAGCCAATGCCAGGAGAAGCCATGAAGTCTGACTCCAGGCTGTATTATTGCTTCAGCGTGTTATGCATCAACACTGCATGACAGGCTGGAAATACAAATGAGTAAGTGACAATACTTGCCCTCAAGGAGCTCTTATTCTAGGAGAAGAAACAGTAGCATAGGAACCAACCCAAATGCCCATCAATGATAGACTGGATAAAGAAAATATGGAACATATACACCACAGAATACTATGCAGCCATAAAAAGGAACGAGATCGTGTCCTTTGCAGGGACATGGATGAAGCTGGAAGCCATCATCCTCAGCAAACTAACACAGGAACAGAAAACCAAACACTGCATGTTCTCACTCATAAGTGGGAGTTGAACAATGAGAACACGATGGACACAGGGAGGAGAACATCACACACCAGGTCCTGTTGGGGGGCTGGGGGGTGAAGGAAGGGAAGTTAGAGGGCAGGTCAATAGTTGCAGCAAACCACCATGGTACACGTATACCTATGTAACAAGCCTGCACATTCTGTA
Source organism: Homo sapiens (assembly GCF_000001405.40). Taxonomy (NCBI): domain Eukaryota; kingdom Metazoa; phylum Chordata; class Mammalia; order Primates; family Hominidae; genus Homo; species Homo sapiens. The sequence continues at coordinate 47,059,296 of NC_000011.10, forward strand.
CATCTATCCCGTTTTTTTTAGAAGAAATAAAATAAACTAGATTCTTAATTCAACCCCACCCCCTCTCTGCCAAAAAAAACCTGAGTGGTGTAGAAATAGTCTCCATAGAGTACAGGTGATTTTTAGAGCCACACATAAGATTCCATAATAGCACAAGGGAGAAAATAGTCAATTCTATAGAAGCGGGTGAAGGCTATAAAGGTGCAAAGACAGTTGGGATGGATCTTGGAGCAGTAGAAAGCTGTTAAGCAAATAAGGAATACGTTCTAAAAACAGGGAACACGATTTCTGAAAGTATGATAACATGAAACAACATGGTTCCTTTGGAAAGTGGTAAGAAGTCATTGTGGCCAGTATTTAACACATAATAAGGAAACACTACCACAGTCAATAGGAGATAATGCGGAATGCTTTTATGTGCCATACACTGAGCAAAATGTTTACATGTATTCATTCATTTAATCCACACAATAAACATATGAGTTGATATGATTACTATCCTGTTTTATATGTTAAGACACAGAGTCCGCTGGGCGCGGTGACTCATGCCTGTAATCCCAGCACTTTGAGAGCCCGAGGCAGGTGGATCCTTGAGGTCAGAAGTTTGCGACCAGCCTGGCCAACATGGTGAAATCCCTTCTTTACTAAAAATACAAAAATTAGCTGGGTGTGGTGGTGCATGCCTGTAGTCCCAGCTACTCAGGAGGCTAAAGCAGGAGAATTGCTTGAGTCTGGGAGGTGGAGGTTGCAGTGAGCCAAGATCATGCCACTGCACTCCAGCCTAGGCAACAGAGCGAGACTCTGTCTCGAAAAAAAAAAAAAAGAAAAGAAAAAGAATCGAAACTGAGAGTCAGAGGATTAAGTAACTCACACAAGGCCACAGCGCTTATAAGTAGCACAGCTCATATTCCAACCTACGTCTTCACAAAGTTCACATTTTCACATTCTTTCTCTTTTCTTTTCTTTTTTTTTTTTTTTTTTTTGTTTGAGACTGAGTCTCACTCTGTTGCCCACTCACTGCAACCTCTGCCTCCCGGGCCCAAGCAATCCTCCCACCTCAGCCTCCCTAGTAGCTGGGAATACAAGCACATACCACCACACCCAGCTAATTTTTGTATTTTTTGTAGAGATGGGGTTTCACCATGTTGCCTAGGCTGGTCTCAAACTCCTGGGCTCAAGCAGTCCACCCGCCTCAGCCTCCCAAAGTGCTGATTACAGGTGTGAGCCACCACTCTCAAGCCCACAAAGTCCACATTCTTAACAACTCTGCTGTGCCTGCTACCCCAGGTTATGAAGGGCTTTGTGTGCACTAAAAAGCATAAGAATGATACAATGGACTTTGGGGACCCGGGGAAAGGATGGGTTGGGGGTGAGGGATAAAGGACTACAAATTGGGTTCATTGTTACTGCTTGGGTAATGGGTGCAACAAAATCTCACAAATCGCCACTAAAGAACCTACTCATGTAAACCAGATACCACTGGTTCCCCCAAAACCCTATGAAAATAAAAAATTTCTCCTGAAGTTAGTAGAATCTTCTCCATTTGTGTGGTATTTTCACATGTAACACAGACAAAAGCATGGAAAATGTAAGGCAGGTAAAAGTGAAAGCATAGACCCGTTAGGAGACTACTACAATATAACAGAAATGACCATGAAAATGAAGAGCTATTTAAGAAGTTGGTTTGACAGGATTTGCTGATTCATTGTGTGAGGGATGTGGCAGAGAAAGAGTCAAGAATGAATGCCAGAATGTAAAGTATGGCCAGTTTTATCCCTCTCTTGCTTTTTTCCTTTCCTTTTTTTTCTTTCATCTTTTATGTTTCACTCTGAATTCACAGTGGTTTTGTGTTCATATTTATTCATTCGACAAACATTTATGTATCAGTTCTTGGTGATAAAGCAGTGACTGGGACAGACAGAAATTTTTATTCTTGTCAACTTTGCTGTATGATCAGAAAATTGACAAAAATCCCTGCTTTTATAGAGCTTACATTCTAGGAATCAGGGAATTGCAGTGGGTCTATCTGAGTATGTGATAAAAATCTGTTAGTTTTTCTAAAATATCTATTGTTTATGGTGGACAAAGTGATGTCAAGGGAAAATGCAGACACTTTAGGCTGAAATGAAGATGTTGGTCTGACTTCTTTTTGTAATTGCCTTGAACTTCACTTGATTTTGCTTGTCACTAATCCTTATCTTCACCAGTAAAAATCATTCAGTGAGGATTAATAGCGCTTTACTACAGGAGTGGGTGGCTGTCTTTGAATTATTAAAGAGCAATTGTTGCTTCTGTAATGTTTTAAACAAACAAGAACTGTTCCATGTGGTCTCTTCAGTGATGTGGGCCCCACCAGCCAATTATCTTCACCTGCTCCAGCCAGTGCATCTCCTCTTCTCATTTTCTCCCAGAAACCAGATGTAGACAATCAACAAGAATTTCAGTGCCTGTTTCCTAGCTCCCGTTTTGTTTATTTCTCCTGAGTTCCTAATTTTCCCTTTGTTTTTCATGTTTATTTCCTTCTTCAAAATCTTTTCTCCAGGGAGAAAATTGACAATTGATGGCCCCTCAAATCATTCACCTCTGTACCTCCAATAACTTTAATCTTTCCCCCTATTTAATGTTCTCTTTTTTTTCAATGTTGGTTATTTGGGGCTCTTACGCAAGCATTCCTGGAATGCTTTTGTCACTATCTTCTCTCCCACCTGAAGCTCCTCAACCCTCCATACATAATACCTGTAGGTTTTAGTTTTAAAGGTCAGGTCCTTAAAGAAGCCTTCTCTGTGACTCCCTTCCTTATCTGAATTGGGTCCTTCCATTATAATTTTTCAGATTATCCTCTGATTTTTATCATATCATTTATTACAGTTTCTGACTCAGTATTTACTTGAATGACTTTTAATGTCCATCTCCCTTATTAAAATTATAAACTTTATGAGTACAGGAACCTTGTTTGTTTTGCCAGTAATTATATCCCTAGCACCTAATACAGGTGAATGATTTTTTTGTTATATAATATGAAGGCTTACCTTTTCCCAGTAATGATACAGAAGATAGATTATTGAATGGATTATATTATCATTCATTTTATCAGAGGATAGGTTAGTTTTTAAAATCTGCTTTACACTAACTTTTCTATATTGTATAGGAACTTCTGATTTAAATTAATAATAGCTACCCCTTATTGAGCAAATGCTATATGCCAGGTACTAAAGTTCATGTTTAAAGTGTTCCACTAAAAACCAGCCTAATCAAAGCTATACTATACTAAATAACACCTAATTAAAATAATATTCAGTATTCCAAAATAAGGATTTGAAAGATTTAGATCATGATCTGTAATCAAACTTTAAACACTGGTGAATAGTACATCCGTTCCTTCTTTTGTATTCTGGGTTTTTGCCTTCACTCCATGAAAGGTATCACAAACTAGTAGTCGGCTAACTACACATGCCTTGGCCTACAGATGTGTCTTCTTTGACTTTCAGTGTTAAAAATACTTAGATTCAATTAGATGCCAATGTTTCACATAAAAGTCTCAATTTCAGTTTCACTTGAAGAATGGAAAATCCTCCCAGCACCATGCCCACATTCCTGCAGGGAGACAGTTCACCAGGGCAGAGATGCAGCTGCTCCCTTTAGACAGGGCATGTGGTCTCAGATTTACCACCAACCCAAGCTGCCCTGCTTCACCTGCTGACATTCCCTGCGCGTCTGTAGGCATTGGAGTTTGCTACCATTGCTAGAGCTTCTTGGTCCATTTATAATCACTAAAAGGTAAAGTTTCACTCTTAATTCAGTCAGGAGCTTTTTCCTCAACTATTAATAGATTCTCTTTCTCTTTTCTCCTTGATATCTCCATGATATCACATAAAATTTTAGAATTAGAAGGGACCTTAGAAATTATTTCATCTTGAAACTAGGTCTTAAATATATATATATGGTTTTTCTTATTATTGTGGTAAAATATATAACAAAATTTACCATTTACCACTTTTTAATTTGAGAAATCTTTTTTATGGCAATAAAACCTATATAACAAAACTTACCACTTTAACCATTTTTAAGTGTACAGTTCCGTGGCATTAAGTACATTCACAGTGTTGTGCAACCATTATTACCCTCCATCTCCAAAACTCTTTATCTTGCAAAACCGAAACTCAGTAGCCATTAAACAATGACTCCCATTTCTCTCCTCCTCCAGTCCCTAGAAACCACCATTCTACTTTCTGTATCTATGTATTTGACTATTCTAGATACATCAGATAAGTGTGTACAATATCTGTCCTTTTGTGTCTCACTTATGTAACTTAGCATGATGTTTTCAAAGTGCATCCATGTTGTAATATGTATCTGAATTTCATTCCTTTTTATGGCTGAATAATATTCCATTGTGTGTATATACCACATTTTGTTTATTCATTCACCTGTTGATGGCCACTTGGGTTGTTTCTACATTTTCGCTGTTGTAAGTAATGCTGCTATGAATGTAAGTGTACAAATATCTTTCTAGTCCCTGCTTTCCATTACTTTGGGCACATAACTAGAAGTGGGATTACTGTACCATACAGTAATTTTATGTTTAATTTTTTGAGGAACTGCTGTAAAGTTTTCTACAGCAGGTGTATCATTTTACATTCTCACCAGCAATGCATAAGGGTTCCAGTTTCTCCACATCCCCAATAATGCTTGTTGCTATTTTCTATTTTTCTGATAATAGCCATCCTAAAGAATGTGAAGTGGTATCTCATGGTTTTGATTTGCATTTCCTTAATGACAAATGATGTTGAGTGTCTTTTAATATGCTTATTAGCCATTTTATATCTTCTCTAGAGGAGTATCTATTCAAGCCCTTTGCCCTTTTTGAATCAGGCTGTTTTGTCGTTGAGTTGTAGGAGTTCTTCATGTATTCTGGATATTCATTCCTTATCAGGTATATGATTTGCAAATTTTTTTTCTGTTCTGTAGGTCATCTTTTCACTTTTTTTTTATCATATCCTCTGATGTACAAAAGTTCTTAATTTCAATGAAGTCCAATTTATCTGTTTTTCTTTTGTCCTCTGTGTTTTTGGTGTTATATCTAGGAAATCATTTACAAATCCAGTGTCATGGAGATTTCCCCTATGTTTTCTTCTAAGAAATTTCTAGTTTTAGCTCATAAATTTAGGTATTTGATCAATTTTGAGTTAATTTTTATGTAAGGTATTAGGTAAGGGTCCAACTTCATTCTTTTGCACGTGCATATTCAGTTTTCCCAACACCATTTATTGAAAAGACTGTCCTTTCTCCCCTTGAATGGTACCCTTTGCACCCTTGTCAAAAGTCAAATGACCATATATATGAGGATTTTTGTTTCTGGGATTTACATTCTCTTTTGTTGGTTTGCCTGTCCTTATGATTACTGTGGCTTTGTAATAAGTTGGGGTTTTTTTGTTTTGTTTGTTTGTTTGTTTGGTTTGTTTGTTTTGAGATAGAGTCTCACTCTGTTGCCCAGGCTGGAGTGCAGTGGCACGATCTCAGCTCACCGCAACCTCCACCTCCTGGGTTCAAGCGATTCTCCTGCTTCAGCCTCCTGTGTAGCTGGGATTACAGGCACATGCTACCACACCCGCTAATTTTTGTATTTTTAGTAGAGACGGGGTTTCATCATTTTGGTCAGGCTAGTCTTGAACTCCTGACCTTGTGATCCACCTGCTTCGGCCTCCCAAAGTGCTGGGATGATAGGCTTCAGCCACCACACCCAGCCTTGTAATAAGTTTTAAAATCAAGAAATGTGAGTCATCCAACTTTGTTCTTCTTCAAGGTTGTTTTGGGTATTCTTGGTCCTTTTAAAGATATTTTATGAATGGTTTTTTCTATTAAAAAATACCATTGGAATACCATTGGAATTTTGATAGGATTGCAGTGAATCTATAGATCACTTTCGGTGGTAGTATCACCTTGACAATATTAAGTCATTTAATCTATGAACATAGGATGTGTTTCCATTTATTTAGGTCATCTTCAGTTTCTTTCAGCAATTTTTTTTTTAAGAGAAAGTGTCTTGCTCTGTTGCCCTGGCTGGAGTGCAGTGGCACAATCATAGCTAATTGTAGCCTTGAACTCCTGGGCTCAAGCAATCCTCCCACCTCTGCCATCAAGCCCAGCTAATTTTTTATTTCTTTTAGAGATGAGGTCTCACTCTGTTGCCCAGACTGGTCTCAAACTCCTGGCCTCAAGCAATCTTCCTGCCTCTGCCTTCCAAAGCAGAGGGGTTGCAGGCATGAGCTACCACGCCCAGCCTCTTTCAGCGATGTTTTGTAGTTTTCAAGTATACAAGTCTGTCACCTCCTTGGTTAAATTTATTCCTAAGTATTTTATTCTTTTCATGCTATTGTAAATGGAATTGTTTTTCTTAGTTTCCTTTTCATATTTTTCATTGTTAATTTATAAAAATATAATTGATTATTATTATTATTATTTTTTTGAGACAAAGTCTCACTCTGTCGCCCAGGCTAGAGTGTAGTGGCGTGATCTCGGTTCACTGCAACCTCCGCCACCCGGGTTCGAGCAATTCACCTGCTTCAGCCTCCCAAATAGCTGAGATTACAGGGACATGCCACCACCCCAGCATGTAATTGATTTTTGTATCTTGATTTTGTATGCTGCATCTTTGCTGAATTCATTTATTAGGTCTAACAGTTGTGTGTGTGTGTGTGTGTGTGTGTAAAATCTTTAGGGCTTTCTGCATATAAGATCATATCATCTGTGAACAGAGGTTATTTTATTTCTTTCTTTCTAATTTGGATGCCTTGTGGGTTTTTTTTTTTTTTTTTTTTTTTTGTTTGTTTGTTTTTTCCTTAATTGCTCTGGCTAGAACTTCCTGTACTATGATGAATAGAAGTAGTGAAAGCAGGCATCTTTGTCTTTTTCCTGATCTTAGGGGAAAAGTTTTTCAGTACAGCAGGTCCTCAAATAACATAATTGCATTATAACATTGATGAGGAAAAAAAAAATTGATTCCCAGCTGGGGCCACTGTGTGAAATTTGCACATTCTCCCCATGTCTGCATGGATTTTCTCTGGGTACTCCAGTTTTCTACCACAGATGTATGTGTTGGGTTCATTGGTGTGACTAAATGGTCCCAGTGTGAGTGAATGTTGGTGTGTGTGTGTGCTCCCCGAGATGGAATGAGATGTCCTGTACAGGGCTATCCACCTTGTGTCCCAGGCTTCCAGGATAGGCTCTGGCCACCTGCAACCCTAAGCTAGAATAAGCAGGTTGGAAAATGAATGAATACAAATTATTATTGAATACAAATTATTATCAAATACAAATTTATAAAGTAGATGATAATCATACAACTGCACAACAATAAGCGATGAGGTATGAAAGCGTTCAGCTAGCCCACCATATTTGTGATTGTTTTTTAATTCATGGTCGGAGGAGGTGCTCCTTAAATTTTTCTATTTGCAAATATCTATTCCCTTATTTAATCCACCACCACTACAACTGTCGTCATTCAGCGATTCACCAAAAATTGGGTAATCTTACTTGTTGTTATTAACCTTTCTTAAATGTATGTATAGCCCACATTTATTTCAATGTTTAATATTAGAGGTGTGTAGGGTCTTTATTTAGAAGTTGGGTGATTATTTGTGACCAGAAACATGCCATAGGAACTTAACTCTTGTTTATGTCGATTAGCCTATGATGAAATTGGTTTTATTATACCTTGTTTCACTTAAAGTCAGTTTCCAAGAACCTATTGATGAGGTTGAGGACTTTTATTTGGTTTTAAGGTAAAAGTGTGCCAAAAAATTGAGATTCATACAGATAAGTAGCTTCAAATACTAATAGATTTGTTTTTAACATTTTGACTGATCTTTTTTTAGCTTTACTAATGTTCAGAAAGGGAGTAATAGTAAATTTGTGTTTCAAAGCTGAGTTGCTCACATTCCTAATTAATGAGTAATCACTCTGGAGAAATCAACAAATTTTCTCAGCTAGTTTAAAAATTTTATTGTTTGGAGAAAAATAAATGTATATTATAACATCATATATAAGTTGTTCAATGGTATTATTTTTTGAAAAGATCAGATGACTCAAAGGCTAGTATGACTGAACTGTGTCTGCCCCCCCCAAATTCCCATGTTGAAGCCATACCTCCAATGTGACTATATTTGAAGAAATTCCTCCTGTAAGGAGGAAATTAAGGTTAAGAGAGGTGATAAGGGTAGGGCTTCATCAGATAGGAAGGATTAGTATCCTTGCAAGAAGAGACACCGGAACTGGTGTCCCTGTAAGAGGAGATACCAGAGAGCTGCCCATGCCCCTCCACGTGAGGACACAGTGAGAAGGCAGCTGTCTGCAAACCAAGGAGAGAGCCTTTACCAGACACCAACTCTGCTGGCACCTTGATCTCAGACTTCCAGTCCCCAGAACTGTGAGAAAATTAATTTCTGCTGTTTAAGTCACTCAGTCTATGGTATTTGTTACGGCAGCCCGGACAGACTAACACAGAGGTCTTCTTTTTAACTCACAGTTTCAGCACAGAAAGATTCATTTTATTTTGCATGTTGACTCCAAAACCTGTTTTGATTTATCATTAACATTTTATCTGAAGTTGTGAGTATGGCCGTGTTGTGACCCTGCGTTATCAAATTGAGCCATCTAATTTATTTCCACATTGATAAACTTATATTCAATGGATTTTAGTTTAAGGTAGAAATAATGGTAATTACTTTTTTTTTTTAACTGTAGTCCTCATACCTGCCTTATGTCAATCAGGAAACTTTAGTATAAAAGAATAAATTTTGATACAACTGCTTATATCCCTGCAAATAACTCAGAAAGATCTGCAGCTTAAAGACTTTGTCCTAATAAAACTGACAGCCTGTATCAATCTGTATGTTATCCAATGTAATATTTTTTAAAATGTAAATGTTAATTTTGAAAACTGCATGTGTAATTTTGGCCAGGCACAGTGGCTTATGCCTGTAATCCCAGTACTTTGAGAGGCTGAGGTGGGCAGATCATTTGAGGCCAGGAGTTCAAGACCAACCTGGCCAACATGGTGAAACCCTGTCTCTATTAAAAACACAAAAATTAGTGAAGCACGGTGGCGCGCGCCTGTAATTGCAGCTACTCAGGAGGCTGAGGTGGGAGAATTGTTTGAACCTAGGAGGCAGAGGTTGCAGTGAGCCAAGATCATGCCACTGCACTCCAATATGGGTGACAGAGCAAGACTCCATCTCAAAAAAAAGAAAAGAAAACTTCTTGTATAATTTTAACTGCTAGTGCTTATCTACACAATATTTTTGGCTGCCTTCTCTTTTATGTGATCCTCTACTCCTTGAATTTTTTTCTGCCATTGCCTTTCCAGTCACCGTACAAATATGACTACCTTATACTACTTTGTTAGTATCTTAACACTTAAAGACTTCCATTTTATAATTATCAAGCATTTTATAAAATAATAAATTTACTTTGCATTTGCTTCTATACCAGATCATATAAGTAAAAGGAGAGCTTGACAACATCTGTCTTCTCATCCAGTATAAAGATTTTATGTAATCTCAGCTTTCATGCCAATATAGTCCTGGATTAAAAAGAAAATAAAAAGACCAGAGCAGATAATAATTTCCTAATCAGTGGCACATTTACAGTTGCAAATATATATATATATTTGTGGAGTAGGAGAAATTCCACAAATGAGTTAACCTATGAGCACAGGTTGATAGTGTGTGTATATTAAAATTTACTGTGTAACATATTTAGTGTACATTTTGTTTTTCTTATAGACTTTAAATAAAAGTATGTTTTTAATAAGAATTGAAATTAAACTTTTATAGAAACTTCTAAGTGCCTCTGCAAATTTCTAAGCTTCTGTGGAACATGGTTTGAAAACTACTGATCTACTTCAACCCTTCCCCATTGTGTAAATATAAAAATCAAAGCCAAGGTCTCCTAGTCACTTGGTAGGACCTGTAAAACCAAGACTAAATTCAGGTCTTCTGGTTGTCAGTCAAATGTTCTAGCCATTATCATGCTCTGCTGCTAAATGAACATATACATTTTGTGTCATTTAGTCTCTGAGATGAATGTATGATTTTGTAGCCCAAAACGTAATTGTAGTAGTTAAGGCATAAGAATGCATTGCCCATGTGATTTTATTTCTTCTTTCATTGTTTTACAGATGAAGGTAAAGTAGCTACAAGTTCTTTAATTTTAAGTTCCATTTTACCTATCTTCAAGAGAAAAAATAGTTACTCCACCTGGTTTAAAATTTAAAAATAATAATTCTTATTAGAGAGGGACGTATAATACTTGTTTATTGGATATTTCATGCTTTGAAGGACATAATAAGCAGATTTTGGAAGTTCTTTGAAAATACAAGAGTTTTATTGTTGTTGTTGTTGCTGTTTATTTTATTATTATTATTTTTTTTTTGAGACAGAGTCTCACTCTGTAGCCCAGGTTGGAGTGCAGTGGCACGATCTCACTCACTGCTACCTCCTCCTCCTGGGTCCTGGTTCCAGCAATTCTCCTGCCTCAGCCTCCCAAATAGCTGGGATTACCGGCATGTGCCACCATGCCCAGCTAATTTTTGTGTTTTTAGTAGAGACGGGGGTTTCACCATGTTGGCCAGGCTGGTCTTGAACTCCTGACCTCATGATCCACCCGCCTTGGCCTCCCAAAGTGCTGGGATTACAGGCATGAGCCACCGCACCCGGCCGTTGTTGCTTTTTAATTTTAAAGTTAGGCTGAAGTGAGACTGTAACACACAACGTTATTAAACGCATTCTCTAAAGTAGATCTACCAAGCCAGGCACAGTGCACATGCCGGTAATCTCACTTGAGCCCAGGAGCCCAGGAGTTGGAGAACATAAGTGCACTATGAATGTGCCTGTAAATACCCACTGATCTGCAGCCTGGGCAACAGAGTGAGACACCATCTCAAACAGGGTGGGTGGATGGATGGAGAGAGGGGGAGAGAGAGAGAGAGAGAGAGCTGGAAGTATGTAAAAGCAAATATAAATAATGTTGAAAATTTAATATTTTCCAGTTTTATTTTGCTTGGCATAACCTGCTCTTGATTCCCACTGATACCGCCTGACCCTAATTTAGAAACCTAATTAGACACCTTGGGGAGGTTGTCAAAAAGACAGATTCCTTGATCCCACCTCAAACGTACTCGACCACAGCCAGCAGGCAAGGGGCCTGGGAATTAATTTTAACAAGCATTTCAGGTGATTCTTAGGATCACTCAAGTTTGGGAAACATTAAGCGGTTTCAACCCTGCTTGCATATTAGGATCAGCTAGGGTGCTTTTAAAAAATACTGTTGCCTAGGTCCCTCCCCAGACCACTTTAATCAGAATCTTTTTGGTTGGGACCCAGGCATTTTAAATGCTCTGCAGGTGGTTCTCATACACACTGAAGCTTGAGAACTCCTGCAAGACAGTTGGAAATGTAATTCTCTGAAGCACAGCCCTGGTCTTGTCACTGCTGCTGAGAACCTCAATGGTTCTGTATTGCCTACTAATGAAATATGAATTTATGACTATCATAAGGCTACTCATGACCCAACACCAGCTTTCCAACCACTACTCTCCTACTTATAGACTATACTCTGGCCACACAGAAACACTTTCCCCAAACACTCCTTGTGCTTTCCCCCTTTCACACCTCTGTTTTTGCTTTCCCACCATGTAGAACTTTCCCCCATGTCTGTCTGTCACAGTCCTGCCCATCCTCAAATAGACCCAGCTCAAGTAGATTCCCATTTCCTCCTGTCCTTGCCCTCCCCTGCCTCCATTCAAAAGCGACCTCTTAGGGCATTTGTCCTATCATACCTTATATTTAGTTATTGGCAGATACATAGTCTCTTTCATAAAATGCCATGTGGAATTAAGAATAAGTGGATTTTTATCTTTCCTTTTTCCCCATCTAGATTGTAAATTTGTAATATCAACTATCTGTTTACTTCTGTGTGAGGCACTAAAGAGAAAGACTTTAGAGTCAAATGGCCCTAGGTTCAGGTGCCTTTTTTATTGGATATGGCTGTGTGACCATGGTCAGGTTAATTTTTCCAAGCCTTAGTTTTCTCATCTATAAAATGGAGAATATACTACTTCAGTGTTGTGAAAACTAGATTTGATAACCGACTGGAGCCTTCAGTAATCCCGGTATGTAATAACTGCTCTGTCAAAGTCTGTTGCTTTTATCATTGTGATAATGATCATTGTTAGCTCCCTTGAGGGCAAAGACTGCATATTTTATCTTTGGATCCCCATTCTGAACCTTGCTTATTGTAGGTGCTTGATAAATACTGGGTGAATAAAATAATGAATGCCTGCTGGGTCGTGCTTACTTATATAGTCCACTACCAATCAGTTCAGCCTGTCTTGGAAGGAGCACTTCAAATTTCAATTTAACCATCAGATAAAGATAGAAAATAGGATTTCCACTACAAACTTTAAAAACTGTATTAAAAAGGCCAAAACCCCAGTTAAACTGTAAGACAGCTGCTCTCTTTCTGCTGCCAGGAAATAGAGAAAACCCTCCAAGGACTATTTGCTGTTTGTTTGTGCATCATATAATAAACATGCTGTGACTTGGGGAGAGCACACACTTCCCCTGCAGGCAAGCTTGGGTTTGGGAAGTTGCATGTAGCAGCAGTGAGGAAGAAATCCCCCACTCTGTGGGAGAGGTTCCTTCACGGACTCCACTAAGCCCATTTGCAGTTTTGCTGAGTTATTTACTAAGATGAAGGGACTGGGTGTGGCTGGTCTGAGATTCCTCCTGGGAAGTCACTTCAAGAATCTCCTTAATTTCCTCACCCTTCATCTTTGTTCTCTGGCTTTGGTGCAAGGGTGCAGTCAGTCGCACCCAGTTGGCTGCTGTTCCCAGCACACTGAATTATTTGAAGCTGGCTGTGGCAGCCAAGGATTCCCTGTTCTGTTCTTTTCCCCTTGCCCTGATTTGAAAAACGGTCTGGAAATTCTCATCTGGCATGACCAGAAGGAACTTAGTAGGTTGCAAGCTGTTTTTCTAGATGCACAGGACCAAACAGAACCTTTAAAGCTGTAAATTACCATTTCTCAAAAACTCAATTTGATGGATTTTACATGGACAAATTATATAACGTAGGCTTTACCATCACCACTATCGTTTAAACAAGAGGCCATCCAATTGAGATGAAACCGATATAGGAAAGTAATTATCATCAGCTTTGTCACTTGAAGAAGGAATGTGAGGATATATTAGCTAATTGAAACCTCAGGAAAGATGTATAACAAAACATATAAGGATTAATGAGTAGTCCACAAAAGTGTTTACCAGATGACCAATATCTTTTAAAATATATAGATGTATTCCAGCTCTTTTAATTAGAAAATATATATATATACACACACACATATATGGATAAAAAATGAACTTATAATTACAATAGATGTGATGACAAAATAATTCATAGTCTGAAAAATATATAATTTCAGTGATCAGAGCCTTATGTATTATGCTAATTGTCCAATAATTTCTTGAAAGTATGTTTCTACTTTTAAAGTAAAATTAAATTCAGAAAGCAATGATGAGCAAATATGTGATAATATTCTAGGCAGACACTGAACATTTATATTTATTGTGAGAACAGCATGATGGTAGAGTACTATTTATATAAAATTATGTATCTTTATGTCTTTATATGTTTACATGCATACAAAAATATTTGGAAGGAGGTTTACTGAAATGTTGTGAATGATTTTCTCTTAGTGTTGAGACTACTTTTTTCTTCACACATTTTTATATTGTCTGAGTTTTTATAATGAGCATATAACATTTTTATAATCATAGTAAAAATAAAGCTATTTTTATAGCTTTCATATAGGAAAATTTTGCTTGAGCATCTGCTATGTGTCCAAAGTGGTACTAGAAATTATGAGATATAGGAAAGAAGGCTGTGGCCTGGCTACCAAGATGCTTACAATCTAGCTGGGAAGACAACTAGGGAGTGGGATCCTATAGAATGTAATCCGGTGTCGGGATGTATGGTTCAAAAAGGTGCTACGGAGCATCAGGAAGAGGAGAGGAAGCTCTCAATGGAAGGAAGCTTTCATCGAAAATGAAGATTAGGCTGGGTGCAGTGACTCATGCCTGTAATCCGAGCACTTTGGGGGGCCAGGGTAGGAGGGTTGCTTGAGCCCAGGAGTTCAAAACCAACTTGAGCAACATAGTGAGACCCTGTATTTTTTTGAGAAATATTTTAAAACTTAGAAAGAAAGAAAAGGAAGCTTAGATTGGACCTTGAAAGATGGACAAAAATTGAATAGGAGGGAGAGAAGAAGGCATTTTAGGCAGCATGAGCGCTAAAGTGATAATAATAATGCTTTTTGAAAAGAAAGGAGGAAACCAGCTTGTCTAGAATAAAAAGTAAATATGATTTGTGATGGAGAAGTTTGCTTTATTGCTAAGTTTATTTCATAAGATATCTTTGATATATTACAAACTATATTTTTGTATACTTGAGCAGGTCCTAGAAAAATATTTTGTAATTATTCTGAATATTGACTCTAAAGTGATGTAAAAACTATGACTACTATGAAAAATTCATTATTTTAGTGTATTGAGGGTAGAAGATTTCAGTACATATGCTGTGTAACACTGTCATCTCTGTGCACAAGCTTGTTCTCAAGTCAAACAGTGGCTTTTCATATAGTCTTTTAATTTGTGGTTAATATGTTCCTACACCTTTCTTCTTCTATTAAAAAAATCAAATTAGCCGAACGTGGTGGTGCACACCTGTAATCCCAGCTACTTGGGAGGCTCAGGCGGGAGAATCTCTTGAACTCGGGAGGCAGTGGTTGCAGTGAGCTGAGATTGCGCCACTGCACTCCAGCCTGGGCAACAGTCTCAACAACAACAACAACAAATCAAAAAGCACCAGTTGCCATGGCTCATGCCTATAGTCCTAGCACTTTGGGAGGCAAACATGGGAGGATTGCTTGAGCCCAAGAATTTGAGACCAGCCTGGGCAACACAATGAGACCAACATCTCTACAAAAATAAGAAAAACTCACCAGGCATAGTGGCTCACGCCTCTGGCCCAGCTACTTGGGAGGCTGAGGTGGGAAGATTCCTTGAGCTCAGGAGGTTGAGGCTGCAGTGAGCTGTGATCATGCCACTGCATTTCAGCCTGGGCAACAGAGCAAGATCCTGTCTCAGAAAAAAAAAAAAAAAAAAAACAGAAAAAAAAAAATCAAAACTAAGGTTGGGGAAGGGGGGAAATTTTCTTTTAAAAAAGACATTAAGATGGAGACTTTTCAAACAATGGAATCAGAATTCACTTTTAGCAGTTACTTAGTTAACAGGACTATATTCTGTTTGTAGTGTATACCCTAAATGCTGTAGCCATGTAAGTGATAATTACAATGTATACAAGTCTTCCTGAGAACCATATATTTGAAATTTTAAGTACAAAATGTCAGCCATAAAGTTTTCCTTATTGAATTTGTGTATTATTAAGTGCTTTCAATGTTCAAAGCTCTATGCCAGATGAAAGATATACAGGGAGCTCCCTCATTCATCGATTCGTTTATTCAACAGTATTTTTTTAGTGTGTCCTCTGTGCCAGGTATTATTCTAGGTGCTGGTACTAAAAGAATAAGGAGAATATAGTTCTATTTTTAAAGAGTTCACAGTCTCGTCTGAAAGAAAATGGACATGTAAATAGTTATAGACCCTCTAGAAAGTGTCAGGCCAAATACATGTGTTTATTTGCTGTCTCTGTAGAGCACACTAAAATTGTAATACGTCAGGTGTGGTGGCTTATGCCTGTAATCCCAGGACTTTGGGGAGGCCAAGGCAGGAAGATCACTTGAGGTCAGGAGTTCGAGACCAGCTTGGCCAACATGGTGAAACCCCATATCTACTAAAACTACAAAAATTAGCCAGGTGTGATGGCAGATGTCTGTAGTCCCAGCTACTTGGGACTTGAGGCAGGAGAATCGGTTGAACCCAGGAGACAGAGGCTGCAGTGAGCCGAGATCGCAGCACTGCACTTCAGCTTGGGCAACAGTGCAAGACCTTGCCTCAAAAAATAAATAAATAAAATAAAATAAAAGTATAATAAAGAGGGAGAAAAGATGTAAAGGCACAAGAACAAAACAAAGGAAGACATGACAGGAAATAATAGATATCCACCAAATTTTAGACGGTGGACAGCAGAAGCATAAGTAAAAACTGATTTGGTAAAGAAAACTGATGTATAACTACTTGCAAAAGGAAAAAGGTATGTTTGTGCCATAGAGGCCTAAAAGGGTTCAAGAATTGGAGGTGGGTTCAAGAATTGGAGGTGTCGGCCAGGCGTGGTGGCCTCACGCCTGTAATTCCAGCACTTTGGGAGGCAGAGGCAGACAGATCACCTGAGGTCAGGAGCTTGCGACCAGCCTGGCCAGGGTGGTTAAGCCCCGTCTCTACAAAAATACAAAAATTAGCTCAGCATGATGGCAGGTGCCTGTAATCCCAGCTACTCAGGAGGCTGAGGCAGGTGAATCTCTTGAACCTGAGAGGTGGAGGTTGCTGGGTTGCTGTGAGCTGATATTGCGCCACTGTACTCCAGGCCTGGGTGACAGAGCGAGATTCATTCTCAAAAAAAAAAAAAAAAAAAAAAAAAAGAATTGGAGGTGTCAAGTACTCTGAAACTGGGAGTGAGAGGGGAGCTGAAAATAAGAGGATATATTGAAAATCATTATGAGGAGCAATTAGATCCCCAGATCCCTCCCCCAACTTCAAGCATCAAGGTCACTACCCTTCATTCCATAGAAGACTGGAGATATTAAACTAGAGGAGCTCTTGACTCAGGAGCACCAGACACAGAGCGTAGGTGAGATGCCCTAGTGAAAAAAGATTGTCAATGTCTATCTGCTAAATGTTGACATTTATTTTCCAGCTCCCTTCCCTTGCTTAGCTGTCAGAATGCTGGCTTCCAAATGAATATACCCCAGGTGGGATTCTGGAATATTTTCTGGAGAAACTGAAATAGCCTCAGAGGAAGTCCCTACAAATCTGACATTTAGGAGTTGCACAATGAAATGACCAGGTTTCCGCCCATTCATTCTACAGTGAAGCTCAATATAAACAAGCTCCAATTCATTCAGATAACCAGTTTTTTAGTACCTCGCACCAAATAGGAATGAACATATTCAGGTATTCAAGGATCACCAGAAATTTGGGGGAAGTCTCTAATATGATAGCCAGAAGCCAAAACAAAACAAAATAGAGGCCAGGCATGGTGGCTCACACCTATAATCCCAGCACTTTGGGAGGCCGAGGAGGGCAGATCACCTGAGGTCAGGAGTTCAAGACCAGCCTGGCTAACATGGCAAAACCCCGTCTCTACTAAAAATATAAAAATCAGCTGGCCATGGTGCCTGTAATCCCAGCTACTCGGGAGACTGAGGCACAAGAATTGCTTGAACCCAGTAGGCAGATGTTGCAGTGAGCCAAGATGGTGCCACTGCACTGCAGCCTGGGTGATGGAGCAAGACTCTGTCTCCAAAAAAAAAAAAGGAACAAGAAAGAGTTCTTAGAAAGTAAACATTGTAATAGCTGAAAGAAAAATTCAGTAGATGGGTTGAAAGATCAAGAAATTACCCAGCAAAGGCAAAGAAGTAGAAAACAGGAGGAAAAAAAAAAAAAAAGAAAACTGAAGGCCCAGTCCAGGAGTATAAGACCTAAAAATTTGAAGTTCTAGAAAGAGAAATTGGAAGAACTAGAATGCCATCAGGCTTCTCAACAGCAACATGAGAAGCTTAAAAAAAAAAAAAGTGCAATGCTTTTAGAATTCTAAGAGAAAATTATTTTCAACCTAGAATTCTGTACCAAACCGAACTATCAATCAACTGTGAGGATAAAGTTGTTTTTTTTTTTTTTTCTTTTTAGACAGAGTCTTGCTCTTGTCGCCCAGGCTGGAGTTCAGTGGCCCAAACTCGGCTCACTGCAACCTCCGCCTCCTGGGTTCAAGCGATTCTCCTGCCTCAGCCTCCCAAGCAGCTGAGATTAGAGGCACCCGCCACCACACCCAGCTAATTTTTTGTATTTTTAGTAGAGACGGGTTTCACCTTGTTGGTCGGGCTGGTCTCGAACTCCTGACCTCAGGTGATCTGCCCACCTCGGCCTCCCAAAGTGCTAGGATTACAGGTGTGAGCCACTACACCCAGCCGAGGATAAAGATTTTTAGATGGGCAGGGTTTCATAAACTTTAACTTTTATGCAGCCTTTCTCATGAAACTACTGAAGAGTATGTTTTATCAAAAAGTGAGAATAAGTTTAGGAAGATGAAATTATGAGATCTAGCATCAAGGGGTGCAACACAGGAGAGAAAGAAAGAGAATTCTTAGAATGATAATGGAAGGTAGTTGCAGGACAACAGTTTGTGCAAGACAGCTAGAAAGCAATTCAGATTGAAGTAGCAGGACAGAAGGCTCTAGGAGGAATTTCTGCAGGAAAATTAAATAATAGAATTGATTATCTGTTGTGTAAAAAAATTGTCCAACCTTCAGTTGGAGAATTAGGGTTTAATACTTCAGTTGAAGAAGCACTGATTAATACTTAAAAACCCCCACAAACCGAGAAAGAAATAATCATTCTAAGAAAAACAAAAGGTTGTATAAGAAAGAAAATATAATAATATACCTTGTGTTTTTGCTGTGCATAATATTTACATAGTCATAAATGAGTAAATACTGAATATTGGTAAGCCAAAATTAGTATCATGAAAAGATGGACAGATGGGAAGTATATGTGTGTGGTGAAAAAGATAATTTGTCATCTTCAACTGAAAGTTAAAAGATGTCTAACATTTAAAAATCAAGAAATAGCAGTATAAACATATTATTTAAAGAAGCAAAGCAAAAAACAGAGGACTCAGTGAGTTTTGTTAAGTATGACAGGTTAGAAGAATTACTACAGTAGTTTGGTTGGGGTGAAATGAGTTATAACTTCCAAGAGAACCATTTTAGTTGAGTGACGGAAGCAACGTTGAAGGAGTTACTGAGTGAATGAATGGGTAGTAAGAAAGAGGAGGTAATGAGCATAGCATACTCCTCTGAGAAATCTGGCTTTGAAAACAAAGGGAGGAGAAAGCGGTGTTAGTGAGTTGAGTCTATGAAAGATTTTTTAGATTAAGACACCACTTAGACATGTGTGCATAGACAGCAAGGAGTTAATGGAGAAGGTAAGGTCAACGATGCAAGCGTAAAGGGGATAGTTGGTGGAGCAAGGTCCCAGAAACTGAGATAACATGGACTCAAGAGCATAGATGGAAAGATTAATTGTAGGAAGAGAAGGGAAAGATTTCTTTCTCTGAAAGAAGGAAGGAAGAGGTGCAGATAAGTGAAAATGCAGAGAAATATTAAGGTATAAAGGAAGGAAATTGAGGGACTTAAAAAGGTGGCTTCAGTCTTCTCAAGAAAATAAGAGGTTCTCTGCTGAGAGTTTGGATTTGGGGCATAGGATTAGCTTGGAAATTTGAGAATGGAAAATATCTGAAGGCATGTGATGCCAAGTTAAAAGGAGATGACTAAAATGATTATCCAGTAGCCACGAGTGTCCAGTTGAGGTTAGATAGCAGAAATTTGTAATAAAGCCAATCAATATGGTTTCTGGACTTCCCTCAAGAACGTTCTATCTCCAAAAGTTGTATTAATCATCATCTTGGCTAGGATGGCGTTTCCTTGGAGTGTCTTAAGAGACATTCCAGGGTTCAAAAACTTTAGAAAATGCTTGCTCAAGGAGAGTCAGTGCTCAAGAATACCAGAGAGAAGGTTTTCTTGTGGGACACTTCAATCTAGGTCATTCGGAGGTCTTGTGGGGGATCATGAGCAACGAAAAAGAAATATACTTGAGAGACTTAAATGACACAAAACAGTTTGATATCAAAAAGATCTGTAGCTGCATGGACATCTGGACACAAATCTGAGGGTGAGAGCGTGTTGGAGAACACCTGGATTCAGATAAAAGAAGAGCAGAAGAGAAGTGACATCATTGTGGGATTAGAATATAGACTACCTAGCCAGATGGAAGAAATAGATAAAGCATTTCTGATGCAGATCGCAAAACTGGCCTGAGTCAAGAGAGCTTGGTGATAGGGATTTCAAGCATCAGCACATAAGCTCAAAGTCAAGTTCAGCCAAAAGCTGCATACTTGATTAATTCTTTTTTTCCTGTTTGTTTATGTTTTTCTGATCAAAGAAAAACTTGCTCATTGTAGAAATGTAGTAGTACAGGAAAGTGTAATGAAGTAGAAAAATAATCACTCATAAATCCACTCACCATTAAAATACTTGCTAATTATTTCTAGTATTTTTATGCATTGTTGTCTTTGCATAGTAGAGATTATGCTGAATATACATTTGTCTAAACTGTTTTTTAACATAAAAGACTTTTCTCATATATATTTCTTATATATCTCATATATTTTCATATATATCTGAAATTCTTTTTATATGTTCATCTTTCAGAAGGAAGAAATACGGCCGGGCGCGGTGGCTCACGCCTGTAATCCCAGCACTTTGGGAGGCGGAGGCGAGTGGATCACTTGAGGTCAGGAGTTCGAGACCAGCCTGACCAACACGGTGATACCCCGTCTCTATTAAAAATACAAAAAAATTTAGCCGGGCATGGTTGCACACACCTGTAATCCCAGCTACTTGGGAGGGTGAGGCAGGAGAATCACGTGAACCCGGAGGCAAAGGTTGCAGTGAGCCAAGGTCATGCCATTGTACTGCAGCCTGGGAAACATGAGTAAAACTCCATCTCAAAAACAAACAAACAAAAAAAAGGAAGAAATATGAGATAGGAGTCCAAGATATATATAATTATAAAAATAATTTCAGGGCCGGGCGCGGTGGCTCACGCCTGTAATCCCAACACTTGGGGAGGCCGAGGCAGGCGGATCATGAGGTCAGGAGATCGAGACCATCCTGGCTAACATGGTGAAACCCTGTCTCTACTAAAAATACAAAAAATTAGCCAGGGGTGGTGGCACGCGCCTATAGTCCCAGCTGCTCAGGAGGCTGAGGTAGGAGAATTGCTTGAACCCGGGAGATGGAGGTTGCAGTGAGCCAAGATCGTGCCACTGCACTCCAGCCTGGGTGACAGAGTGAAACTCCGTCTCAAAAAATAATAATTTCACTATTTACTCTTTGCTAACATTATTTCCATTTTTCTGAAAATAACCAGTCAATGCTACTGTATTAGGCAGGAAAAAGAAATAAGAGGCATAAAAATTTTAAAAGAGAAGGAAAAATTACATGATTGCAGGTGATATGATTACTTAGCTGGAAAGCCCAAGGTAATCAAATTGAAATCTATTATAAACATTATGCTTCAGCAAGGTAGATGGACAAAATATACTAAAATCAATAATTTATTTTAAAAAATAATAAGGGCCAGGTGCAGTGGCTCACACCTGCAATCCTAGCACGTTGGGAGGCCGAGGCAGGCAGATTGCTTGAGCCTAGGAGTTCGAGACCAGCCTGGGAAACATGGTGAAACTCTGTCTCTACAAAAAATACAAAAATTGGCCAGGCATAGTGGTGTGTGCCTGTAGTGCTAGCTACTGGGAAGGCTGAGATGGGAGGATCACTTGAGCCTGGGAGTTTAAGGATGCAGTGAGCCAAGATCAGACCACTGCACTCCAGCCTGGGCAATAGAGCAAGACCCCATCTCAAAAAAAAAAAAAAAAGATTACATACCTAGGAAGAAATGTAACAAGAATATGAAGAGAGCTTTAAAACACTACTGGAAACAAAAAAAAGACTTGGACATATGGAAAGGCATGGTATGTTCTTAGGAAGATTTAAAATCATAAACCTGTCAGTGCTCCTTAATTTAATCTATAAGTTAACATGATCTCCCTAAAAAAAACCAATAGGACTTTTTGCTTATTTGCTTATTTTTTTGAGAGAAATGATTGTAAAGCTCATACAGAAAAAATATGTAGACTAAAATAACCAGAAATATCCCGAGAAAGAAAAGAAATAATGAGATACCAGCCTCGTTAATATCTATAATAGATATTAAAATCTGTTATAAAGCTATAATAATTCCACTATAATTGCTAACAATAAACACTGTGTGCCAGGCACTGTTCTAAGCTCTTTAAATATAACAATTCATTTAATTCTCATAAAAGCCCGTTGAGATTAACCTACTCAAACTCACACTGCCAATAAGTGGCAGAGCTCAGATTTGAACTCAGGTGCTAGCTCCAGAACATGTACTCTCTCCATCACCACACTCTTCATCACCAGCACATTTGTTATTGACATATTAATAGACAGGCAATCAATGGACCAGAATCAGAAGCTTAGAAATTGACTCAAATATAGAAATAAAATTAATCTACATTGGGGAGAGCATTTAAATTAATGAGCACAACTGGTAGCCATGTTAAGAATATGATATTGGATTCTTTCCTCACATCTTATATGCAAACAAATTCTAGATGGATCAAAAATTTCAATATAGGCCAGCTACAGTGGCTCATACCTGTAATCCCAGCACTTTGGGAGGCCGAGGTGGGAGGATTGCTTGAACCCAGGAGTTCAAGACTAGCCTGGGCAATGTAAAGAAATCTGTCTCTACAAAAAAACCTTTTTTTTTTTTTTTTTTACAGCAGGGTGTGGTGGCGCACGCTTATATTAGGTTGGTGCAAAGGTAATTGCGGCTTTTGCCATTCGTAGCAATAGTCTCAGCTACTCGAAAGGCTGAGGTGAGGGGATCACTTGAGCCCAGGAGTTGGAGGCTTCAGTGAGCCATGATCACACCACTGCACTCCCGCCTGGGAGACGGAGTGAGACCCTGTCTCAAAAAAAAAAAAAAAAAATACAAAAAACAAAAACACAAACATGAAGAAACCACAGAAAGATGTTCTTACAATCTCACAGAAGGGAAGATGTTTCTAAGAGAGCTGATAAAAAAAAACCTGGAAGCCATAAAAGAAAAGATTGATATATTTTGTTGCAGAAAGAGGAAAAATATTTGCTTGCCAACAAATACTGTAAACAATAACAAAAGATTAACAACAAACAGAAAGTATTTGCAACTTATATCACAGATGAAGGGCTAATTTCCTTATATACAGAGTTCCTAAAAATCAATAATAAAAATACCAAAAACTCAGTAGAAGATTGAAGGATGAAAATGAACAGAGTTTATAGTAAAGGATTGTATAAGTGGTTCTTTAAAAATTATTTTTAATAACTAGATTGAGATATAATTTATATACCATACAATTCACCTATTTAAAGTGTACAATTCAGTCGTTTTTAGAATATTCAGTTGTAAAACCATCACCAAAATCAGTTTTAGAATATTTTCATCAAGCCCCCTCTGCCAAGAAAAATACCCCGTACACATTAGCAGTAACTCCCCTTTTTCCCCACCCACAAACTCCCAGTCCTAGGCAACCACTAACCTACTTTCTGTCTCTGTGGATATGCCTATTCTGGACATTTCATATAGATTATATATAGATAGAATCATACAATATATGGGCTTCTGTATTTGGTTTCTTTCACTCAATGTTTTCTTTTCTTTGTTTTTATTTAAGTTCTTGGGGTACATGTGCAGGATGTGCAGGTTTGTTACATAGGTAAATGTGTGCCATAGTGGTTTGCTGCACAGATCAACCCATCACTTAGGTATTAAGCCCAGTATGCATTAGCTATTTTTTCTAATGTTCTCCCTCCCCCGACCTCACCCCCCAACAGGCCCCAGTATGTGTTGTTCCCCTCCCTGTGTCCATGTGTTCTCATTGTTCAGCTCCCACTTATAAATGAGAACATGCGGTGTTTGTTTTTCTGTTCCTGCGTTAGTTTGCTGAGGATAATGGCTTCCAGCTCCATCCTTGTCCCTGCAAAGGACATGATCTCATTCCTTTTTATGGCTGCATCACTTACAGTTTTCAAGATTTATCCATGTTGTAACATGTATCAGTACTTTATTCCTTTTTGTGGCCAAATAATATTCCATTGTATGATTATACCACATTTTGTCTATCCATTCATCCATTGATAGACATTGGATTGTTTCCACTTTTTGGCTATCATGAATAATGCTGCTGTGGATGTTTGTATACACACTTTTTTGTGAACATGTTTTCAGTTCTCTTGGATATATACCTAGGAGTGGAATATTGGGTCATATGGTAATTCTGTGTTTGAAAGAACAGCCAAACTGTTTTCCAAAATGCCTGCACTCTGTTACATTCCCAGTAACAGTTTATGAGGGTTACAATTTCTCCACATTCTTGCCAGCATTTGATGTTACGTGTCTTTTTTATTATCGCCAGCCTAGAGGTGTGAAATGGTATCTCACTATCCTTTTGATTTGTATTTTCCTGATGACTAATGATGTCGAACATCTTTTTACATGCATATTAGCCATTTGTGTATCTTTTCTGGAGAAATGTTCATCCACATTGTGGAATGTATCAGCACTTCATTCCTTTTTACTGCTATGTAGTATTCCGTTGTATGAATATAGCACACTTTGCTTTTTGTTTGCTTGTTAATGTACACTTGGGTTATGTACAGTTTTTGCCCATTATGAATAAATCTTCTAGGAACATTTGTCTCCAGGTCTTTTTATGGATGTATGTTTTCATTTATCTTGGGTAAATACCTAAGGGTTGAATTACTGACTGCTTTCTAAAACAGTTGTACCATCTTACATTCCCACCAGCAATGTATGAGAATTCCAGTTTTTACAATTGCTTGTTAACATTTGGTATTGTCAGTCTTTTGCATTTTAGCCATTCTAGTGGTTGTGAAATGAAATCTCATTGTGGTTTTAGTTTGCATTTCCCTGATGACTAATGATGTTGAATACTTTTTACTGCTTGTTGGTCATTTGTATATCTTCCTTTGTGAAGTGTCTCTTCAAATATTTTGCCCAATTTTTAGTGGGTTGTTTGTCTTTTTATTATCCAGTGGTAGGAGTTCTTTACACATTCTGGTTACAAGTTAGATATGTTCATTACAAATATTTTCTCCCTCTGTGGCCTCTTTATTTATTTCCTTAGTGATGTCTTTTATTGAGCAGAAGTTTTAATTTTTTAGCATTTTTTTTCTTTTATGGTTAATGCCTTCTGGGTCCAGTCTAAAAAATCTTTGCCTACCCTAAGGCTGTGACAGTGTTACCCTATATTTCCTTCTAAAAGCAATAGAGGTTTAACTTTTATGTTTAGGCCTATAATTCATCCTGAATTATTTTTTGTTGGTAGTTTAAGATTGAGGGTCAAGGTTTTTCCCCGCTCCCCTCATGGATAGCCAGTTGAGACAGTATGATTTATTGAAAAGACTTTCCTTCTCCTACTTGTTGTGGTTCCTTTGTTAAAAATAAATAAATAAATTGACCATGTATTAATATGTGCATATCTATCTCTGGATTCTCTATTCTGTTCCATTGATCTAAGGTAGTGTATGCCCTTCAACTTTTTCTTTTTCAAGATTGTTTTATTCATTCAAGGCCCTTTGCATTTCCATATAAAATTTAGAATAAACTGGTTCATTTCTACAAAAAAAGCCTGATGAGA
Source organism: Homo sapiens (assembly GCF_000001405.40). Lineage (NCBI taxonomy): Eukaryota > Metazoa > Chordata > Mammalia > Primates > Hominidae > Homo > Homo sapiens. The sequence continues at coordinate 47,084,880 of NC_000011.10, forward strand.
ATTGGATTGAAATTATTAAGAATCGCCGGGTGCGATGGATTACGCCTGTAATCCCAGCACTTTGGGAGGCCAAGGTGGGCAGATCACCTGAGGTCAGGAGTTTGAGACCAGCCTGACCAACATGCCCCTGACCAACATGGAGAAACCCCATCTCTACTAAAAATACAAAAAAAAATTAGCTGGGCGTGGTGGTGGACACCTGTAATCCCAGCTAGTCGGGAGGCTGAGGCAGAAGAATTGCTTGAACCCGAGAGGCAGAGGTTGCAGTGAGCCAAGATCACGCCACTGCACTCCAGCCTGGCAACAGAGCGAGACTCCATCTCAAACAAACAAACAAACAGTAAGACCCGAAATATTATTTTTGAACCCCAAGCTCACTTTTGTATAGATATACCTACTCTAGAAACAATGACAAAACTAGGAATTGTGACACAATACTAAAGACAATATTAAAAGGCTTTTTTAAAAAGTTACATTGGGAGCAAAAAGAACAAGGAGGCCTAGGTGGGTGGTATCATATTAATGAATGAAAGAAAGAAAATAGAGCATTCACCTCTATTTTGGTTTAGTCTTCTCTGTCAAAGAGGATACTCTTTGGACTGGAAAAGATAAAATAAACACTGGTTCCAGGGAATGCAGTCAAACGTAGTTGAGATTGAAATAGGTCATGCAACTGCTTTAAATGATTTCAAGTTCCTTAATCTTATATTTCAAGATACTGAGGACTAGGCTGGGCGCAGTGGCTCATGCATGAAATCTCAGCACTTTGGGAGGCTGAGGTGGGTGGATCACCTGAGGTCAGGAGTTCGAGACCAGCCTGGCTAACATGACGAAACCCCGTCTCTACTAAAAATACAAAAATTAGCTGGGTGTGGTGGCAGGCACCTGTAATCCCAGGTACTAGGGAGGCTAAGGCTGGAAAATCACTTGAACCCAGGAAGCAGAGCCAAGGTCGCACCATTGCACTCTAGTCTGGGTGACGAGTGAAACTCTGTCTCAAAAAAAAAAAAGATACTGAGGACTAGTGGATGAGCTGGCTGAAGCATTGCTGGCAGTCTCTGAGAAAGTGTGCATGGGGAGGGGGAATTAGGGGATGGGGGTCGGGGATGGATAGAAATTTCAGAAGATTAGAGTCAAGGAACTAATATTCAGGAGGTCACTTCAGCAGACTTGACATCCATCTTAGGTAATATTCTTAAACTACTTATGAACAAGAATAAGTTAAGAGGCCTGGCACAGTGGCTCACGCCTGAAATCCCAGCACTTTGGGAGGTGGAGTCGGGCGGATCACTTGAGGTCAGGAGTTTGAGACCAGCCTGGCCAACATGATGAAACCCCATCTCTACTAAAAATCCAAAAAAAAAAAAAAAAAAAAAAATAGCTGGCTGTGGTAGTACATACCTGTAATCCCAGCTACTTGAGAGGCTGAGGCAGGAGAATCCCTTGAACCCGGGAGGCAGCGGTTACAGAGAGCCAAGATTGCGCCACTGCACTCCAGCCTGTGTGATGGAGTGAGACTCTGTGGAAAAAAAATTTTTTAAAAAGAATAAATTAAGAAAAGGAAGTTGGGATCACCATAAGCTTACCAGAATTTATTGAAGATGGAGACAGAAAAGGGGAGGAAGTAGGGGGTAAAGGGGGAAAGGAAGAAGGGAAGAGAAGATAATAAAGGGGAAGGGAAGGGACAGGAGGCGAAGGAAAAGGAATAGGAAAAGATTCCAGGCTTAGTGGGTAAAGAAGACTTGATTTCAACCCTGGCTCTTTTACTTCTTAGTAAAATGATGTTAGGCAAGTTATTAATTGCTATAAGCTAGATTTCCTTATTGGTAAAATTGAAATAAGAGAAACTACTTCATAGAGTAGTCCTGATGATTAAATTAAATAATGTGTATAAAGTGCTTATTTATCAAAAGCAGTGATAACTGTGAAGGGGGTGAATGATGGTAATGACAATAATACTGACGGAGAAGGAACGGGAGTAGACAATGTAAACTTACTCCCTTTTTGAAGAGATTATTACATTGGTAAGTTGACAGAAATCTGTACAGTATAGCTATATTTAGTATAGCTATATTTAGTATATTTGTTTAGCTAAATTGGATTTCTACAAGACTTTGACAACATCTCCATGACATCCTTGCGAACAAGGAGAAGGAATATAGGCTGGATGATATAGGCTGGTTGAATAGTCATACTTAAAGTGTGCTGATTAATGGGTTCCTGTCATGCTGAAATTCTCCAGGAGTGTAAATCTGGACTATGTACTTAGCCAAGCTTTTTTAAAAAATCATTATTTGCATAAGAGCATTGATAGCAGGCTAATTAAATTTGGGAACAATAGCTAATAAGCTGACTGAAAAAAACAGAACCTAAAAAGAAATGGTATAATACAGAGCAAAGAATATGGCCTTAATGTCATGGATCTATCACTACTAGCTGTGTGGCTTTGAGTAAATTGCTTAACCACCTGAGCCTTTTGTTCCTCATTTGCATGGAGATAATACTACATATTCCATGTGGTTGTGAGAACATAAAAGATAATATATGTGTATTATCACACCTGTAATCCCAGCACTTTGGGAGGCCCAGGGTGGGCAGATCACAAGGTCAGGAGATCGAGGCCATCCTGACCAATATGGTGAAACCCCATCTCTACTAAAAATACAAAAATTAGCTGGGCATGGTGGTGCGGGCCTGTAATCCCAGCTACTCAGGAGGCTGAGGCAGGAGAATCACTTGAACCAGGGAGTCGGAGGTTGCAGTGAGCCGAGATCGCACCACTGCACTCCAGCCTGGCAACATGGCGAGACTCAAATATATATGTGTATGTCAAATGTATGTGTGTGTGTGTGTGTGTGAATTAGTTATCTATTTCTGTGTTATAAATCTCCCCCAAAAAACCTGGGGGCCTAAAACAATACACATTTATTATTTCACACAGGTTCTAAAGGCTGGGAATCCAAGAGCAGCTTACTGGGGTGGTTCTGGCTCAGAGTCTCTTCTAAGGTTGAAATCAAGATTTTGATTGGGACTGCAGTCATCTAAAGGCTTGAATGGATCTGGAGGGCCTGCTTCTAAGCTCAGTCATGTGGGAGGCCTCAGATCTTTAGCACATGATCCTCGTGATATGAGGAACTGGCTTCCCCAGAGCAAGTGGTCTTAGAAGAAGAGAGCAAGCAGGAAGCCACAGTGCCTTTATCACTTGGCCTCTGACATCACATTCTGTCGCTTTTGTTTTATTTTCTCCATTAGAAGCGTGTTGCTAAGTTTAGCTCATATTCAAGGGGAAAAGAATTAGGATCCACCTCTTGAAGTGGGGGAGTATCATAGAATTTTGTGGGCATATCTTAAAACTGCAACAATCTAAAAAGTACTCAGTACAGTGCCTAGCACATAAGTGCTCCATAAATGGCAGTTGTTATTCTACTATTAATAGTCTACACTTAATATACATATACAATTAATATACATGGTCCCTACTATGAAACCGGTGTGGGTAGGACAAGATAAACTCATGATTTCTTAGATTCCTGGAAAACACAGAAAAAGAAGTACCACATATGACTACATTAATTACATCTGTTTTGTACACCAAAATGAATGGATTATTTTTGCACTGCATGTAATGCACTAAGAACAGGACTAGTAAAAATAAATTTTAGTAATATTTATTTATTTATTTATTTTGAGACAGCGTCTCTCTCTTGCCCAGGCTGGAGTGCAATGGCACGATCTCAGCTCACTGCAACCTCCACCTCCTGGGTTCAAGCGATTCTCCTGCCTCAGCCTCCCAAGTAGCTGGGACTACACGCATGCACCACAACACTGGCTAATTTTTGTATTTTTAATAGAGATGGGGTTTCACCATATTGTCCAGGCTGGTCTCGAACTCCTGACCTCAAGTGATCCACCTGCCTCGGCCTCCCAAAGTGCTGAGATTACAGATGTGAGCCACTGTGCCCGGCCAAATTTTAGTAATATTTAATAGGCATACATAAAATGTATAGTCTGTAAATATGAGTGATATGAAAAATTCGAATGACAACCTAAAAGTGATATTATATGGTTTTGTTAAAGAGTTTTATATGTACATTTAAATATAAGTATTGATCATCTGAGAACTCATCAAAGCTTAACTGAATAATGTATCAACTTGTCTTTCTGAGTGTCCTTTTCTCATTTCCATTTAAAAATGTGCCACAGCTAAGACTGACAGGCCCCAGTCTGCAGCAAAGATGGGGAAGACTTGGTAGTTCACACGCCTCCCCTGAGGGCAAGGAGTAATTCTGGGGGGATGTAAACTAACAAACATAAAAGTATTATATCGGCAAAGGGGTCGATTAAGTAAAAGAGTTGATGTTGACAGTAAAAATTTAGAAGCAATAATTAATGTGGCTGAATCACTAGATAATTTCCTCTTTATGTATACATTTATATGTGTATATATATATTTATATATGGGTCCATAATGCCCATCATTAGCCTCAAAGATTGTCTAATGTTCATTGGAAACAAAAACATAAGAACTCTCCCACCCGGGTGGACAGAGTAATTTACTGAGCCACTTTGGTAAGATAAGAACATTAGATTGAAGGTAATGTCACACCTTAAACTTGTTAATTTATTGGTGTTTTGATTTGCATTAAACATTAGACAGATCCTCAGGCTAGCGGCTGACATGGTAGAACTCTCCTTAGTATCTCACCAAAATAGCAGTCAAACTTCTAAGATGTTCAAAACATAGTTACTAATTTGAAAGTAAGTAGAAATGGTTGCTGAGGAGCCAGGATTTACAGAGGTTATATGCATCATTGTAGGTGAGGCAGGAAGTCTCCTAAGATTTCACAGGGAGCCTCCTGACTTATAAATGCATAAATCACAGTATTGATCAGGTCAGCAGTGACAGATAAAAAGTAGTGACGTGGGTTTTAACTGTTGCTAGCCTTAGCCACACACTGACAGTTGTGATAAATGGTAACAGAAAAGGGAGTTATTATAGATCCAAACAGTGAAGAGAAAATATATATTTAAAAACCAACATTTTAAGTAAGATAGGTAGTAATTTACTGTGTAGAGGACAAATAAATGGCTTTATACGTCTTTTTGTTCTTTTTTTGTTTGAACGGAGTTTCGCTTTTGTTGCCTAAGCTGGAGTGCAATGGTGGGATCTCAGCTCACCACAACCTCTGCCTCCCAGGTTCAAGCGATTCTCCTGCCTCAGCCTCCGGAGTAGCTGGGATTACAGGCATGTGCCACCATGCCCAGCTAATTTTTTGTGTGTTTTTAGTAGAGACGGGGTTTCTCCACGTTGCTCAGGCTGGTCTCGAACTCCCGACCTCAGGTGATCCGCCCGCCTTGGCCTCCCAAAGTGCTAGGATTACAGGCGTGAGCCACTGCACCTGGCATGTCTTTTTGTTCTTTAAGGGTATCTACTATGGTCCAAGAAAATGAGCAGTATGCACAATGTTGAAACAGAGTTGATAAACAAAAGGTGACTGATGTTCACTATCATCTTTTTTAGGAAGTCAAGTAAGTTTGTGATATAGTTTACAGATACTTCTATCAAATATTAAAATGTCTTAAGATGGAAAAAAAAACAGTTTTGACACTCAAGTAGGTTTTACATATTAACATATATAGAATGCACATAGAAGAAAGGGTCAGAGAGGTCCCTGGAAATGCCGTGTACTGATTCAGCATCATGGGGGCTGCACAGCCTGCACTGTGAGTAATAACTATAATAATAGCTATCATTTAATGAGCATTTACCATGTGCCAGGAATTAGGTTAAATCTTTACATGAATTATAGTATTGAGCCCTTTTATCCATGCCTTGAGTAGGTATTATTATATCTATTTTAAAGATAAGGAAATTGAGGGCCGGGCACGGAGGCTCACGCCTGTAATCCCAGCACTTTGGGAGGCCGAGGTGGGCGGAGCACAAGGTCAGGAGATCGAGACCATCCTGGCTAACACGGTGAAACCCCATCTCTACTAAAAATACAAAAAATTAGCCAGGCGCGGTGGCGGGCGCCTGTGGTCCCAGCTACTCGGGAGGCTGAGGCAGGAGAATGGCATGAACCTGGGAGGCAGAGTTTGCAGTGAGCCGAGATCACACAACTGCACTCCAGCCCGGGCAACAGAGCGAGACAGCGAGACTCCATCTCAAAAAAAAAAAAAAAAAAAGATAAGGAAATTGAGACATAGTGGTTAAAAATTTACCTAACATTGGCTGGGGGCGGTGGCTCACACCTGTAATCCCAGCACTTTGGGAGGCCAAGGCAGGCGGATCAGGAGGTCAGGAGATCGAGACCATCCTAGCTAACACGGTGAAACCCCATCTCTACTAAAAATACAAAAAAATTAGCTGGGCACATCCAGCTACTCGGGAGGCTGAGGCAGGAGAATCACCTGAACCCAGGAGGCAGAGGTTGCAGTGAGCCGAGGTCACACCACTGCACTCCAGCCTGGGTGACAGAGCGAGACTCCATCTCAAAAAAAAAAAAAATTTTACCTAACATTGTTCATGTGGTTAAGTGGCAGAGCCCAGAATCAAAGTGAAGTCTGAGTACCTCCATCCAGGTTTACTATCTCAGTCTACGTGTTTTATGGAAATGAGGCATGCCCTTTCTGAGAAGGAATGATGTTATTATACCTCCTTATATATTTTCATTAAGAATGAGTGAGGATCTCCTCCTTTATTATTTATTCATGTGACCCTTTCTTTTCCCTCACCCTGTGGGAGGCTGAATAATGGCCCTAAAGATATTCAGGCCCTAATCCAGGATTATCCAGGTGAACCCTAAATGTAATCACAAGTGTCCTTTTAAGAGGGAGTCAGATAGAGATTTGATGACGGGAGAGGAAGAAGACAATGTGACACAAGAAGTGGGTGTGTTTGGAGCAGGGAAGTGACATGACATGGGGCCACAAGCCAAGGAATGAGGATAACCTCTAGAAACTGGAAAAAGATAGGAAACTGATTCTCCCCTAGAACCTCCAGGAGGAACCAGCCTGCTGACACCTTGATTTTAGTCCCATAAGACTCATTTTGGACTTCTGGCATCCAGAACTCTAAGAGAATAAATTTCTGTTGTTTTAAGCTACCAAATTGTAGTAATATTTTATAGCAACCATAGGAATTGAATACATATCCCATATTACTGGCTTCAGGACTTATTTGCATTATACTTTCTCCTTGTATTTTTCCTACATTTTGTAACTGTTTATTACTTCCAGAATGCAACTGTAGAGTGTGTAAATAACATATTCGTAAAAGCATTGTTTCAGATAAAGTCTAAAAAAGAGGTATTTTATTTTAAAATAATATCCAATCCTATGGCTATCCCATATCCCAGCCTTTCCAATGGCTGTAAAAGGGAAAATTATGGGACGAATGTTGTCAAGTATATAATGAAAGGAAATCTTTTCAATATGAATGATCAATAAACTTGTAGAAAAATGTCCACCATAACGAGAGTCACACCAGTTAATCATAACCCACATCTCTGACTAGGAATGCAGTAGGTTTCCCCCATTCCCACCACTCTTTATTTGGAGATTTGTTGAAACCTATAAGAGAATTATGAGAATAGTATGAAGGCACTTGTCTGCCCTTCACCAAATGCTAACTAATATGTCACCATATTTGTGAACAACAGATAGATAACTTGAAACTAAGTTATGGGAATCATGACATCTTACCCCTCACATCCCTCATCTCCTAAGAGTAAGGACTTTCTCCTCTTCTCCTGCATAACTCCAATGTCATTTGAGAAAATAACACTAATTTTATAACATCACCTAACATCCAGTCCAGTGCAAATTACAATTTCCCCAATTGTTCCTAAACATTATTAATAGCTGTTTGTTTTCTGACCCAGCATCCAGTCAGGGTTTACACATTGCACTTGGTAATGTCTCTTTAGTTTCTTTTAATCTGGAACAGACCCCTTACAATTTTGTTTTCATGATACTGACTTCTTTGTGTTTTCCTGACCCTCCCACACTAGAATGTACATTTTACAGGGGCAGGGATTTTCGTCTCTGTTAATTGCCATGTCCTTAGCATTGAGAATGCTGCCTAGCACTTTGTAAATATTTGTTTAATAACTAGATGAATGAATAAGTAATACAAGTACAATGAGTGTCATGAAAGGTGATTTAGAGGATGCCAAGGGTCCTGAGAATCTAATCTGTTGTTGTTTGTGTGTAACTCTTACCTCTGCATTACACGTATTGTGTTACACATATACGTGTTTCAGGCTTGAGCAAAGGGCTCATTTTACAAATCAGTGGGGAGATATAAGTGTAATAAATATAAATAAGAATTGAGTTTTAAAAAATACCTAAGTTGGTCAAGATTAAAAGGCATGATAGCAGGCACTTTAACAGCAAAACTGCAAGAGACTTAAGCTGAGTTTGGGCAACTGTGATGTGACTGGCAAGATGCTAAATTAGCTTTAGACTTAATACAATAAGAACAGAGGCTATAATGAAGAAGGTGATTGTCTTGCTCTATTTATTCATTCTTTCATTCAACAAATATTTATTGAGTACCTTGTGTGCCAGGCACTGTTTTGGTGCTGGATATTTAGAATTGAGCACCACAAAGTCTTCGGCCACATGGAGCTTACATTCCATGATGAACAAACAATACTTAAGTAAGTTTTTTGAGGGTAGGGGCTCTGTGCTTTCACAAGAGAGGCAACATAGCGTAATGGTCAAGAGCAGTGGTTTTTGAGCCACCAGACATAGGTTTGAGTCCCAGTTTGTATACTTTTTTGCTGCTTGGTCTTGGGTAAGTTCCTTAAGCTCTCAGAGCCTGAGTTTCCCCAGTAGTAAGGTCATGGCAAATAACAGTACAGCCTCATAGGTTGGGAAGGGACTTAAGCGAGATAATGCATGAGAATTGTCTCACATGGTGCCTGGCACTTAATAGCTTCTTGATAAATGTTAGTTGTTGTTTTCATCATTATTAACATTGACTAACTAAAACATGTCTTACTAGAAAAGGGATTTGAAACCAAATGATGAAGAACAGTTGAAGGAACCAGGGATGTTAAACTCATAGAAAAGTAAATGGAATACATGCTTACTGGTTTCAAATACTTGATGATGTAGCATGTGACCTGAGCTTACTTATTCTGTGTGGTCCCAGAAAACAGAATTAGGTCCAGCCGGTGGAAGTTACCAGGAAGACAATTTTCACAATGTAAGAAGAAATGTTCTTAACAATTAGAATTATCTATAAATAGAAAGAGCTGCTTGGGAGGAAATGGATTTTCTGTCATTAGAGATAATAAAGCAGGTACTAGACATGTGCTCTCCAATATGTAGCCACTAGCCTCCTATGGCTATTTAAATTTAAAGTAATTAAAATTAAATACAGTTATAAAGGCAGAGGATAGGATGGTGGTTTCCAGGGATTGGGGAAGGGAGAAACTGGGTATTGTTGTTCAATTGGTGTAAAGTTACAGTTATGCAAGATGAATCAATTCTAAAGACCTGCTCTATAGCATAATGCTTATAACTAACAAAATTAGGAACCTAACAATTTATTAAGAGGGTAGATCTCATGTCAATCATTCTTACCACACACAGAGAGAGAGAGAGAGAGAGAGAAACTTTTGAGGATGTGGATATGCCTGTTATCTTGATGGTAGCGGTGATTTCACCATTTTATGCATATATCCAAGCTCATCAAATTGTACATATTAAATATGTATAGTTTTTTGTATGTCAGTTAAACCTCAATAAAGCTAATTTTTAAGAAATTAAATACAAATACAATTCAGTTATTTAGTCACATTAGTCACGTTTCAAAGTGCTCACAAGCCACATATGGCTAGTGGCTGCTGCCATATTAGTGCAGAATAACAAACATTGCCATCATCACAGAAAGTTCTGTTGTATAGTGCTGTTCTGGACAATGAACAAAGATGTTTAAGAAGAAATGGAGGCACAAGATGAGAAAGAAGAGCTGAATTAATTAGGTAACTTGTAAAGTCCATTCTAAGCCTCAGTTTTATAGATTATGAAAGGTCATCTTTTAACCATTTCATTTTGGAATAAAGGAAGAGTTATTCTCACAGAAATAAAACTGTTGTGTTATTTGGAGATATTTTTATTTTACTGATTTGACTTAAAAATTGCTTCTTTTCAGCTCATCACTCTAGTTAGAGAAATAAATTTCTGAGGGGAAATGGCCTAGCAATGGCATGGCCCAGGAGAAGTACAGTAATCATTGCATCTTTTTCCTGAAAGAACTTTCCATGATTTTTTAGTTCAGCCTGAAGAGCCATTTGTGACGCTTAAAAATCAATGAAGGGGAAAAATGGGACTGAGCTGGGCCAGTTTTCAAAGGACATGAGGGGTGAGTCTTGTTTCAGTTGCTAGTATTAGACAGGATTTCATTTATGAACTTTGTTCTCTTGTCCAACTCCAGTTCCTACAGGTTTCCTTTTTCCTTTGCTCTCCAGTCAAAAGGAAAAATACTCACATGATTATTAGAAATACTGGAGCAATAAATTGTTTGAGGGACTTGAAACACCCTTTTTTTCTTTCCCTTCAAAGCCTTAAATGATAGTTGCTTCATTGAAGCTTACAGATCATTAAAAGCAGTCCTGCCAGGGTGTTGTAATATATGTTTTAGCTTCCAATTGAAGGAAAATCTCTACCAAACTAACCTTTGAGTCATACAGAATTTTTTATTTTCTATTTTTGATGTCTTGGGTGTTCCAGCACTTTTTCATCACCTGCCATATACAAAATTCCCATATCTTATTTGAGCCAAAAATGAAGCCTGGTATCACCTCTAACAAGTACAAATTCCTAGCGCTTTTCAACTATGTTATTATTTGCCTATTTTATTTATTGCAGAACAGTTCCCAAGGAGTAATGTCCTGGAGAAACAGAAATAACACTGTAGAAGAGCAGTAGTGTTATGGACATTGAGAGTACCATTGCAAAACCTGATTTTTTTTGCATTTTCATGGCTTCAGTTTCGAGTAATTGTAGATGGACAGAGGCCAAGCTGTTTTCAATTTGACCCTTGGTTAAGCTAAAAAACTACATAACAACTAAGGGTACCCTATCTCCTGTTACAGAGATAGATACATAAAAGGGCCAGACTAACAAGAAACCAAATAGCCAGTCTGGGGTATGGCCAGAGAATCTGTAACTCTAATAAGCACACCAAGGGATTCTGGTGAACAGACTAATTTGGGGAACTGCTTAGGTCCACATTATTTTGTAAAGGAATGATTGAAGAACCTTTTTCTGAATTTTTAAAAATAAGACACCAATTTTTTTATTGTAGTAAAATATATGTAATATAGAACTTACCATTTTCACCATTTTTAAATATACAATTCAATGGTATTAAGTACAACCATCACCACGCATTTCCAGAACTTTTTCATCATCCTAAACTGAAACCGTACCCATTAAACAATAACTCCTCATTCCCTGCTCCTTTCCCTCCCAGGCCCTGGTAACCTCTATAACACTTTCTGTCCCTCTGAATTTGCCTGTTCTAGGTCCCTCATATAAGTGAAGAGATAATTGATTTTTAACAAAAGCTTAATTGCTTTCTTGCCTGGAGGCATGGGTCGGAGTGAAGGGGAGCAAACATTAATTGGTGTCTTGACCTGACAAGTCAAGGTCACATTCGGATTTACTGGATTTATCTCAAGCAATAGAAAACTGTGTTTTTAAACTTTGGTTCCATGGAATCATACAGACTCCTTTTATTCTAATTGTTTTTATCATGACCTGTGTGTTCACCTATGAAATTATTCATTTGAAATTGTTACTGACTAGTTGGTGATATTCAATCTGATTTTCTCATGAAAATTAATAAGTATGTTTCTGAAAATCTCCTCTCAATTATGTCATTCTAAACAATTTCTGCAATGTTAAGGCCCAGCAGAAAAAAAAAAAAAAAAGTTACTATCAAAATGTTTCCAAAGTTCAAAAGCAGAAGAATTAGCACTTTTTAGTTTCTTTTTATAAAATGCATCTACTTCAAGCCATAGCAAATTTGAAGTTTCAGATCCTCTGTCCACAAGATTGAGTACTTAACGATAGCCCTTTTGGCTCCTTCCAGATCTCCTAATAAAGCAGGGAGCTCCTCTCAGCCCGGCCAGCCACCCCGTCCGGGAGGGAGATGGGGGGTCAGCCCCCCCACCCGGCCAGCCGCCCCGTCCGGGAGGGAGGTAGGGGGGTCAGCCCCCCGCCTGGCCAGCCGCCCCGTCCGGGAGGGAGGTGGGGGTGTCAGCCCTCCGCCCGGCCAGCCGCCCCGTCTGGGAGGTGAGGGGCGCCTCTGCCCAGCCGCCCCTACTGGGAAGTGAGGAGCCCCTCTGCCCGGCCAGCCGCCCCGTCCGGGAGGGAGGTGGGGGGGTCAGCCCCCCGCCCAGCCAGCCGCCCCGTCCGGGAGGGAGGTGGGGGGGTCAGCCCTCCGCCCGGCCAGCCGCCCCGTCTGGGAGGTGAGGGGCGCCTCTGCCCGGCCGCCCCTACTGGGAAGTGAGGAGCCCCTCTGCCCGGCCAGCCGCCCCGTCCGGGAGGGAGGTGGGGGGGGGTCGGCCCCCCTGCCCGGCCAGCCGCCCCGTCCGGGAGGTGAGGGGCGCCTCTGCCCGGCCGCCCCTACTGGGAAGTGAGGAGCCCCTCTGCCCGGCCAGCCGCCCCGTCCGGGAGGGAGGTGGGGGGGTCAGCCCTCCGCCCGGCCAGCCGCCCCGTCCGGGAGGGAGGTGGGGGGGTCGGCCCCCCGCCCGGCCAGCCGCCCCGTCCGGGAGGGAGGTGGGGGGGGGTCGGCCCCCCTGCCTGGCCAGCCGCCCCGTCCGGGAGGTGAGGGGCGCCTCTGCCCGGCCGCCCCTACTGGGAAGTGAGGAGCCCCTCTGCCCGGCCACCACCCCGTCTGGGAGGTGTACCCAACAGCTCATTGAGAACGGGCCAGGATGACAATGGCGGCTTTGTGGAATAGAAAGGCGGGAAAGGTGGGGAAAAGATTGAGAAATCGGATGGTTGCCGTGTCTGTGTAGAAAGAAGTAGACATGGGAGACTTTTCATTTTGTTCTGCACTAAGAAAAATTCCTCTGCCTTGGGATCCTGTTGATCTGTGACCTTACCCCCAACCCTGTGCTCTCTGAAACATGTGCTGTGTCCACTCAGGGTTAAATGGATTAAGGGCGGTGCAAGATGTGCTTTGTTAAACAGATGCTTGAAGGCAGCATGCTCGTTAAGAGTCATCACCAATCCCTAATCTCAAGTAATCAGGGACACAAACACTGCGGAAGGCCGCAGGGTCCTCTGCCTAGGAAAACCAGAGACCTTTGTTCACTTGTTTATCTGCTGACCTTCCCTCCACTATTGTCCCATGACCCTGCCAAATCCCCCTCTGTGAGAAACACCCAAGAATTATCAATAAAAAAATAAATTTAAAAAAAAAATAAATAAATAAAAAATAAAAAAAAATAAAGCAGGGAGCTCCTTCAGTGTCCAGCATACTACTCTGGGGAGAAGGCCTCTTCATCTTGTCTAGAGCAGGGCTTCAGATATCTGTGCCAGAGGCTTAGGAAAGACCTACCACTTGGAATGTAGAACAAAAGAAATGATTGTTTTCTTTTTTCTTTTTTTTTTTTTTTGGAGATGGAGTTTCGCTCTGTTGCCCAGGGTGGAGTGCAGTGGCGGGATCTCGGCACACTGCAGCCTCTGCCTCTTGGGTTCAAGTGATTCTCCTGCCTCAGCCTCCTGCGTAGCTGGGATTACAGGTGTCTGCTACCACAGCTAATTTTTGTATTTTTAGTAGAGATGAGGTTTCACCATATTGGCCAGGCTGGTCTCTAACTCCTGACCTCAGGTGCTCTGCCCGCCTCAGCTTGTTTTGTTCATTTTAAACAATTTTCCATAAATTTATAAAGCCATTCTCCATGACATGCTTACCACTTTCACGGTCTGTGTAAATCTGATCCATCAGTAATATAGTATGGCAGCACCTAATTATGTGTTTTGTGAAAAGCTATGGAACAAAAAGTACCACCTGTTACTTAACTCCCTAATTGTAAAATTGTGTTTTATTTCTGTGCCCTGAGGTTGGACCACAGTATTGTGATAAACCATGGGACTGACGGGTCTTGCTACCCATTCCTGTTCTCCATTAAAAAAAAAAGTAATCAGATTTCTTCTAACTCTCAAACCTCTAAAAGCGCTTCTGAAAACTTAGATCTAACTGTTTAAAGTTGACCCCTGGATTCTATAACCCTCTCTGTCACAAATCTGCTTTGTAACTTTGAGCGAATTATTTATCTTAAACACTTAACTTTCCATACAACTATTCATTGAGCATAAAACCTAAATAATGATACTACCTCTGGAAAAAAGGATTCATGACTCAGTGGGTCTGTTTCCCTACTTAAATCTGGAAGGGAAAATGCCTTCTTACTCTTCCTTCTGAATTTTCCCATTTAGTCCCTGGCACAAATGAAGACTCGCTCTTCTTGGCAGCATCCATGGCTGCTAAGAGAAACTTTGCCCCACTGCCTTTGATGTGGTGAAACAAAGCCTTTACCAGAGTGGTTGGAGGATCTGTCACCCTGGAGACTCCTAGGGACCCCCACCCACAACCTCTTTGGGAAGTTCTTTTCCTAAAGTTGTATTCAGATTTATACCAATATGCAGAGGAGACGTCTTTCTTATAAAAAGCTTGCTTTTCCTCTCAAAGCTGTGAAGAAGCTAGTGAAGGGGAAGTTGAACTGGGTATAATATTGACAAATGTTTTGAGCACTTCAGATAAAAATGTTTGATAAGTGCAGTCCTGTTTGTATTGCCTTATTACACTGCTCATTGGAGAAAGTGTTTTCTTTGGTCACCTGCCAATGAAAAAGATTAGCCTTTTCCTGTATTTAGGATTGTTTCTTTGACTAGTTATGTTGGTAGAACAAGATAGACAAATGCTGCTGAAATTAGCAAATCAGTATTGGAACACAGTGATACTCATTTCTCCTCACTGCCCTTTCCAATTCATTGACAGTTGCCGCAAGCAGTATGAATGGGTTTTTTATAGGACTCTCTTTCTCTCCTTACCTATTCCAATTTGTATTTTCACTTTAGTTCCCTTGCTCTGATGTTCAAGACTTTAAAGGATTTGCCACTGCCCACCACACCATGCTTTCCTATTTTATAGGATCCAATAAGAAACATTTTTTCATTTAAATGCCTCTTCTATAACATGAGTCACCTTTTAGATTTCTATACCTTGTATCTTCTAGTTTCTATTTTAGTACAGAAAAATTATAGTTTCATCTTCTTTGAGGCAAGATATGAAGATTTTTTTTTGCCCTCCCTCAAATTTATTCCCTGTTTACAGCAAAGGAAGCCACTGGCTGCTTTTCTAACATTTCTCTATCAGAAGCTAGTTGAGCTAAATGTATATACTTTTATATTCCCCTTAATATGTTTAGATTGATCTGGGGTACATCTTTTGGATCTGGACATTATGAAACAAAGTTAAGCCCTTTAACCCATCATCAGCCTACATCTGTCTCTTCAGACAAAAAGGAAATGAACTTCCATTGCTGTAGGAAAAATTTATGTCACACATAAGGGCAAATTTGTTAGCAATAATGTTATTCAAGCCAGGTGTGGTGGCGCATGCCTGTAATCCTAGCACTTTGGGAGGCCGAGGCAGTGGATTGCTTGAGACCAGGAGTTCAAGACCAGCCTGACCAACGTGGCAAAACCCTATTTCTACTAAAAATACAAAAATTAGCCTGGCATGGTGGCATATGCCTGTAGTCCCAGCTCCTTGGGAGGCTGAGGCACAAGAATCGCTTAAACCCAGAGGCAGATGTTGCAGTGAGCCGACATTGTGCCACTGTACTCCAGCATGGGCGACAGAGGGAGACCCTGTCTCAAAAAACAAACAAAAGAGATAGTGTTATTCAGTACTGGGTTCCTAAGCAGTATTACAGTATAACCTTCTCTGAAATTCTTTGCTTTTGTTTTTAATAGAATAGATTTTCATAAGGAATGGATTAGGTGCAGACCTTCTTGACAGCATGAGATAACAAGTTATTTCTTGAAGTCACTCTTTAGAATAAATAAGTCGTATTTTATTCTGAGGGAATTTTTTTTTTTTTTTAGACAGAGTCTTGCTCTGTCACCCAGGTAGGAGTGCAGTGGTATAATCTTGGCTCGCTGCAACTTCCACCTTCTGGGTTCAAGCAATTCTTCTACCTCAGCCTTCTGAATAGCTGGGATTACAGGTGCCTGCCACCACACCGGCTAATTTTTTTTTTTTTTTTTTTTTTTTTATTTTATTTTTAGTAGAGATGGGGTTTCACCATGTTGGTCAGGCTGGTCTTGAACTCCTGAACTCAGGTGATCCGCCCACCTCAGCCTCTATTCCAAGGGAATTTTAACATTGATTTAATTGAGAGAATCAAAAGAGCCTGAGGGTAGTTTACAGAGAAGAGCCCTTTTAGGTAGTATTTTTTATTTGACTTGCCAACCTCTAATTCTCACTGACTTATGGTGAGTTTCAAGTATGGATAGTTTTAAGATGTGGTTAGTTCCCATGACTACAAAATAAAATATGAATTTCCCATGTTACTTGAAGACTGTTTGTGGGAGGTCTTCATTTAGGTCTTTGCATCTTCTCAGGAGCATATCATAATTTAATAGCCTGTCATCGGAACCCTGCAAAGATAGTGATATTCATCTTAGAAAAAAAAAAAACTTGCATACCTCCTATACAGCATTCTTTGCTGCCACCTAAAGCCATTTGCTCATGAAACAGTAACCTTTAGAACAATAGCCCGAGTTCTCTTCCTATCAGTCAATTCTTAGAGACTCTATTAGCACCTTCCTTTGCTTTTGTCCTGTCAGATGGAGAGACGGGGTTGGCAGAAGCAAAACAGCCTTTATAAATTTTTCTTAGAGGTCCGTGATCCTAGATTAAAGTAGGAATCAGAAGACATCAGGTCTAGAAATCCTCAGAGTGACCTTTTTTGACAGAGAAGATATTTATATGAAGAAACATCAGTGCCAATGACCTAAATTTAGCTATCTAACCTCTCAATATGATCATTTCTCTGCTTGTAAAAGGGGAATAGTGACACCAATCACTACCGTCCTCTGGAGTTTGAGAGATACTTAATGAAATAATGAACGTAATTCTCCTCTTGCAAGGGAATATATTGTTGACTTTTAGGAGAATGATTTGGGGGTCCCTAAGGGGCTTAACAATCTATTACCTCTCTGGCACTCAAATAGGATTATTGTAAAAAGCTAATCTACTGCCAAAAAGTAAGCCATTTATTCTGTGGATAGATCAGGTCCAGTGTGAAAAAAAGGATTTTGATCTCTTTTTTGGAATAACTATTACTAACTAGATAGGCACAAAGATGTCTTTTTTTTCTTTCTTTCTTTAAAAAAAAAATTAGAACAGAAGTGTAATTGTGTTTGATGGTTCACTTTGGGAGAATGTTAGGTTCAATCCTGAACACAGTAAATCAGATGATATACTTCTTTTAAAAAGCCTCTAGAATATGCCTTCTCAATTGAGGCAATATTGCCTCCAAGGGGGCAAAAATTGGTTCTTTGGGAGGCAAAAAAAAAAATTAGATATTATAATGGTTTGTGACCCTTAAAAAATATATAGATAGATAATATGTTCATGATATCAAAATTTCATGGGGAGTGGACAAATAGAAAAAAGGTCTAAAAAGCTAGGGGGTGATAATGAAAAAAAGACTGAGAAACTTTTCTCAAGTCTAGAATGTGCATATAACTGTCAATTACTCTTTCAGCTGTGTTTGTCCCTAAGCATGGGCAAGCTGCACATTGTCAGGTCGAAACAGCTTGCTATTGATTATTCCTTCAGTCTGAGAGGAACTGAGTTCATAGAAAACTTGAACGAAATGAAATGTATACCCTAAGGGGTAATGATTTCAGACAAACAAACGTAACAAACATCTACTTGTTAGAACCAATACTTTGCACTTTAAAATGTGGTTAAGCCTTTAAGGTAAGAGGTTTCTTTTTTCTCTTGCCTCTTTAGCCTTACAGAAAGGCACATCAAGGGTAGGAATGATCTTCAAAGTGCCTCACAGAAAAAAAAAAAAAAAAAAGCCAGATTGGGAGAAAGTGTGGCCCCAAAGGCATACTTTGGAGAGAGTGTGGCCCCAAAGGCAGGAAGGGAATAATTGACTAAATAGTAATGTAAAGTGTACAGCATCGGCAGGGTGTGGTGGCTTATGCCTATAATCCCAGCACTTTGGGAGGCCAAGGTGGGAGGATCGCTTGAGCCCTGGAGTTCAAGACCAGCCTGGGCAACATAGTGAGACCTCATCTCTACAAAAAATACAAAAAAATTATCCTGGTGTGGTGGCACATACCTGTAGTTCCAGCTACTCTGGAGGCTGAGGTGGGAGGATTGCTTGAGCCTGGGAGGTGGGGGTTGCAGTGAGCTGAGATCATGCCACTGCACTCTGGCCTGGGCAACAAAGCAAGACCCTGTCTCAAAAAAAAAAAAAAATGTACAGAATCAAAGTCAAGAAAATTGATGGGAATTGACACTGAAGTACTTAAGAAATTTTAAGTTTGCTCTTGCTGCTGGTATTAATAAACTTTCATATATCCAACATATTCTTCCTTCCACCTTTCTCATATGTCTTATTAGTTCTTTCAAACACTCAGAATGGATGGAATGATCCAAAATTGACTTGCTACATACTGGGGAATTTGGAAGGGACCTGTGTTTTGCTTAGCAGCCCTGAAACAATAGAATGGCCTTTTTTTTTTTTTTTTTTTTTTTTGAGACAGGGTCTCACTCTTGCCTAGGCTGGAGTAAAGTGGTGCTATCTCAGCTCACTGTAACCTCTGCCTCCTGAGTTCATGCGATTCTTGTGCTTCAGCCTCCTGAGTAGCTGGGACCACAGGTATGTGTTACCACGCCCTGCTAATTTTTTTTTTAATTAATGGGGTCTCACTATGTTGCCCAGGATCTCAAACTGCTGAGCTCAAGTGATCCTCCCTCCTTGGCCTCCCAAAGTGCTGGGATTACAGGCATGAGCGACTGTGCCTGATAATGGCCATATTTAAAGATATATTTTTTCCTCAGTCTCTGACTCTTCCTTGCTTAATCATCCTATTCTTTAATATACAAACCTATAACTTTGAGGAAAGAGAATCAGAGATTATTTCTCCCTACTTACCCATTTCATGGTGCGACAATGAGCACTCTTCTCCAAGCCAAGCATTTGATAAGCATTCATTGCTATGGGTATTTTACTGCCTTAAAGAAATCCACCCCAATTCCCTGCCGATTGATTTCTTAAGATCACAGAAGAAAGTGGAATGAATCCTAGAGAGGCCTTCAAGCTCCCTGACACCCATGGGGCCCACTCATCTCCACCCCCAATACTCCAATTTCAAAATCTAACACATTGTCCTTTTCTTAGTTCCTCAGTTCCCCGCCCTTCAGCTTCTCTTTGTTAGCCACTGGGTGGGTGTAACCAAACCTCAGTCACACTGTGGCCCCAGCAGCTGGGCTTCTCTCTCCCCCATTACATTGCAGACATTCTTTTCACATCATTTTGTCCTCTCTGCTGCATTCCCTACATTTGGCTTCATTCCCTCTGTGCAAACTTCTGTTTCAAGGGACAGCAGTTTGCCAAGGAGATGCTGGCAGAGAGGGTCCAGTTCTTTCCTTTCTATCTGAAGAGCCCAGTGTCATTCATTAGCATATGAGAAGAATGGTTGTAAATAAACATCAAATGAGGTTAACGAGCTGCAGCTCATCAATATTAATGAAGTCCACCTCACAGCCTTGGTATGAGGTACCAATGGCTCTAATCACAAGAAGCAGTTTCATAAGGCCCCAGTTACAGGGCAGGAAGGGTTAGATCCAGCGTGTTGAAATGTTTGTCATTTTATGACCCCAGGAATGCTGCAGGGTAAGGCAGTCTGATACCAGATCTGTGCTTGCAAACCCCTCTTGTGTTCAGTTTACATCTGTTTGTCTCAACAGGTGGAAGCCTAGGAAAAGGCTATATCTGCTAAGCCAGAATCTGGGGTGGGAATTCTCCAGGTCAACCTGCAGTTCCCAAATCAAAATGAAGTTCCAGAGTACCAGGGTTTGATCTCTCATTGCCCTTCCATCAGTTACCCCAGATAACCCAAACACTTGTTTCCAGTGTAGTGAAGGATGGTTTGAGGATCTAAGCCCAGCTTGGTAAGGAATGAAGAAACTCCCATTTCATGTAGCTCATGTGCCTGCCAGCCACCAGTTAAGTCCCTGTGCCTATTATTTAGAGGATTCAAAGAGTAACAAGGGCCAGGCATGGTGGCTCATGCCTGTAATCCCTACACTTTGGGAAGCAGATGTGAGGGGATCACTTAAAGTGAGGGGTTCCAGACTAGCCTGGGCAATATAGGGAGACCTCTCTCAAAAACAATAAATAAATAAAAATTTTAAAAGTAGTTGGGCGTGGTAGCCTGTATTCCCAGCTACTCAGGAGGCTGAGGTGGGAGGATCACGTGAGCCTAGGAGTTTGAGGCCACGGTGAGCCATGATCATACAACTGTACTCCAGCATGGGCAACAGACAGAGACTCTGTCTCTGAAAAAAAAATTTTTTTTTAATTAAAAGAAACAGTAAGTACAGCTATCATTTATTGAACACTTACTGTGTCCTAGGCATGGTACTAAACATTTTTGTTATATAATCCTCACAATAATCCCATGAAGGTATTCCCATTTTACAGATGAGGAAGTTGAAACTCACTGATTTGATGTCATGGGTCTAAGATCACACATCAGCAAGTGGCAGAAGAGGAGCTCAGATTTCGATCTGTCTAACTGCAGAGCCCATGCTCTTACTTCCTACCCTCTGTGGTATCATCTCAGAGCCAAGCACATAAAATGCAAGCTTTTGTGCTGCTCCTTTTCGTCAAAGATGTGTGTCCTCCAGTTTCAAGGGACTAAACACAAAGTAGTTCCCTGGAAGTAGAATCAGAAGGCTTTAGAATTAATTTTTTTAAGTCAAAGTGCCTCTTTGAAATTATTTTTAGAAAGGAAACTTTCATTAAATATGTTTTCCTTGATATATAAATTTGGGGTCAGAGGGATTAGGCTTTGAGAATATGTGTGTGTATGCATGACCCAGTCTGTGTTGATAGCCATGATACTGATTTATCCACCTTGTCACACTAGTTCCTTTTATGATTAAGCACACACCTTGCATGAGGTCAGTGACCATGGAACACAGGGAAACCGCTCCCATGGCTGATTTGAGCCTATGATCTTAGCCTCAATTACATTGTTTCAACAACTGAACGCCTGGTTTATTACTTAAAGTACTATCATTGTACTTTGTCTTAGGGGTGGGAAGGAGAACCGATCAAATTGTTGTTATCACAAAAGCTACACCTGATTGTTTGTAAAGAAGGACTTCTAGTGAAAGGATGAAAGTGAAACAGCTATTTCTCTTTCTTCTATTTTTCTCCTTGAAAATTCAGGGACCTAGGCCAAGACAGGCGGATCACTTGAGGCCAGGAGTTCAAGACCTGCCTGGCTAACATGGCAAAACCCCGTCTCTACTAAAAATACAAAAATTAGCCAGGCGTGGTGACACGCACCTGTAGTCCCAGGTACACGGGAAGCTGAGACACAAAAATTGCTTGAACCCAGGAGGGAGAGGTTGCAGTGAGCCAAGATCACACCACTGCACTCCAGCCTGGGTGATAGAGCAAGACCCTATCTCAAAAAAAAAAAAGAAAAGAAAAGAACATGAAAGAAAGAAAGAAAACTCAGGGACCTTACTTGGTAATTTTTACCTAGGCAAAATGCCCAGGAATGTTTCCACAGAATGGTACCCAAAGCCCACCCATGCAGGAGCCCTTCCTGCCACCAAGGTAACCAAGACTAGGAAGCAATTGAAACTGGGCCTTCCTTTCCCAGGCCTGTGGCTGTCAACTTGGCTCAGAAAGAGGCAGACTGATGACTTTGTCTCCTTACCCACTCACACTACCACACAGTTCTCATTTGAGCCTGGTCACATGGCTGTGCCTTCTTATGGCCAAACAAGGATACGCTGTTTCCCGTTCTTTGCACCCTGGGTTTGGCCTGAGCATCCTTAGATGAAACCATCAGGACCCCCAAACCTTGAAGCTTTTCCAGGGGCAAATTGCATGCAGGGGAAGGAGGGGCTGAGCTGTGTAGTGGAGCAGCGGATGGTGTGCAGTCGGGATGTTTGCAAGAGCCAAGGGGTTAGTTCATTGCTGCTTTGTATACTCAGGCACACCAGAAAACTCAGATTAATAGGCTGTTTATTCTTCAGCATGTTCCTTGAATCAAAGGCTCTGGATGGTATTATTAAAGAGTGTTTGTGAGAGCGCCCTGGAACACTCCTCCTGGGCTCCGCTCACTGAAGAGGAACGATTGAGTCCTTTCATTTCCTGGGCAGCATCCCTCTCACTCATTGCTCACTGTAGTATAAAGGTCTGTAGAACCTTTGTTAGAAACAGGATCTTTTGTTCTGTCCTTATGAGGTCCCATTACCTACAGCACCTTGATCTGTTGGAGTCTAATTATTTAATGTTCTTGTCTTTTGAGCTACCTGAACCTAATGAATGCAGTCCACTCTATCTCAGGGAGTTGTTTTGCTTTGGTTTTTTGCCTCTATTTGGCACCAGTTTCCTGTTTGGACAGTATTGCCTTTTATTTTCATGGTTTTTTTTCAAGGAGTTTGTCCAGGAGAGAAGGAGACATCCACCTGAAACCTACTCTGTGAAGCAAATGAATATGTTTTTTCTATTAGAAGATTCTCCTAAAATGTTCTGAAGTTTGTTCATATCTGGGAATTGAAGCACATTGAATTAAGAAAGAATTACTTCCTCCACCTCCACCCCTGCAATAGAGATTTATACTGGACAAGGTGGCAAAAAAAAATTAGGGGGAAACTGCTCGGTACAATTCCCCCCCAGTTCCCTTGGGGCAGCAGCGTGCTGCACATGAGGAATCACTGTACCTTGTTCCCCTGGCAGTGATACTTCTCTGTGGCCAGGCAAATACAGTAGTCCAGGCCTTCCACAACTTCTGCATGTGCGCATGTGCGCACACACACACAGACGCTCAAAACCATACCCCTCCTGGGCATCCCCTTAATAGAGGCATCCAGTATATTGCAAAGGTACTCATCACTATACACAGTGCAAATACTCAGCACTCGTTTATAGCAAACCCAGTATGAATAATTAGCAATAGTTTGGGATCTGGCACAACCCTTAATTACCACAACTAGAGGCCAGAAAATGAAATCAGGGTCATATATCTGAGGTTAGAACTCTAGAATCTGTCTGGCATCCTATAGCCCAAAGCACCACAGGGAGGTACACCTTGGAGCAATGGGAGCACTGTCATCCAGGAGACACTGTCCCCTCACTTTCCTCCAAAACCAGCACAGCTGTTTGCACGAGGGCTATCTGCCGTATATACAGTGAGACTAAGATATATATACACACCCTGGCGCTTCGCCTGATTTCTTCTGTGAAGTCCATCTGTTTATCCAGTTCCAGATCCCAAAAGGCAGTCACCAAAAACTAAATAGTGAGAAGGGACAGGCTTTTTTTTTTCTTTTTTGATAAACATGTTACAGTGAACAAAACAGATTTTGCAAACACATTCCATCTAGTAAATCTTACCTCACAGCTGTGTGAGAAGAGCTTGGAGGAGAGAAGGATGGGGAGCAGGAGGGTCTCAGGACTTGATTGGAGAATTAGAAAGTTCAGAAACCCACAAGGGTGGGACAGTTCAGTACTATCTACTTTTTTTTTTTTTTTTTTTTGAGATGGAGTCTCACTGCGTCGCCCAGGCTGGAGTACAGTGGCACAATCTCAGCTCACTGCAACCTCGGCCTCTTGGGTTCAAGCGATTCTCTTACCTCAGCCTCCTGAGTAACTGGGATTACAGGCGCCGGCCACCATGCCTGACTAATTTTTGTATTTTTAGTAGAGACAGGGTTTCACCATGTTGGTCAGGCTTGTCTTGAACTCCTGACCTCAAGTGATTCGCCCACCTCACCCTCCCAAAGTGCTGGGATTACAGGCGTGAGCCACCGCCCCTAGCCTATCTACTTCTTATAGGGTGATAATTGGCCTTTTCCCTTCATTCTAGCCCCTCATCCTAAACCTGGAATCTGTGATGGGCTCACCAAAAATGAAGATCTGGCTGCAGACTTTGGCTTCTTTCACTGAAAAGCTGATCTAGCCAGACTTTATCTTCAAAAGACAGGCCCTGCACTTCTGATGTTCCCTGAGCCTCTCCCACTGAGCCTACTCTCGTCCACTGTAGCCATGATGCTCTCTGGATTCAGACAATGGTGTGTTGTCCCAGAACACTGTATCTGGCCTGTCTGTGCTTCACATCTACCCCTTTGGCTAGGAAAATGAGGGACAGAGCTCACATCAGTAACTTGGATTCTGAGGACCGAGGACAAGCAGAAGAAATTGACCTTTTGCCTCAGAGGTGGCTGGATGTTTGTGTGTCTCTCTTCGATGTCAAATTGGCTCACTGAACCACTCAAGAGTTGTTTTTTAAAAATGTTCTGCTCACTCCTCATTTGCGGGTCAGATGCTTTGGATAATCCAGTGGAATTCTCTCTGCTTCACTGCTGGTTGCTGCCAGACACAGAGTGCTAAATCCTGTCAGTCGGTGACTTGAAATGATGATGTGTGAAACAGTGCTGCGATTTGGACATCCTGCACTCATTTGCATGGACTCCTTTGCCAGTTAACCACAGTAGTGAAATGGGGCAGCCTGGGGCAGCTTCCACAGCCCTTGCCTTATCTTTCCTCAGTGTCCCCACCCTCCCCCATGGCAGTATGTAGCTCCAGTAATTGGTAAGGCTTGGAATTCTGTTTCATTTAATATTATTCCCTTCCTAGGCATCATAGAGCAATTTCTTTAACATGCTAGATTGCAACATGCCAGAGACAGAGAAATAGCATTTGTGTGCAGAATGGAGAGGCGGGAAGCAAAACACTCTTGTTGCTGATTCCCATCTCCCGGTCTTTGCCCTTCCTTCTTTCCCTAGATTGCATGGCTGGCTGATTCTCATCTGGTGAGTTCTCAGCTCAAATGGTACGTTCTCAAAGATGAGCCTGGCACAGCCATCTCATGTGGTCCCACCCTCAGTCACTGTGTATCACACCACCCTGCCTGATTTATGTCATTGCTCTCCTCACTTCCTAAAAGTATTTCTTTCTTTGTTACTTTTTATTCTCTGTCTCCCCAACCACTGCCTCCACACATACACACTAGAATGTAAGTACCATGAAAATAGGGATTTTTATCTGTCTTATCCCTTGCTGTTTCCCCAGAATCTAGCACAGTCCCTGGCATACCTTTGACACTTAGTATATTGACTAAATAAGTAGCTAAGAATGTAGCAATTAAGAACTTCTAAAGCAAATATCCATGGTTACTATCAGGAAATAGTAAAGGCAGACAGACAGAGAGTTTGAGGAATGGAATGAGAAGACATGATTTCTTATACTGATTTTAATAATGGTCTTAATTACAAATTGAATACGTTAAGTCAAAGATCACAATATCGAGTCGCTCTTCATTTCTTCTGACTCAGACTAAACTGCCCCTTATTGAGTAGGTTAGGTCAGGGTCATAGAGACCAAGTACTACAAACTTCCTGGCCAAACTGGCATAATTGATGCCACAAAGTATGCCCACTTCCAGATTTCCACTGGGTGGTGCCTGGCTTTGCTTTCCTTAGGGCAGTTGCCAGAAGAAACTGGCACAATTTAAAGCAGTTTAAAGCCCAGCCTGGGTATCTTCATCTAGCCTTTATTATATTCTTGCCTGCCTCCAGTTCCCAAAAAGACTGCATTCCTGTCTGCAACTCCAGGGCCCTGAAGCCCCTTCAGTCATGAAAGCCATGGAGGTGGGTTAGCCCTGATCCACCCAGCGTGAGACAGTATGACCAAGAGAACACATCTTTTTTTTTTTTTTTTTGAGACAGAGTCTAGCTCTGCCGCCCAGGCTGGAGTGCAGTGGCGCAATCACGGCTCACTGCAAGCTCCGCCTCCCGGGTTCACGCCATTCTCCTGCCTCAGCCTCCCGAGTAGCTGGGACTACAGGCGCCCGTCACCACTCCTGGCTAATTTTTTTGTATTTTTTTAGTAGAGACGGGGTTTTACTGTGTTAGCCAGGATGGTCTCGATCTCCTGACCTCGTGATCTGTCCGCCTCGGCCTGAGAACACATCTTTAGTCCAGCAGATACATGGCACTCATCTCCTCAAGAGTCCTTCACCCAAACGAGAATTATTAGCTTCTCAGAAGTTATCCTTTGTCTTGTTGGGGCAAGATCTGTGCCTAGTGTCAAGAGAGAGATGTTAAAGATTAAAGAGCCTCCACCAGGAAAGGGAATGGTTTTGCCTGAATCTCTTAATTTGTTTTTCCCCGCTACGAGTGCATTCATGTTGCTGGGCTCCCTGGCTTACTCCCCGGTGGTTTGTAGTCATTTTCATCATGACTTTGCGGTTGCATTGATATCAGAATGAGTTTCGACTGCTGTACGTGATGCTTCCATGCTCCATTGCTTTCTCTCTTATGTTGCTAACGACTCTCCTGTTGGCTTCAGCCCTTAGCCAAGCCCACCCCACTCCACACCCCACTCCTTCCCTGTCTTTTATTGATGCTATGTTGACTTTGCATGCCTCAGTTAGTTCAGTTTTCTGAGCACCTGCAGAGAATTAACCATCTCTGCTTGCTGCTGCGGATCACCTAGGCCTTTGATCTGTTTGATTTCTGTACTTCTAAAAATGTTGAAGGACTCTCTAACCCCACCAAAGTACATAAATGGTGCTACAGTTCCTGTAGCCTGACCTCCTCCAGACTAGCTCTGCTTAGGGAACAGAAGATCTTCATGTAAATACAGATGTAGATACCATTTATTAAATGTTTTCTATGTACGATTTTACTGTTCTAAGCACTTAATGTGAATATTTCATTTAATCTTTGCTTATAGAGCTAAAAGGCCATATACATGAACTGGCCCATTATTTCTCTAACCTCATCTCTTCTTCCTTTCCCTCTTATTCTTTTGGCTCCTGCCATGTTGGTTTCCATGCTGTTCCTCTTACCCAATAGGCACACTCCCTCCTTAAGACTGTAATGGCTATTCCCTCTGCCTGGAATGCTCTTCCCTCAGATGTCTGTATCAGTTACTCCTTAACCCCTTCAAATCTTCACTTGAGTGTTACCTTCTCCATTAAACCTACCTAGACCACTCTAGAGAGAATTGAACCACCAGTACCACCTCATATTCCCTATCTCTGACTTGCTGTATTCTCTTTTTTTCCATTATATTTATCACTGAATCTCTTAATTTGCCTCAGTTAACTTTCTATATAGCTTATTTGTTTGTTTGTTTGTTTGTTTTTTGAGACTGAGTCTTGATCTGTCACCCAGGCTGGAGTCCAGTGGCACAATCTCAGCTCACTGCAGCCTCTGCCTCCTGGGTTCAAGCGATTCTCCTGCCTCAGCCTCCTGAGTAGCTGGGATTACAGGCATGCACCACCATGCCCGGCTAATTTTTGTATTTTTTGTAGAGACGGGTTTTCACCATGTTGGCCAGGCTGGTCTCAAATTCTTGACCTCAAGTGATCCGCCTGCCTTGGCCTCCCAAACTGTCAGGACTACAGGCGTGAGCTGCTGCGCCCAGCCTATTTGTTTATTTTCTTTATCATTCATTATCTGTCTTCCCCACTGCAAGATAAGCTCCATGAAGGCAAAGAGCTTGTCTATTTCTTCTCTAATGTATCCTAAGCACCTAAAAAGTAACATGTGACACATAATAGATGCTACATAATATCTATTAAGTCAGTGAACTTTGTCCCCTAAAAACCCATGCTGTAGGTTCTTCTGTTATCCCCATTTTGTTTATTTATTTATTTTTATTATATTTTAAGTTCTAGGGTACATGTGCACAATCTGCAGGTTTGGTACATAGGTGTACATGTGCCATGTTGGTTTGCTGCACCCGTCAACTCATCATTTACATTAGGCAAATCTCCTAATACTATCTCTCCCCACTCCCCCAACCCCACGACAGGACCCGGTGTGTGATGTTCCCCGCCCTGTGTCCAAGTGATCTCATTGTTCAATTCCCACCTATGAGTGAGAACATGTGGTGTTTGGTTTTCTGTCCTTGTGACAGTTTTCTGAGAATGATGGTTTCTAGCTTCATCTATGTCCCTGCAAAGGACATGAACTCATCCTTTTTTATGGCTGCATAGTATTCCATGGTGTATATGTGCCACATTTTCTTAATCCAGTCTATCATTGTTGGACATTTGGGTTGGTTCCAAGTCTTTGCTATTGTGAATAGTGCCACAATAAACATACGTATGCATGTGTCTTTATAGCAGCATGATTTATAATCCTTTGAGTATATACCTAGTAATGGGATGGCTGGGATGGCTGGGTCAAATGGTATTTCTAGTTCTAGATCCCTGAGGAATCACCACACTGACTTCCACAATGGTTGAATTAGTTTACAGTCCCACCAACAGTGTAAAAGTGTTCCTATTCCTCCACCTCCTCTCCAGCATCTATTGTTTCCTGACTTTTTAATGACTGTCATTCTAACTGGCGTGAGATGGTATTTCATTATGGTTTTGATTTGCATTTCTCTGATGACCAGTGATGATGAGCATTTTTTCACATGTCTGTTGGCTGCATAGATGTCTTCTTTTGAGAAGTGTCTGTTCATATCCTTTGCCCACTTTTTGATGGGGTTGTTTTTTTTCTTGTAAATTTGTTTGAGTTCTTTGTAGATTCTGGATATTAGCCCTTTGTCAGATGGGTAGATTGCAAAAATTTTCTCCCATTCTTTAGGTTGCCTGTTCACTCTGATGGTAGTTTCTTTTGCCATGCATCAGCTCTTTAGTTTAATTCGATCCCATTTGTCTATTTTGGCTTTTGTTGCCATTGCTTTTGGTGTTTTAGTCATGAAGTCCTTGCCCATGCCTATGTCCTGAATAGTATTGCCTAGGTTTTCTTCTAAGGTTTTTATGGTTTTAGGTCGAACATTTAAGTCTTTAATCCATCTTGAATTAATTTTTGTATAAGATGTAAGGAAGGGATCCAATTTCAGCTTTCTACATATGGCTAGCCAGTTTTCCCAGCACCATTTATTAAATAGGGAATCCTTTCCCCATTTCTTGATTTTGTCAGGTTTGTCAAAGATCAGATGGTTGTAGATGTGTGGCATTATTTCTGAGGCCTCTGTTCTGTTCCATTGGTCAATATATCTGTTTTGGTACCAGTACCAGGCTGTTTTGGTTATTGTAGCCTTGTAGTATAGTTTGAAGTCAGGTAGCATGAAGCCTCCAGCTTTGTCCTTTTTGCTTAGGATTGTTTTGGCAATGCGGGCTCTTTTTTGGTTCCATATGAACTTTAAAGTAATTTTTTCTAATTCTGTGAAGAAAGTCATTGGTAGCTTGATGGGGATGGCAGTGAATCTACAAATTACTTTGGGCAGTATCACCATTTTCTATCCATGAGCATGGAATATTCTTCCATTTGTTTGTGTCCTCTTTTATTTCGTTGAGCAGTGGTTTGTAGTTCTCCTTGAAGAGGTCCTTCACATCCCTTGTAAGTTGGATTCCTAGGTATTTTATTCTCTTTGTAGCAATTGTGAATGGGAGTTCACTCATGATTTGGCTCTCTGTTTGTCTGTTATTGGTGTATAAGAATGCTTGTGATTTTTGCACATTGATTTTGTATCCTGAGACTTTGCTGCAGTTGCTGATCAGCTTAAAGAGATTTTGGGCTGCGACAATGGGTTTTCTAAATATACAATCATGTCATCTGCAAACAGGGACAATTTGACTTCCTTATATCCTAATTGAATACCCTTTATTTCTTTCTCTTGCCTGATTGCCCTGGCCAGAACTTCCAACAGTATGTTGAATAGGAGTGGTGAGAGAGGGCATCCTTGTCTTGTGCCGGTTTTCAAAGGGAATGCTTCCAGCTTTTGCCCATTCAGTGTGATATTGGCTGTGGGTTTGTCATAAGTAGCTCTTATTATTTTGAGATACGTTCCATCAATACCTAGTTTATTGAGAGTTTTTAGCATGAAGGGCTGTTGAATTTTGTCAAGGCCTTTTCTGCATCTATTGAGATAATCAAGTGGTTTTTGTCTTTGGTTCTGTTTATATGATGGATTACATTTATTGATTTGCGTATGTTGAGCCAGCCTTGCATCCCAGGGATGAAACTAACTTGATCGTGGTGGATAAGGTTTTTGATGTGCTGCTGGATTTGGTTTGCCAGTATTTTATTGAGGATTTTTGCATTGAAGTTCATCAGGGATATTGGTCTAAAATTCTCTTTTTTTGTTGTGTCTCTGCCAGGCTTTGGTATCAGGATGATGCTGGCCTCATAAAATGAGTTAGGGAGGATTCCCTCTTTTTCTATTGATTGGAATAGTTTCAGAAGGAATGGTACCAGCTCCTCTTTGTACCTCTGGTAGAATCCATCTGGTCCTGGACTTCTTTTGGTTGGTAGGCTATTAATTATTTCCTTAATTTCAGAGCCTGTCTATTCAGACATTCAACTTCTTCCTGGTTTAGTCTTGGGAGAGTGTATATGTCCAGGAATTTATCCATTTCTTCTAGATTTTCTAGTTTATTTGCGTAAATGTGTTTATAGTATTCTCTGATGGTAGTTTGTATTTCTGTGGGATCGGTGATGATATCCCCTTTAACATTTTTTATTGCATCTATTTGATTCTTCTCTCTTTTCTTCTTTATTCATCTTGCTAGCGGTCTATCAATTTTGTTGATCTTTAAAAAAAAAAAAACCAGCTCCTGGATTCATTGATTTTTTTGTAGGGTTTTTTGTGTCTCTATCTCTTTCAGTTCTGCTCTGATCTTAGTTATTTCTTGCCTTCTGCTAGCTTTTGAATTTGTTTGCTCTTGCTTCTCTAGTTCTTTTAATTGTGATGTTAGGGTGTCGATTTTAGATCTTTCCTGCTTTCTCTTGTGGGCATTTAATGCTATAAATTTCCCTCTACACACTGCTTTAAATGTGTCAGAGATTCTGGTACGTTGTGTCTTTGTTCTCACTGGTTTCAAAGAACATCTTTATTTCTGCCTTCATTTAGTTATTAACCCAGTAGTCATTCAGGAGCAAGTTGTTCAGTTTCCATGTAGTTGTGCAGTTTTGCGTGAATTTCTTAATCCTGAGTTCTAATTTGATGGCATTGTGGTCTGAGAGACAGTTTGTTGTGATTTCTGTTCTTTTACATTTGCTGAGGAGTGCTTTACTTCCAATTATGTGGTCAATTTTAGAATAAGCGTGATGTGATGCTGAGAAGAATGTATATTCTGTTGATTTGGGGTGGAAAGTTCTGTAGATGTCTATTAGGTCTGCTTGTTGCAGAGCTGAGTTCAGGTCCTGGATATCCTTGTTAACCTTATGTCTTGTTGAACTGTCTAATATTGACAGTGGGGTGTTAAAGTCTCCCATTATTATTGTGTGGGAGTCTAAGTCTCTTTGTAGGTCTCTAAGGACTTGCTATATGAATCTGGGTGGTCATGTATTGGGGGTGCATATATATTTAGGATAGTTAGCTCTTCTTGTTGAATTGATCCCTTTACCATTATGTAATGGCCTTCTTTGTCTCTTTTGATCTTTGTTGGTTTAAAGCCTGTTTTATCAGAGACTAGGATTGCAATCCCTGCTTTTTTTTGCTTTCCATTTGCTTGGTAGGTTTTTTTTTTTTTTTTTTTTTTGAGACGGAGTCTTGCTCTGTCACGCAGGCTGGAGTGCACTGGTGCCATCTCAGCTCACTGCAAGCTCCGCCTCCCGGGTTCACGCCATTCTCCTGCCTCAGCCTCCCGAGTAGCTGGGACTACAGGCGCCTGCCACCACGCCTGGCTAATTTTCTTTGTATTTTTAGTAGAGACGGGGTTTCACCATGTTAGCTAGGATGGCCTCGATCTCCTGACCTCGTGATCTGCCCACCTCAGCCTCCCAAAGTGCTGGGATTATAGGCGTGAGCCACCGCACCTGGCCTGTTTGGTAGATCTTTCTCCATCCCTTTATTTTCAGCCTATGTGTGTCTTTGCACGTGAGATGGGTCTCCTGAATACAGTACACTGATAGGTCTTGCCTCTTTTTCCAATTTGCCAGTCTGTGTCTTTTAATTGGGGCATTTAGCCCATTTACATTTAAGGTTAATATTTTTGTGTGTGAATTTGATCCTGTCATTAAGATGTTCGCTGGTTATTTTGCCTGTTAATTGATGCAGTTTCTTCAAAGCATCGATGGTCTTTACAATTTGGCATGTTTTTGCAGTGGCTGGTACCAGTTGTTTCTTTCCATGTTTAGTGCTTCCTTCAGGAACTCTTGTAAGGCAGGCCTGGTGGTGACAAAATCTCTCAGCATTTGCTTGTCTGTAAAGGATTTTATTTCTCCTTCATTTATGAAGTTTAGTTTGGCTGGATATGAAATTCTGGGTTGAAAATTCTTTAAGAATGTTGAATATTGGCCCCCACTCTCTTCTGGCTTGTAGGGTTTCTGCCGAGAGATCCACTGTTAGTCTGATGGGCTTCCCTTTGTGGGTAACTCAACCTTTCTCTCTGGCTTCCCTTAACACTTTTTCCTTCATTTCAACCTTGGGGAATCTGATAATTATGTGTCTTGGGGTTGCTCTTCTCAAAGAGTATCTTTGTGGTGGTGTCTGTATTTCCTGAATTTGAATGTTGGCCTGCCTTGCTAGGTTGGGGAAGTTCTCCTGGATAACATCCTGCAGAGTGTTTTCCAACTTTGTTCTATTCTCCCCATCACTTTCAGGTCCACCAATCAAACATAGATTTGGTCTTTTCACATAGTCCCATATTTCTTGGAGGCTTAGTTCATTTCTTTTTAGTCTTTTTTCTCTAACCTTGTCTTCTCGCTGTATTTCTTTTCTTTTTTTTTTTTTTTTTTTTTTGAGACAGTCTCACTGTGTCGCCCAGGCTAGAGTGCAATGGCACGATCTTGGCTCACTGCAACCTCCGCCTCCCAGGTTCAAGCAATTCTCCTGCCTCAGCCTCTTGAGTAGCTGGGATTACAGGTGCCTGCCACCACGCCCAGCTAATTTTTGTATTTTTAGTAGAGACGGGGTTTCACCATGTTGGTCAAGCTGGTCTCAAACCCCCGACCTCGTGATCCACCTGCCTCGGCCTCCCAAAGTGCTGGGATTACAGGTGTGAGCCACCGCGCCTGGCCTCTTGCTGTATTTCATTAATTTGATCTTCAATCACTGACACCCTTTCTTCCACTTGATCGAATCAGCTATTGAAGCTTGTGCATGCGTCACGAAGTTCTTGTGCCATGGTTTTCAGCTCCATCAGGTCATTTAAGGTCTTCTCTACACTGTTTATTCTAGTTAGCCATTTGACTAATCTTTTTTCAAGGTTTTTAGCTTCCTTGCGATGGGTTCGAAAATTCTTCTTTAGCTCGGAGAAGTTTGTTATTACCAACCTTCTGACGCCTACTTCTGTCAACTCTTCAAAGTCATTCTCTGTCCAGCTTTGCTCTGTTGCTGGTGAGGAGCTGCGATCCTTTGGAGGAGAAGAGGTGCTCTGATTTTTAGAATTTTCAGCTTTTCTGCTCTGGTTTCTCCCCATCTTTGTGGTTTTATCTACCTTTGGTCTTTGATGTTCATGACCTACAGATGGGGTTTTGGTGTAGATGACCTTTTGGTTGATGTTGATGCTATTCCTTTCTGTTTGTTAGTTTTCCTTCTAACAGTCAGGTCCCTCAGCTGCAGGTCTGTTGGAGTTTGCTGGAGTTCCACTACAGACCCTGTTTGCCTGGGTATCACCAGCGGAGGCTGCAGAACAGCAAATATTGCTGCCTGATCCTTCCTCTGGAAGCTTCGTCCCAGAGGGCAGCCACCTATATATGAGGTGTCTGTCGGCCCCTACTGGGAGGTGTCTCCCAATTAGGCTTCATGGGAGTCAGGGATCCACTTGAGGAGGCAGTCTGTCCTTTCTCAGAGCTCAAACGCTGTGCTGGGAGAACCACTGCTCTCCTCAGAGCTGTCAGACAGGGACGTTTAAGTCTGCAGAAGTTGTCTGCTGCCTTTTGTTCAGCTATGCCCTGCCCACAGAGGTGGAGTTAGAGGCAGTAGGCCTTGTAGAGCTGCGGTGGGCTCCGCCCAGTTTGAGCTTCCCAGCCGCTCTGTTTACCTACTCAAGCCTCACCAAAGGCAGATGCCCCTCCCCCAGCCAGGCTGCCGCCTCGCAGATCAATCTCAGACTGCTGCGCTAGCAGTGAGCAAGGTTCTGTGGGCGTGGGACCTGCCAAGCTTGGCACAGGAGAGAATCACCTTGTCTGCCAGTTGCTAAGACCTTGGGAAAAGCACAGTATTTGGGCGGAGAGTGTCCCGTTTTTCCAGGTAGTCTGTCACGGCTCCCCTTGGCTAGGAAAGGGAACTCCCCGACCCCTTGTGCTTCCTGGGTGAGGCGACGCCCCACCCTGCTTCAGCTCGCCCTCCATGGGCTGCACCCACTGTCCAATGAGTCCCAGTGAGATGAACCAGGTACCTCAGTTGGAAATGCAGAAATCACCCATCTTCGGCATAGGTCATGCTGGGAGCTACAGAACGGAGCTGTTCCTATTCAGCCATCTTGGAACACTGCCCACTTCTTTTTTTTTTTTTTTTTTTTTTTTTTGAGATGGAGTTTCACTCTTGTTGCCCAGGCTGGAGTGCAATGGTGCGAGCTCGGCTCACCACAACCTCCACCTCCCGGGTTCAAGCAATTCTCCTGCCTCAGCCTCCCGAGTAGCTGGGATTACAGGCATGCACCACCACGCCCAGCTAATTTTGTATTTTTAGTAGAGACAGGGTTTCTCCACGTTGGTCAGGCTGGTCTCGAACTCCTGACCTCAGATGATCTGCCCACCTTGGCTTCCCAAAGTGCTGGGATTACAGGCGTGAGCCACCATGCCCGGCCTTATCCCCATCTTAATGATGATGGAATTGAAGCTCAAAAAATTTAAGTAACTAACTTGCCCCAGATCATTTGTCTAGTAACCAGTGGAGCTGAGCTATGAACCCAGAACCCAGGATTGACTAACTCCAAAAAATGTGCTTTCAACCATGAGGACAATCCTAAGAGTCACCTGAGCTATTTAATTAAATGTGGATTCTCACTCTCTTGACCCCAGGGATTCTGATTTTGCTTCTGTGGGTTTAGGGTACAGGTGATTCATGATCATATGTTGAGATGCATTGAGATATACTACATTGCTTTTAGGGTTTCACATCTGTATAGGGAGGCATAGGGATAAAATTCATTGAACGTTTTTTTAACTGTGTACTGTGTGCCAGTCCCCTTGATATGTATAAGCAAGTGAGATGGAGTCCCTACCCTCAAGACTTGGTCTAATGGGACCTTGGAACCCTGCCTTGACTCTGTCAGACTACCTCACTTGAGCAAGCCACTTACTCTTTAAGCCTTAGTTTCTCTATCTGTAAAATGGAGATAGTCAATTACTTACTTCAGAGCAAAAGGCCTGATCTATGATCCTGTGATTCCCAAGGCTCTTTTAAGTTGTGAAGTCACAGGGTGGACTAACTTCCAATGCTGAGAACAATGATGGGGTGGTGATGGGTCAGATAGACAAATAAATCAATA
Organism: Homo sapiens; assembly: GCF_000001405.40. Classification (NCBI taxonomy): domain Eukaryota; kingdom Metazoa; phylum Chordata; class Mammalia; order Primates; family Hominidae; genus Homo; species Homo sapiens. The sequence goes on from NC_000011.10 coordinate 47,120,595, forward strand.
ATTCAACCACCAATAAATAGTGGAATATGTAAAAGCATGCGCTTTGGAATCTGGCAGATCCATGATTCAAAGCTCGAATGTGCTTGCCTCTTGCTAGTTACGTAACTGGGCAAATTACTTCACTGCCCTGTGTCTGCAAGTAAAATGAGGACAGTACTTACCCTATAGGACTGCTGCGAGACATTCAATGAGAGTAATGATGCACAGCACTCAGTACAGCAGCTTAAAAACAGGTAACACCATGAAGCACTACAGAAGCAGTGATCAATAAATGGTTTAGAGACAGTAAACATCCAAAGACGCAGAAGAGTTTTACAGTTTTACAGCCTACTATTTTATAGTTTAAATTTGGTTACATTTTTTGTTGTTTTTAATATAACTTACATGGAAATCTTTTTAAAATGTATATGATACGTATACAGTGGCCTTCCCTGCCATCTTATGTAATTTAACTCCTCTAGGCATCTAAGCATCATCTTTGTCATCATAAATTATTTTACTCTGCTGGAAAAGATCATTGCCTTCAGGACCCACTGAAATGTACCCTAAATGTATCCAGATTATATTTAAAATATATTTTTCTGCCTCTCTGTTAGGTCATGTAGTTAATGCCTAATTATAGTTCTTTTTCCTCTCCTTGTTTACCCTGTCTAATCTGTATTGGGCTTAGAAACTAGTGGCCAAGCTTGTTAAAACTGCGAGTATAATCAGAGTATGTCTTGGAACCCTGTAAGTTAGCCACACGAGCTTTTGTATGTGGACTTCATGAAATCTTCTTGCCTACTTGGAGACTTATTGACATTTAGATATTTGGCATTGCCTATTAGTTAAGTTTTAAATTGACTAGATATTACTGTGTAAGGTACAGATACCTGAAAAAAAATTCCATTATTCTCAGCTTTGGAAGTTGATCCAATCTATGACTTCACAACTTAAAAGAGCCTTGGGAATCATGGGCTCATAGGTCTGGCCTTTTACTCTCAAGTAAATAGCAATTGATTATTATCTCTTTTTTACAGACAAAGAAATTGATCCCTAAGTGTAAGTAGCTTGTTCAAGTGAGGTAGTCTGGCAAAGTCAAGGCAGAGTTTCAAGTCTCCCAAGCCTGCCCTTCCGCTCTGCCACACTGTTCCCAGGAGGAAACAATCATCTTAGGCTGTAGAAAGGAAGGAAAACTATCAATAAATATGGTTAAAGATTAGAAAAATGGCCCAGCACGATGGCTAATGCCTATAATCCCAACACTTTGGGAGGATTGCATGAGCCCAGGAGTTTGAAACCAGCCTGGGCAACATAGTAAACACAGTGACATCCCTACAAAAAAAAAATTGCTGAGCATAGTGATATGTGCTTGTACTCTCAGCTACTCTGGAGACTGAAGCAGAAGGATCACTTCAGCCCAGGAATTCGAGGGTGCAATAAGCTATGATCACACCACTGTACTCTAGCCTGACAACAGAGCAAGACCCTGTCTCAAAAAAAAAAAAAAAAAAAAAAATATATATATATATATATATATATATATTAGAAAAATGAGATCTATGGAGGATATTGTAACTATTCAGTTCTATGCCCTTATTTTGATAGATGTTTTTCCTGTCACTCCTGCCCTCATTTGAAGGGGTTTATAACCTTAGTATGCCATCAGTGAGCCTGAACATCTCTATAAGGGAGGACCAAGGGGCATTATAATAAGATCCAAAAACATAGAATTATAAAAGATGATGATCTTTTCATCATGGATGAAACAAGGTGTAGGGAAGGAACTAAATGGCATTCAGGTGACTTAGAGGGGGAAGAAAGAGCCACTGAGAACGAGGGACATGGAAACAGGTTTCTGAAGGAAGATACATACTTGACCATCTCTGTGGATGGTTTCCTGCCTGCCGGCCTGCCATCCTTCCTTCCACAGCTTTGTTAAGATACAATTTATATACCATAAATCAAAATGGCTTTTTAAAAAATAAATCTTCTTAAATAATTCTTTTTTATTTTTTATTTTTTTTGAGGCAGAGTCTTGCTCTGTCACCCAGGCTGGAGTGCAGTGGCATGATCTCAGCTCACTGCAACCTCCGCCTCCCAGGTTCAAGCAGTTCTGCCTCAGCCTCCCTAATAGCTGGGATTACAGGTGTGCACCACTGTGCCTGGCTAATTTTTGTATTTTTAGTAGAAACGTGGTTTGCCATGTCGGCCAGGCTGGTCTCGAACTCCTGACCTCAAGTGATCCACCGGCCTCGGCCTCCCAAAGTGCTGGGATTACAGGCATGAGCCACTGCAGCCAACCAAAAAATAAATCTTATTCTTCTGATTGCAAGAAAGCACATATCATCCACGGTCCCCAAACACTGAGTTAACTACTATTTTTAACTCTGTTGATGTATCCCATTCTTTTCCCTATGCAAATTTTTATTCTTTTTTTTGTTGTTATTTTAAAGCAAACATGGAACCATACTCTATATGACAATTTTTATTTTGCTCTTTCCTCTTAATATCATGAGGTCATGTACTTTGTTTTCATCTTAAACTCATTTCATCAGATGAATTAAATCTTTATTGTAAAAGCTTCCAAAGAGAAATTCCTCATCTGGGGTTGAAAATTCAGATGCCAACACTGGCCAGGCAGGTCATATAAGAAGCATACGTGTTATTCGGTGGTAAACTGGCAACAGCATCCTCTTCCCCAGCTCCAGCTGATTGTGGTCATGCAGGAATGCTGGCCCATCATTACCAGGTCTTCTGATTTTTTTCTAAAAAAGAGAGCTATCTGAAATCTAGATTGTGTTGTGGGAAATATCTTAATGTTTTGCCTCAAAATTTAAAAAGTACACTTCAAGCCAAACAAAACCTGGCTGCCAGCTATATTCTCTGTCCCAGACAGTGAGTGCTAAGAGTTTCACAAGCATTATCTCATGTATTCTTCACAGCAGTCTTGCTCCTCTAATGGTTATTTATTAGGAACCAACAATGAATAAAAAATCAAAATCCTTGCTCTCTTGGAGCTTCTGTTGGGGAGACAGTTACTGCTCTGGAGAAAAAATAAAGCAGGAAAACAAGATGGGGGTAGAGGGAGAGTTCACAGCATTCCCACTCTGCTAGCAAGTTATGTGCTAGATGGTCAGATTATGACTGGGCACCGTGGCTCACGCCCGTAATCCCAACACTTTGAGAGGCCGAGGTGGGTGGATCACCTGAGGTCAGGAATTCAAGACCAGCCTGGCCAATGTGGTGAAATCCCACCTCTACTAAAAATACAAAAATTAGCCAGTGTGGTGGCTTGAACCCGGGAGGCGGACGTTGCAGTGAGCCGAGATCATGCCATTGCACTTCAGCCTGGGTGACAAGAGTGACTCTGTCTCAAAAAACAAACAAACAAATTATGCGCTACCCAGTCTTTGTGCTACTTCCTCAACCACAGAGAATGACAATGAAAGAATCCTAGAATGTTAAACCCAAAAGCAACCGTCACAATTATTGAGATTAAAAGGTTTGTACATTTTCAAATAGTTCTTAATGGTCTTACTTTTTTTTTTTTTTTTTTTTTTTTTTTGAGACAGAGGCTCGTTCCGTCACCCAGGCTGGAGTGCAGTGGTGCGATCTCGGCTCACTGCAACCTCCACCTCCCAGGTTCAAGCAATTCTTCTGCCTCAGCCTCCTGAGTAGCTGGGATTACAGGCACGTGCCACCACGCCTGGCTAGTTTTTGTATATTTAGTAGAGACGGGGTTTCACCATGTTGGTCAGGCTGGTCTCGAACTCCTGACCTCGTGATCTGCCCACCTCAGACTCCCAAAGTGCTGGGGCATAAGCCACCGCACCCGGCCTTAATGGTCTTACTTTTAAAAAATCCTTTGATGTCTTCTCATTGCTCATACTTTTGTTTACTTTCTTAATTTTAAAAATAGGTTATACATGAAAATGACAAAATTCAAAAGGGTATACAATCTTATATACTTTAAAATATACTTTACTTAGTCTATCCTATATACTTTAAAATGTATTTTACTTAGTCTAATCAGCCGTGATCATTTATTTATACGTGAGGCATGACAGGAAGAAATTGAGGCACAGAGTTGGTATCCAATGGAAGGCCACCCATTGATGGAGAAACCAAACCCCAGTGAGTAAAACCAGACTTTGTCTTTCAGAATTCTTGTGCATAAATGAAGTTGGGTAGATTCATCCTGATGCCACTGGATATTTTTCATTTTTTTTCTTTACTTTTTGTATGCCTGCCAGTCTCAGTGAAAGATAAGGATCAGGGTTCAGAAAGCCTAACTATTGTGTCGTTTCCCAGGATGGAGAGCACTATCATTTGGTTCACATTTTTATTAAAATAAGATGAGTGATTCACTCACATTACAGGCAAAGGATCCTTTACCAGGAAACCATACTTTGAAAAACAAAGCTGATGGCTTTAAGGAACAGTAACTACTAACATCAATTTCCTTTCCCATCAAGTCCCAAAAGAGTCAGACACTCTTCTTTCTCTAGCTGCCTCATTCTCTTCCCGATACATATCCATATAATTATAGATAGGGTACATTACATATACCCATAAAAGACAAAACAGCAGGAAAGACAAAGGTAGATTCATCTGAAGAGATGTGTGTGTTTATCTATATCCAGTCTTCTTTCTGGTTCTTGCTGTTTCTGTTCCTTACGTCTGTTTTTTTAGTTGATAGGTAGCCGTAAATCCATCATCATTGGTGGAAGCTAGTGGATTCTGACGAGAAAACAGGCTGTGGTCTTCATAAGCACGCCTACATGCTGGCCACCACCCTCCCCTGCTCGCACACCCATCAAGAACTGGAGAACTTAGATTGTTGCTTTTTTATTTTTAGTCTGTCTTGGTTCCACTCACCCTCAGTGAGTAACCCCGTTAGCCACTGCTTCTGTTTATATTTATTTAGAAAAGAAGGAAAATGCATTTTAAGAAAATCAAATGCATAATCTGTTCCACTTCTTATTTATTCTGTGGCTGCTTTGGACAGTGGAAAGCTCAGAGGAAGTATAATAACTTTTATTCATTTTTGTTTTCTGTGGCTTGCTCTCTTAAGTTCTCATCAGACAGCTTTGCTAATAACATAAAATTTCATCCTAATGATAAGCCTGATTTTAAATTGCAAAGAAAAAGGTAGTGGGGCCAGGAGCAGTGGCTCACGCCTGTAATCCCAGCACTTTGGGAGGCCAAGGCTGGCAGATCACTTGAGGTCAAGAGTTCAAGACCAGCCTGGCTAAGATGGCAAAACCCCGTCTCTACTAAAAATACAAAAATTAGCCGGGCACGGTGGCACGTGCCTGTAATCCCAGCTACATGGGAGGCTGAGGCATGAGAATTGCTTGAACCCAGGAGGCAGAGGTTGTAGTGAGCTAAGATTGTACCGCTGTATTCCATCCCGGGTGACAGAGCAAGACTCTGTCTCAAAAAAAAAAAAAAGTGGGAAGTATTTTTTATATATATAAATGAAATATACTTTTCTCTTCCTAATCTGTGTCTAGTCCTGTTAAAATTGCAGATACAGGCTTATAATGGCTTTAACTGTTTATTACTTTTGTTGTCTCTTCTCTATTTTCTTATAGGCATCAGTAGCAAGTCACTTAAAATAGAAAGGGCCTGTCAGTTTGAGGGGAAGCAAGTTACAAGCCAGACAGACTACATCTGACCCTGGAGCCACCCTAGGACAAAAAGTGATAGAAAGAGATGGAATAGCTAGTGGGAGATTTAAATGTTCACAGTAATAGTCACTGGCCAGGTGCGGTAGCTCACACCTATAATCCCAATACTTCGGGAGGCCAAGGCAGAAGGATCATTTGAGGCCAGGATTTCCAGAGCAACCTGGGCAACATATCAAGACTCTGTCTCTAGAAAAAATAAAAATGAAAAAATTAGCCAGGCATGATGGTGCATGCCTGTAGTCTAACTACTTCCCGCCTAGGCTAAGGCAGGAAGAGCTCTTGAACCCAAGGAATTCCAGGCTGCAGCGAGCTATGATCATACCACTGCACTCCAGCCTGGGTAACAGAGCGAGACCCTATCTCTAAAAAAATTAAAATAATGGCCAGCACGGTGGCTTATGCCTGTAATCCCAGCACTTTGGGAGACCGAGGCAGGTGGATTACTTGAGCTCAGGAGTTTGAGACCAGCCTGAGCAATATGGCGAAACCTTGTCTCTACAAAATATACAAAAATTAGCCAGGCGTGGTGGTGTGTGACTGTGGTCACAGCTATTTGGGGAGCTGAGGTGGGGGGGATTGCTTGAGCCCAGGAGGTGGAGGTTGCAGTGAGCCAACATGACGCCACCGCACTCCAGCCTGGGCAACAGAGCAAGATCCTATCTCAAAAAAAAAAAAGAATAAAATTAAATAATAAACAAAATAATAATAGCCAGTTGCAGCTAACATTTACTGGGTTCTCACTGTGGGAATTCACTGTGCCAGGTGTTTTTCATCCATAGACGAAGGAAAAGCAGGTTGGGTTCCCAGAGACTTACAGCAAAAAGAAAAGGACATCATAGGGAGCCAGTCTGTGTAGCAGAGAAAGGCCAGCCTTTGAATGAGAAGGCTTGATCTGATCCAGGAACTACCACTTATGCGGCAATTTTGTCCCTTGCTTGAGCCTCATTTTCCATGTCTATAAAAATGGGAATTAATACCATTTTCTTTTCCCTGCCCCACAAAATTCTTATGGGGATCAAAAGTGATAATGCATATGAAAATGGTTTGCATAATTCTACACTGTCTGCAAATATGAGCCATCAGCACTATTAAAAGTGAGGCAATAGAGGATTGGCAGTGCACTGACAGTCTGGGAAAGTGGCGCACCTGCCTTCAGGCAGGAACTCTGTTATTCATTCATCAATAAAGAACAAAGGCTTGACAAAATAATCATGAGATAAGAAATAAGATCGTTTCAGCCACCCACTGGCTGGAGCTGAAGGAGAACTGTGATAAATTGTGCCTTTTGTTATGCAGGTGCCATCCCACCTGTGTCTGTGTGCCTTAAATGAAGGAAAGTAATAAAAGTAATAACAAGAGCAGGTACTGTTGATTGGATGCTTATCTATGCCATGTACCAGCACCTTAATTTACCATCTCTTCCTTTAAAAAAAAAAAGATTTTTTAATCCTCTCAAAAATTCATGATTAGCATTATCATTATTCATACCATTATTACTATTATTCACTGTCATTTTCAATTGGCTCGCCTAATGTCACATGGCTAGTTAGCAGAAGAACCAGGATTTGGACCCAGATCGGCTGATTCAGGAGCCTTGATTATTATTATTATTTTTTTTTTGAGATGGAGTCTCGCTGTGTCATGTTGCCCAGACTGGAGTGCAGTGGTGTGATCTTGGCTCACTGCAACCTCCACCTCCCAGGTTCAAGCAGTTCTCCTGCTTCAGCCTCCTAAGTAGCTGGGATTACAGGCATGCGCCACCAGGCCCAGCTACTTTTTGTATTTTTAGTATAGACGAGGTTTCACCATGTTGGCCAGGCTGGTCTTGAACTCCTGACCAAGTGATCTGCCCGCCTCTGGCTCCCAAAGTGCTGGGATTACAGGTGTGAGCCACCATGCCCAGCCTTAGCCTGTACTCTTAACCATTGCACTATGTAAGACCCACTTAGGTTTTAGGGCCTAACTGCCCTTTGTAGAGCTCTAGAGTTTTAAGGTAGCACCTCAGGCCTTCTTTCCTCGACTTCTCGTCTGGGTGAGAGCTGTTGAAGAGAAAGTTGGCTAAAAAAGGCTTTGTTTTTATAAATATTAAATATTGAGATTCCTTACAAGATTTTCATTTGTTATCTCTTTGAGACAGGGTCTCACTCAGTCACCCAGGCTGGGGCGCAGTGGTGCAATCATGGCTCATTGCAGCCTTAACATCCTAGGTTCAAGCCATCCTCCCATCTCAGTCTCTTGAGTAGCTGGGACTACAGGCGTGTGCCACCATGCACAGCTAATTTTTTCATTTTTATTTTTTGTGGAGATGAGGTCTCACTATGTTGCCCAGGCTGGTCTTGAACTCCTGGGTTCAAGCGATTCTCCCGTCTTGGCCTCCCAAAGTGCCGGGATTACAAGCATGAGCCATTGCGCCAGACCTAGATTTCTATTTTTTAAAATGTATATATATTAAAACATTTTTTTCAGGCCGGGAGCAGTGGCTCACAACATCCTTATTTTACAGGTGAGAAAACTGAGGCCTAGAAAAATTGTGCCCAGATAGGTATAATCCTTTGCCGAAGTCAGACCAAGTTCTTTTCTCTATCATGATGTGTCTCTGTAGTAAACTTTTGCCCCCCTAAAACAACATAAAAACCTTCATTCTGGCTTTAAACACCCCCCAGAAATAAATTTAAAATTCTGCCTCTTTTTCAAAGGTTGAGTGAGGTATATCACCATTGGGAGGGTGTGATGTTTTCTCTTGCCTTTAGTCACCATTAGGAGGGATTAAGGTTTATTCTCCAGTTTAGCTCTTGTGCCTGTTTAACCATTTCTGTTCAATTAAGAACAGGAATGGGTTGCAGGAGTTTGTAACAACACCTGCTTCTTGGAGGAGAATTATAACTTGGCCCTGAGTTGTCCGTTTCAAAGGGCCCACCCTGTCCTCCTGTTTCCAAAGAAAAACTGGAAGTGGTAACACCTGGTGGAGCTGCATGAGCACGTGAGTGGTGGTGCAAATTCTAGGCTGGAGTCACTTCTTTGATGGGCTGCCGGAGCCTTTGAGAGCTTATGGTGCCAAGATCCTGCTCTACATTCTAGTGTCCAAAACTGCCTTCCATTTCCTCAATAATGGGTAGGAAACTGTGTCCATGCCAGAGTAGCTAGCCCCGTTGCTACTAGAGAGGCTTTCTTTTCTCCTAGCACTGGTGCCTCCTTCCACAATGCATACGGCTGCCCACCCTCGCCATATGCAGCCTGTGTTTCATATCCTCACACTTTCTAAGACAGGACCTCCCCCAGAACAAAGCCTTGCCTTGGTCCTCCAATCCCTAATGGCCCCATCGTGATGAACAGACCCCCAAGGGTTCGACACAGTATAGGGGATTCTTATCAGACCAGGCCTGTGGTTTAAGCCACCAGTGGTGGTTCAGGATGGCCATGGTTAGCCTAAAAACCTGATCAGATTGCCATGGTATGTCCTACATGACCCTGGGTAGAATGTTGAGATCCTGGTTAGAAATGCCTGCATTTCTTTAAATCTTTACCTGCTGTATATAAACAGTTCCTGGAGAGTTGTTTTTGTTCATTTTAAACGTTGCCATAAAATTGTTACTGTGTCTGATTTAATACTTTGCCTAGAACAAAGATACTGCCAAATAGAAATAGACTAAATACATTTCTAGCTTGGTGTCTGGCTTAGTCATAATAAAATATAAAACTAAAGGGGCAGCCGGGTGCGGTGGCTCACGCCTATAATCCCAGCACTTTGGGAGGCCGAGGCGGGCGGACCACGAGGTCAAGAGATGGAGACCATCCTGGCCAACATGGTGAAACCCCATCTCTACTAAAAGTACAAAAATTAGCCAGGCATGGTGGCAGACACCTGTAGTCCCAGGTACTCGGGAGGCTGAGGTAGGAGACTCGCTTGAACTCGGGAGGCAGCGTTTGCAGTGAGCCGAGATAGCGCCACTGCTCTTCAGCCTGGCGACAGAGCAAGACTCTGTCTCAAAAAAAAAAAAACCAAAAAAAAACTAAAGGGGCTTTCTGCCCCCATTGGAACACACTGAAGATGCTCTGGGGAGTAATGAGCTGGCAAAGGGTAGTGTTCATAATGGCCCAAATACTTTACCCCACAGGTGTCATTCGAGGCCATTGCCTCTTATTCCTTTTGTAAGGTCATTTCCCATTCAGTCAACTAATTATCATTTCCCTCCATTTATAATATAAAACAACAGTGCTGCCAGAGGAGATAAAATTGAATAACACAGCCTTCTCTTCTTCTGGGGCTTTGCTTGACAGGAACATGGCCCTAGTAGGGTAGCAATCTTTCTGTGACATGTGATACCAACTGCTACATGGGGAGTGAAGTCGTCAGATGTCTTGCCTCCTTCTTCCCTTCCCCCACACTGTCCCTCACTCCCTTCCCCCTCCTCACAGAGTAGCACTGAGAAGTATTTACTCAGCTGTGGCCTGGTAACAAAGCCTTGGTGCCCCAGGGATTGGAAGGGGTGGTGTGGTCATGCCCCGAACTATCCATGTCCTTCCGAGCATCTCTTGGCAGAGCAGCCTGGCTGAGGATGAGTGTCATTTAGAGTGAGCCTTCACAACCCCTGCATAAAAGAACATAAAAACAATTGCAGCTGAAAATTGGAGAGTCCACACATGGGCTGTGGTATTCTCTGGCCTCTGTGGTAGTACTATTGAGATCATGCAGCCAACAAACTAGAGGCTGTTCAGTCCTCTGGGACTCCCATGGCTTGTAGCATTTCATTATCTTTAGCTCTTGTCCAGCACTAGCTCACTCAACCAACATATAGGCACTCACACAAATGAATTTAGACTGAGCCCCATTTCATCCCCCATAAATTTAGAGCTAAAAGTCTTTGACTTCAGGCTTTAGGGAAGGTTTTCTCTGAAGGAATGAATATATGGCCCCACTTCCTTCCATCTGGCACTCCTCCATGGGTATTCTTTAGTGACACCACTGTGATCCTGGCAAAGGTACCATTTCCCAGGAAGAGGAGAGGTATCCGATCTACAGCTATATTCCACCACAGTTCTGAGCAAATGTGGACACGCATGGTGGTCTGCAAGGAGGATGTAGAAATGACTAAGCTGCTCCCACAGAGCTTCAGAAGCAGGACTTGCCACAGCAAGAAGGCAGACCAGATGTCAAAAAGACATCCTTTTCCTACAAATGAGAATGAGTTAGCCCTTGAATATATTGGGAATCAATAATTTCTGACTAATTTTCTTAGCTAAAGTAAATTCATCTAACACTCTCTAGGATTAGAGTGGATATAACCAACAGAAGAATATTTTGAGTCAGGGCAGTGCTTATCTTGAAAGCAGTAGTATTCATGCTAGAGTTGTAACAGCAATAAAGTGAATTTCTGTGAAGTGAACCCTAGGCTTCCTTTGGTTTTCATGGAAAAATCAGTGACATGGCCTGGCGCAGTAGCTCATGCCTGTAATCCCAGCACTTTGGGAGGCTGAGGCGGGTGGATCACCTGAGGTCAGGAGTTCGAGACCAGCCTGGCCAACATGGTGAAACCTCACCTCTACTAAAAATACAAAAATTAGCCTGGCGTAGTGATGCATGTCTGTAATCCCAGCTACTCGGGAGGCTGAGGCAGGAGAATCGCTTGAACCCAGTAAGCAGAGGTTGCCATGAGCCGAGATTGTGCCACTGCACTCCAGCCTGGGTGACAGAGTGAGACTCTGTTAAAAAAAAAAAAGGAAAATCAGTGATACATTCTTATGAAAAGAAATATTCAAGCTGATTGAACTGAGCACTTGGTGCAAAGGCCAACAAGCCCATGAAGTGTAGTACACTGGTCATGGTTTATCATGTTTACTGACAGTTATAGTACCTAGCACGTAGGGGATTTTCCTTTTTTCACACTTTACAACTCCTGGTTTCTCCTCATACCCCTGTAATTTTGCAGAAATGCCTCCTGTGCCTGGAGACCCCCTATCTTTGTGTTCACACAGTAACCAGAACTTTTTCCCTATGAATTTTTATTTGGGTCACTGTGTGAGGCATGTTTTTATTTATTCATTCCTTCAACAGGTGTTTACTGCAATGCACCAGGCATTGTGCTGATTGCTTTAGCTAAGTTCAAAGATTCCTTAATTTCAGGACTTCAAGTTTTAATCAGTTAATAATTATAAAATAATGCTACCACTTATTGAGCACTTTGCTAACTTTTTTCAGAAAAGTGTATATGTTACCTCTTTTGATCTTTTACAACAATTCCATTAGGTAGGTACTGTAGTTCTTACACTTTTAAGACAAGGAAACCAAGGTTCAGGGAAGTTGTACAGCTTGTCTAAGTCATGCTGGTGGCAAGTAGTGGAGCCAGGTTTTTGAAGCCAGGTCATCTGATTGCAAAGTCAGAGTTCTGCACTAATACAACTGCCCTGCCCAACTACCCTGTGCTGTTTAAAGTGGCCTGCCTGAAGGGTACCTGTATGTTTAACTTAGATAGAAAATCTGTCAGTCACCTGGTGTGAATAATCCTAACATCAGAAGTCCTTCACAAACCAGCTGGATCCCACCTGCTAGGGTGGAACTTGCAGGACCTTCAGAGCCTGTGCTAGGCCTAGGTCTGAATCTCAGCCCTCTTCCTAGCTGTTTCCTTGAGAAAATGATTACACCTCACTGAGCCCTAGTTTCTTTATTTCTAAAATAATAATAGCAAGTACTAACAGATGGCCCTTACGATGGGTCAGACACTGTTCTAAGCACTTTACATTAACTCATAACAACTCTGCAATGTTCATACTGTCATTTCATAGATGGGGAAACTGAGGCATGGAGAGCTTAAAAGTCAAGTAACTTGAAGTCAGTGGCAAAGCTAGGATTTGGACCCGAACAATCTAACTCCAAAGTCCATGCTATTAACCACAATGCTATGCTGTGCTGCCTCTGGAGAAGATAGGATCAAGGGTGTAAAACACCTCTGGTCTGGAGCCAGCCACATAATTGGTGAGACTAGTGCAAGGCTTAGAAGAAGAAAGTTTAGCAGTCTGACCACCCACAAAAGGAGACACACAAATTTGTGGAGAGTGTTCTGATTTTGATCTTACACCAAAGCCTTATTATGTCTTTGCCTTTGAACTTGCAGGACCTACTGGCTGACACTCTTCTAATTGTGGGGGGATCTAGAGAAGGTGTCTACTGATACACAATACTTACCTCCCCTGCACCTGCCAGGTAGAAGAGTGGCTGGCAGGTGGGTGGGGATGAGAGACCACGGTGTGGCCACCAGCACAGTGGTCCCCCAGCCCATGCCCTCTGGCCTGAGGCTGCTGTGCTGGAGCCTCAGTCTTCCCTGTTGACAGTAATTAGAACTTTTCAGACTCGGTTTCTTACATGGAAAATCTCAATTCACTTGAATTGTCTCCTTGATCCAGTTCAACTGGAGCTATTTAGTTCCTGCAGTTAGTTTGGAGGGGAAAACAAGCTCTTAAGCCTCACACATTATAGCTGATAAGATCAAGGTGCTGACAGTGTTAGCTGGGTAGGCTTTGGAGCCAGACTGCCTGGGTTTGAATTCCAGTTCTACCTCTTAAGTGTGCACAATCTGAGTTTTTGTGTCTGTGAAATGAGGATAATAGTCGTGAAGATTAGTGAGGTGACATATGTAAACCCCTTAGAACAGTGCCTCCCCAAGACCAAGTGCTCAATAAATGTTAGCTGTGTTATTGTTAAGCCCCTCCTGCCATCAGCCTCCCTTCTCTCCCTCCCACCCTGAGATCTTGCTCAGGGAAGACAGGTCCCCTTCCTCTCCCCTACCCTGGACCCTCCTCTCTTTCCTTGCTCACCAGCTTATTTCATCCCTCTAAACTTTCTCATCCTCATCTGTGAAATGGGACTGGAAATAATGGAGTCTACTTCATAAGGTAGTATGCTGTGAAGGCTAAGTGAGTTAATTTTTTTTTATTTTTTATTTTTTTGAGGGGGGAAGGAGTCTCACTCTGTCACCCAGGCTGGAGTGCAGTGGCATGACCTCAGCTCACTGCAACCTCTGCCTTCTAGGTTCAAGAGATTCTCCTGCCCCCCAAGTAGCTGGATTACAGGCACCTGCCACCATGCTTGGATAATTTTTGTATTTTTAGTAAAGATGGGTTTTTGCCACGTTGGCCAGGCTGGTCTCGAACTCCTGACCTCAGGTGAACTCTTGCCTTGGCCTCGCAAAGTGCTGGGATTACAGGCGTGAGCCACTGCGCCTGGCCTAAGTGAGTTAATTCAAGAGCTGAGCACAGATCTCCATGGCTACTCACTCTCTTTACAGTTATTGCTGGAGCACAAAGGGCTGTGAGAAGGGCCTTTGAGATCTTGGACAGTTCTAAGAGCCAAAGGGCCCAAAATAGACAGGAGCATTAGGGTGAACTGGTGCCCAAATGCAGGCTGCAGAAGCTAGGGGGACTGCTACCTTGTTCATCATAATGGGGAGCCTGGAACAGAGCAGGCACATGGGAATAGGAAGTGAGTGGCCACTGCAGGAGAGTGTTCAAAACGGATTTGGCTCAGGCAACCCAACAGAGAACTTTCAAGGCAGAAAACTTTTAGGTGTTTAAGTGTCCAAACTCAGCAACAGCCAGGCTCATGCCTGTAATCCCAACACTTTGGGAAGCTGAGGCGGGAAGTTCAAGACTAGCCTGGGTGACGGCACGAGACCCCGTCTCTACAAAAATTTTTTAAATGCGCAGGGTGTGGTGGCATATGCTTGTAGTCCCAGCTACTTGGGAGGCTGAGATGGGAGGATCACTTGAGCTCAGGAGTTCGAGACTGCAGTGAGCTATGCCACTGCACTCCAGCCTGGGTAACAGAGTGAGGCCCCCATCTCAAAACTAATTAATTAATTAATTAATTAAAATTTAAAATAAAAAAAACTCAGCAACAAATACCTTCCTCCTCTCTTCTTCTCACCTCCAGAATTTGAAAACAGAACCAAAACAAACTCCCATTGTTTGATGTTACTAAGTTCTAGACATTCTGCTAAGCACTTTATAGACATCATCTCTCTTACACTTGACTTTAACCCTGAGAAGTGTCAGTGTCACTTGCATTTTACAGATGAGAAACTGAGACTTAGAGAGATTAAGCAATTTGCCCAAGATTACATACCTGGTGAATCGCAGAGCCAAAATTTGAATCCTAGCCTATGGAGCAGAAAGGGAACAAGCTCCCATATGCCTATCAGTGTTCTGATTTTGAAATAAGTCTTACCACTTATAGTTCTCTCAATACCCACTGTACAACAGCTGAGGAGTGTCTCGAAGTAGCAGAAATCATCTGCCCTTGACATTATCTGGTCACTACTTCAGTAGAATTAGAACTCCTCTCTCCACATCCCAACACAGAGTCTGCATGGAAGAATAATAATAACAACTAATAGAACTACTCTCTCCACAATTAAAAGTTGTTTATTTGCTTGCATTTTCATTAATCTCTTTATCTGACTACTGTCCTCACTTAACATTTAGAAGAGTCAAGTTCCAGAAGTGGTGAGCAGGATGTATTCTGTTTTTCATATTTTTAAGAGCTTTTGTTGTGTTAGAGAAGCACGCAGTGATTTTTGTAAATCATTCTTCTGTCCTTGGAAGCAAGTACTTGAAGTACATGAGTTAGAATAATATCAAAAACCTGAAGAGGGCCTAGGGTCTAGAAACCAGGAAGCTAATGTTGACTCCTAGCATTGTCTTTCTTAATTAAGTAACTCTCTCTCTCTCTCTCTCTCATTTTTTCATTTTCCTTCATTCTGTTATCTTCCCAAGGATATTTTGTAGGTAATTTGGGGGATAAATGTAAGTTCCTATGAAACACTCTGACTCTCCCTAAGAATGCTATCAGATATATCCACCAAAGTTTAGCCTAGAAAAGCACGATGATTCAAAGATAGAACTTTCCTTTATTTACTCCCTGCCCTGCCAGAAATCACTCTTCTCTTTTCTCTACATGGGGAGTTCTGGAGTGAGAATAAAGTGGGAACACATTAGACTCAGTGGATTTTCTCCCTTCCCTTCGCCTTTTTCCTCACCCCAAGCCTGAGACCACGAGTGGCAATGACTCCCTCCCTTGAAGAACAAGACCTCCTGCCAGGCTGTGCCCGAGGTCAGGCAAGTGGGAAGAGGAGAGTGCCACAAAACCATCTTGATCCTTTGACCTATATTGACGCTGAGTCTGTTCCTTTGGTGTTTCTGACTTTGGCAGTGTGGTTAGTCAAACTCTCTGTCCCCACCTTGAATTAAGCTTTGATGAAAAAGTACTAGGAACCCAGGCCTTTCCCTGGAGATTTGGGGTTTTTGTCTTGGAAAAGCATCAACCAAACTAACGGGGGCAGGAGATCTGGATTCCTGTGGCTTGGGCTAACTTAGGTCCAAAGAAACCAAGTGCCTGTGATCATCATCTTCATTCCCCAAATGTAGCCATGCCCTCTGGATTCCCTCCTCTCACTCATCCTCCTCCCAATTAGGCAGGCTTCCGGGTGGATTGCTCTCACTTTAGCATTACCAGGCCCTTCCATATTCGAAATGCTTTGATATATGATAATACTTACACATTCTTACTCCTTGGCTGATCTAAAATCTTTTGCCTTCAGTACATGCAGCAACAAAATAACTTAAGCATCAGTGTATTTCTTCTCCCTCAGGATCCTATAAATTTCTCTGAGATTCACCTCTCTGGGTTCTCTGCTGGACCACAGAGCCTCATCCTGGCTCACCTCTCCCAAAGCACAAAGCATTGCTTCTGTATATCAGGAATCATTTGGTTGCCTTGACTGTATATCTTGGACCTTTGTCTTGGCTTCCTATAATAGGATGACCAGATTTGTGTTCAGCCATTCAAAAGAAGCCAGCCTGCTGCAGTACTGGATGACAGAGTAATGAGGTCTGTGGGTTTCTATGCTGTACTCTTCTCCCTACACAGCAAGACTGTTTGCGTTAGTACTGCTTCCAGATATTCTGTGGATGGTCTTTGGGCATGTGGTGGGAAACGTTACCATGCCAGAGAATTTCAGCAAATTTAACCGGCTTTGAAATGACTTGTTCTTCCAGATTTTTATATACAAGGAAAACCAAACTAAAGAAGACTGATGAAGGTGCCTCTCTTGTTTGCTCTCTTCACCCGACCAATTTTCATACCAGTGAAGCTCCTTTGGTCAAAATGGTGTAACTGGATGCCTCCCACCCTGGAAAAGCTTTGTAGAAATACTGATCTTAAAATCTCACACCTGGAGGTTAGAGACTAGCATACCCTTCACACTGACTTGCTTTTAAAAGAACAGCTCTACCAAGACCAGGTCTGAAACTCATGAAATGAACAAAAAGAGGGCAGTGACTTGAAATGCAGAGACCTAATGTGTTCCTCTCCATTTCCACTTCAGATTTGCTGACCATGAAAGAATATCACTGTTTGCTGCAATTACTGTGTCCTGATTTCCCGCTGGAGCTCACTCAGAAAGCAGCCAGGTACGTCTCCTGGACTCTTGAAACCAACTCAGCTCTCTGTGGGCCACTGCTTCCTAGAGAAACCTGGAGTGTATACAAATGAAAAAAAGGAGCATTTAGGGAAGAAACTGGCAGTGGGAGAGGGGTCTATTTGGGATGTGCCCCAAAACATAATACATTCTGCATTTCCAAAGGGAAGCGAAATGATCCTTTGTGGTTTCTGTGGGGAGCCTCAGGGTCTGAAGATAGAGTTGGAGGGTGGTGAGATGAAGAGGCAGAAAAAGCCCAGACCCCTCCAATACCCCCACACACACACACCCTAGAGGATATTCTGAGAAAAGAGGGGCTGCATTTGTGTGTTTTCACGCTACTGTAAAGATACTACCCAAGACTGGGTAATTTATGAAGAAAAGAGGATTAATTGACTCACAGTTCCGCGTGGCCTCAGGAAACTTACAATCGTGGTGGAAGGCAAAGGGGAAGCAAGGACCTTTTTCACATGGTGGTAGGAGAGAGAAGTACAGACAGGGGAAATGTCAGACGCTTATAAAACCATCAAATGTCTTCAGAACTCACTCACTATCACAAGAACAGCATGGGGGAAACTGCCCATGTGATCCAATCACCTTCCACCAGGTCTCCCTCTCAACACCTGGGGATTACAATTCGGGTTGAGATTTAGGTGGGAACACAAAGCCTAACCATATCAGGGGGCAAGGGTTGGCAGTGACTTGTGATGAAGAGAGTTGAGGTTGGGGACTGGAAGGGCATAAAGGTGATAAAGCCCCAGTTGAAGGAAAGGCACATTATATTATTTATGCCAGAAGAAGGTTTTCAAGATCAGTCCAGAACCAGGACTTGGCAGAAATAGTTAGAAGCCCCTAATTTCTGTGTTGGGTTTCACCATCATTCACAATTTTTAACCACATGAGGTAATTGGACTATGCCTCAGTTAACTTTTACTTACTTAACTCAAAACCTGAGCTAGGCCAGACACGGTGGCTCACGCCTGTAATCCCAGCAGTTTGGGAGGCCAAGGCAGGCAGATCCCCTGAAGCCAGGTATTCAAGACCAGCCTGGCCTACATGGCGAAACTCCATCTCTACTAAAAATACAAAAAATTAACCAGGCACGGTTGCGCTTGCCTGTAGTCCCAGCTATTCGGGAGGTGGAGGCAAGAGAATTCGCTTGAACCTGGGAGGCGGAGGTTGCAGTGAGCAGAGATCGTGCCATTGCACTCCAGCCTGGGCGACAGAGCAAGACTCCGTCTCAAAAAAAAAAAAAAAAAAAAAAAAAAAAAAAAACCTGAGCTAGGGTTGCAAATGGACGTACAGCAAAAATCATGTTTATCGAAGAATGCCTACCTTCCCTATATCATACTGAATGCATTTACCTTCATTGTTCTATTTAAATTTGTTTACCTTAACTATCTCACCTAATCCTTGTAAAAACTGTTACTTCCCTTTAAAATGATCCTTTGTGGTTTCTGTGGGGAGCCTCCGGCTCTGAAGACAGAGTTGGAGGGTGGTGAGAGTATTAGGCAAACAACAAAACACACACACAAATACATACCCACACTCCCACACACACCCCTAGAGGATATTCTGAGAAAAGAGGAGGCAAGGGTTGGCAGTGACTTGTGATGAAGAGGGTTGCGGTTGGAGACCAGAAGGGCCTGAAAGCAGCTGGGCGTGGTAGCTCATGCCTGTAATCCCAGCACTTTGGGAGGCCGAGGTGGATGGATCACCTGAGGTCAGGAGTTCGAGACCAACCTGACCAACATGGTGAAACCCTGTCTCTGCTAAAAATACAACAATTAGCCTGGCGTGGTGGCAGGCACCTGTAATCCCAGCTACTTGGGAGGCTGAGGCAGGAGAATCACTTGAACCTGGGAGGCAGAGGTTGCAGTGAGCCGATTGTGCCACTGCACTCCAGCATGGGGGACAGAGTGAGACTGAACGTCAAAAAAAAAAAAAAAGGGAGCATGAAAGTGATGAACCCCAGTTGAGGGAAGGGTACTGTTACTGCTCACTTCACTGAAGTGGGAACTGAGGCTCAGACGGGTGACAATGTTGTGCGAATATACTGATAGCTTGTAAGTAGCAGTGGCAGAACTGGAACCGCAGTCAGCCTGAATCCAGAGATGGGGGATCGGGAGCACAAGGAGTCTCTTCATGCTCCCACCTCCCTGTGTCATGGCATCATTTCTGCTTTGTGGTTTGACCCACTGAAAACAAAGCTGCATTGGCTGCACTGCACCAAGAATCACCTCGCTCCTTTTGAAATGTGCCAACCAGCTCCTCTATTGACTTGGAAGATGGGAACTCCATTGCTCCCAGTGACAGACACCAGCCTCACGGTGGGGCACGGTGTTTTGCAGCTAACAGCTCATGACCTACTTTTGCTGGTCATGTGCAAAACCTGTTTAGTGATCACACATGCAAAATTTTGTAGGTTTTTTTCTCCCTCATTATTCAGTGGATAATTTTCTTTCCTGATGGCAACTGGCCACTGGTAAAAGCCGCAGTTCAGGTTTTATAATTTTAATTTATCTGCTATCCAAAGGAGATTTGGATATTTTTTTTCTTCACTGAAAAAAAAAAAGTATGGGAGATTATCTCTTGTAATTTAAAAGCAGCCAAATGGAGTTAGCTTTAAATTTCCATGATCGTTCCCCTTTGGGCAGAAATCATTTTATTAAAAACATTTTTGTTTGTTTGTTTGTTTTCTTTGAGACAGAATCTCACTCTGTAGCCCAGGCTGGAGGGCAGTGGTGCAATCTTGGCTGACTGCAGCCTTCACCCCGCCTCTCCCTGGGTTCAAGTGATTCTCCTGCCTCAGCCTCCTGAGTAGCTGGGATTATAGGTGTGCACACCATGCCCGGCTAATTTTTTTTTTTTTTGTATTTTTGGTAGAGACGGGGTTTCACCATGTTGCCCAGGCTGGTCTCAAATTCCTGACCTCAAAAGATCTGCCCACCTAGGCCTTCTAAAGTGCCTGGGATTACAGGCATGAGCCACCACAGCCAGCCTGGGCCCAGATTGTTTTAAGGAATATTCAGCCCCAAAATCTGGGGAGATAAACTCAGCATCCTTAAAGACCGAACTTAAGGCCGGGCACGGTGGCTCACGCCTGTAATCCCAGCACTTTGGGAGGCCAAGGCAGGCGGATCACGAGGTCAGGAGATGGAGACCATCCTGGCTATCATGGTGAAACCCCATCTCTACTAAAAATACAAAAAAATTAGCCGGGCGTGTTGGCGGGTGCCTGTAGTACCAGCTACTCAGGAGGCTGAGGCAGGAGAATGGTGTGAACCTGCAACAACTATATCCTATATTCATTTGTTCATTTGTTTATTCATCAAATGTTTCTTTTTAACAGCTTTTTGGGATACAATTCACATACCATACACTTCACTCATTTAAAGTATAAAATTCAATTGCTTTTAATATATTTCCAGAGTTGTGCATCCATTACCACAGTCCATTGTAGAATGTTTTCATTACCCTAAAAAGAAATCCTACACCCCTTAGCCATTACTCTTCAGTCCCCACTCCACCGTCTTCCCCAACCCTAGGCAACCCCTAATCTACTTTCTGGCTCTGTAGATTTATCCACTGGGCATTTCAAATAAGTAGAATTGAGGCCAGGCACAGTGGCTCATGCCTGTAATCCCAACACTTGGGGAGGCTAAGTGGGGAGGATTGCTCAACATGGTGAAACCCCATCTCTAACAAAAATACAAAAACTTAGCCAGGCGTGGTGGTGTGCGTCTGTGGTCCCAATTACTTGGGAGGCTGAGGTGGGAGAATTGCTTGAGCCTGGGGGGCAGAGGTTGTAGTAAGCTGAGATTGTGCCACTGCACTCCAGCCTGGGCAACTGAGTGAGACTCTGTCTTTAAAAAAAAAAAAAATCAAATAAGTAGAATTGTATATGTGGTCTTGGCCAGGCATAGTGGCTCACGCCTGTAATCCCAGCACTTTGGAAGGCTGAAGCAGGAGGATCATTTGAGGTCAGGAGTTCAAACCCAGCCTGGCCAACATGGTGAAACCTGTCTCTACTAAAAATACAAAACTTAGCTGGGCATGGTGGTGCACATCTATAATCCCAGCTACTCAGGAGGCTAAGGCAGGAGAATCACTTGAACCCGGGAGGTGGAGGTTGCAGTGAGCCGAGATCATGCTGCTGCACTCCAGCCTGGGCAACAGAGCTAGACTCTGTCTCAAAAAAAAAAAAAAAAAAAAAAAAAACCACGACCAGGTGCAGTGGCTTACGCCTGTAATCCCAGCAGTTTGGGAGGCCAAGGTGGGTGGATCACGAGGTCAAGAGATCGAGACCATCCTGGTCAACATGGTGAAACCCCATCTCTACTAAAAATACAAAAATTAGCTGGGCGTGGTGATGCACGCCAGTAGTCCCAGCTACTTGGGAGCCTGAGGCAGGAAAATCGCTTGAACCCAGGAGGCAGAGGTTGCAGTGAGCCGAGATCGCGCCACTGCACTCCAGGCTGGTGACAGAGTGAGACTCCATCTCAAAAAAAAAAAAAAAAGTGTTTTTTTTGTGACTAGTTTCATGTTTTAGGTTGGTGTAAAAGTAATTGTGGTTTTGCCATTATTTTCAATGGCAAAGACTGCAATTACTTTTGCACCAACCTAATAGCACAATGTTTTCATGGTTCATCCATCTTGCTGTATGTATCAGTACTTCATTTCGCCAAATGTTTCTTGAGTGCATATTTTGTGCCGGGAGCTATTCTGCAAATGGGGATACAGTCATGAATAAGATATAGTTCCTGCCCCTCAAAGAACTTGATATAGAAGGGGACTGCTTAGGTACTGGTCATTGGCTGCCACCACTCTGTGACGTATGACCTTGGTTTTGATCAATCACTCCAGAATACTGACCTCTTTTCCCTTTCCCATGATGTGAGGGAGCTTATGAGAGTGAGGCTTCAAAATGCATCTTAGCCCCCCGCAGCCACAGCTTTGCATTTGCCCCAGCTGTCTCCTCAGACCCTTCCAAACAATCTGATACATGAAAGCACCACAAGATTTGAGTGTAGGTGGTAGAATCCTGTAAGAACCAAAAATTCTCGATACCAAGGTAGAATTGTACAGTTATTGATACCAAGGGGCTTCTGGAATGGTATTCCTCTATTTGCGGCTGGAAACTTACCCACTCCTCACCTAGAGGCCTGCTGTTTGACAGACACCTCAGACCTTTCTGTCTGAGCAGGAGGAAGCATCGTAGCCAGTCCATATCAATAGCAGTCTGAGGGAATTATGGGAATGGCAGTAACAACAGAAGGGCCAAGGGTAACCCACATGGCACTGGCTGCAGTTAGAGATGAATTCAGAATTAGGATAAGTTTGTTTTCTCCCCGAGTATGAGCATCAAGCTTCTGTGTCAACTTCTCCTCCCAATGCCATGCTTTCCCCACTGTACTGCAGCTGGTGCATATGTAGAAAAATTGTATGTATCCCAGAAAGCATCCCCTGATTTTGTAAACTATTCTCATTTTGTCCTGAAGATCAGGGTCCCAGCTTCCCCACACACATACCTATGCATCTGATCAGAACTGCAAATGGAGGTGGTAGAGACTTCAAGGCAGTTACTATTGCTAGAAGAGGAACTGCCCTCTCCCATTTCACTGCCAGGCTTACTTTATTCAGGACACTGAAGTCTGGGGACAGGCTGCAGAAGCAGGCTCCAGTCTGTGATGATGTGTGCGTAAAAGAATGTAATCCACATGCAGCTGGAAGCCGGAGCCTGTTCAGGGGCATGGTGTCTCCACATGCGCCTGCCTTATGTGCTACAAGCATCATGGCCAGGCCCTGGGGCAGCAGGTGTGAGCTGGAAAAACAGGAAAAGAAAAAGCAAACAGACTCCATGACAGCAGCCAAGCCAGAGATCCCCTCCACCTCACATATTCCTGCAGCAACTGGAGTAGTTCTTTTATCCCCAGATGATCACCACAGCATCTCCCACTCCCCATCCTCCATGGACTGGAAGCTTTCTGGATGGTTAAGAGCATGCAGTTGGAACCAGACTTCTTGAGTTCAAATCCTGGTTCCACAATATACTAGCTGTGCCCTTGAGAAAGGTATTTAATTTGAGCCTGTTTCCTCACTTGTAAAATGGGAATAATAATAGTTGTAATGATTGAAGGAGAAGTATATGATGTGCTTAAAATGGTGGCTGGCACAGAGTAAACTTGTCATAATCGTTAGAAATGGTAATATTAACCTTGACCTAGAAGAACACAGGCCCCATGGCATTAGAAAGATCTACTGTACATCCCACCTGTGCCCCATTAACTGGATGACCTTGAGGATATCTCTTAACTTCTCTGAGCCCTGTTTTTATATCTGTAAAATGGGGATGATAATAATAATAGTAACTAACTCATAGGGTGTTTGTAAGATTTCAGTAACACCAACAAAACCATGAACACTGCTTACCACATTGTAGACATTAAATCAGTAATAATTTTTTTTTTAGATGAAGTCTTGCTCTGTTGCCCAGGCTGGAGTGCAGTGGCGTGATCTTAGCTCGCTGCAACCTCCGCCTCCTGGGTTCAAGTGATTCTTGTGCCTCAGCCTCCCAAGTAGCTAGGATTATAGATGCCCGCCACCACGCCTTGCTAATTTTTTGTATTTGTAGTAGAGACGGGGTTTCACCATGTTGGCCAGGCTGGTCTCGAACTCCTGACCTCAAGCGATCTGCCTACCTCAGCCTCCCAAAATACTGGGATTACAGGCATGAGCCACCACGCCTGGCCAGTAGTAATTTCTTGCTGTTACAATTATGTTGGTATTATTAATAGTACCAGATTAAAAGAAAAATGAGATGTTCCTGGGTTTCCAAAGGCAATGCTTCCTGGCCTTTTTGCACTTCACAGCAATCAGAAAATAATATATAACAAAAATCTCCAGTAAAGACAAGACTTCTTGTGATTGGCCTGCAGGCTCTGGCCTCCTCCCAGCTGGGCCAAGGGGACCATCACATCTGTAAGTCATTTGAGGCCGAAGTGACAAAGGGTTGGGAAGCTCTGCTCCAAGGGTGAAGATTTAAAGCACTGGTTCTCAAACTTGAGCATGCATCAGAGTCACCTGCAGGGCTTGTTAAACCACACATGGCCGGACCACATCCCCAGAGTTCAGTAGGTTTAGGGCGGGGCTCAATAATTTATATTTCTAAAAAATTCCCAGGTGATACTGATGGTCTGGGAAACACACGTTGAGAACCACTGATTTAAAGTATTGCCTGCCATTTTTTTTTTTTTTTTTTTTTTTTTTGAGATAGAGTCTTGCTCTGTCACCAGGCTGGAGTGCAGTGGCATGATCTGAGCTCACTGCAACCTCCGCCTCCCAGGTTCAAGCGATTCTCTCGCCTCAGCCTCCCAAGTAGCTAGGACTACAGGCACGCACCACCATGCCTGGCTAATTTTTGTATTCTTAGTAGAGACTGGGTTTCACACTGTTGGCCAGGATGGTCCCAATCTCTTGACCTTATGATCTGCCTGCCTCGGCCTCCCAAAATGCTGGCATTACAGGCGTGGGCCACCGCACCCGGCTGTATTGCCTGCATTCTTATTCTGGCTGGGCATGGTGGCACACGCCTGTAATCCCAGCACTTTGGGAGGCAAAGGCAGGTGGATCACTTGAGGTCAGGAGTTCGAGACCAGCCTGGCCAACATGGTGAAACCCCGTCTCTACTAAAAAGAAACCCCATCTCTACTAAATACAAAAATTAGTCGGGTGGGGTGGCACGCACCTATGGAATCCCAGCTACTCAGGAGGCTGAGGCAGGAGAACTGCTTGAACCCGGGAGGCAGAGGTTGCAGTGAGCTGAGATCGCACCATTGCACTCCAGCCTGGGTGACATAGCAAGACTCTGTCCCTCCCAAAAAAAATTATTTAAAAAATGTTATTATTTTTTGAAATGAGGTCTTGTTCTGTCACACAGGCTGGAGTGCAGTGGTGCATTCATAGCTCACTACAGCCTCAAACTCCTGTGCTCAAGTGATTTTCCCACCTCAGCCTCCTGAGTAGCTAGGACCATAGGCACGTTCTACAAAGCCCAGCTAATTTTTTATTTTGTAGAGATGGGGGCAGTGATCTTGCTGTGTTGCTCAGGCTGGTCTCGAACTCCTGGCCTCAGGCATTCCTCCTGCCTCAGCTTTCCGTAAATTATTTTATTTTATTTTATTTTATTTTATTTTAAGATGGGGTCTTGCTGTGTTGCTGGGGCTAGACTCAAGCTCCCAGGCTCAGGCAGTTTTCCTGCCTCAGCCTCCCAAGTAGCTGGGACTACAGGTGCACACCACCACACCCAGCTAAGAACTTTTTAATAAAGAATTCCTACAAATTGGCTGGGCACAGTGGCTCACGCCTGTAATCCCAGCACTTTGGGAGGCCGAGGCGGGTGGATCACCTGAAGTCAGGAGTTCAAGACCAGCCTGGTCAACATAGTGAAACCTCCTCTCTACTAAAAATACAAAAAAATTAGCCGGGCATGGTGGCGGGCGCCTGTAATTCCAGCTACTTGGGAGGTTGAGGCAGGAGAATCACTTGAACCCGGGAGGTGGAGATTGCAGTGAGCCGAAACCGTGCCACTGCACTCCAGCCTGGGCAACAAGAATGAAACTCTGTCTCAAAAAAAAAAAAAAAAAAAAGAATTCCTACAAATCAATAAGAAAAAGATTAAGGATCTCAGTAGAAAAATAGTCCAAAGATATAAACAGGCAATGCACAGAAGAACATTAGTAATAAACCTTTGGGCATATTTTCATGCCCACACTCACTAGTAATCAGGAAACTCCCAACTAAATTGAGATACCACTTCATACCTATCAAATTGGCAAAAATTTTAAAGTCTCATAATACAAATATTGGTGAGGATGTGAAATAGTGGGAACTCTCATAAACTGTGTGTGGGAGTGTAAATTGTTACAATTACTTTCAGACAATTTAGGCAAATTTTTAAAGTTCAAGAGCTACTCCTGGGAATAAGGAAACATGCAGTATTGTTTGTAATGGCCGCCATTGGAACAATCTGCACGTCCCTCTGCTGAAGGAAAGAATAAAGTGTGGCATATTCATACCATAGTTGTGGAATTCTTTCCAGCAGCTAAAATGAATAGCTATATATGCATCAATCCTGATGAATCTCAAAATATCAAAGTTACAGAATGACACAGAGTTTGAGAAAAAGCAAAACAAAGCTATATAATGTTTTAAGAACACAGACATTTGCATGAGTTAATTATAGTATAAAGACATGCAGAGGAATGCTAGACTCCCAAGTTTTAGTAAATCATGGTGATCCCCCCAGGAAGAAAGGTAGAGGATAGGATGAGGGAGGGGTGCACAGGTGGCTGAAATGGTATCTGTAATGCTGCATTTTACAAAGCTTTTAAAAACTGAAGCAAAGATAGTAAGACGTTATGGTCTGATAAAATTGGCTAGTGGGGACACAAGTGTTTGTTATGTTATTCTCTGTAGTTTTCTGAGGTTCTAAACATTTCCTTTAAATAAAAAATGATGGGGGGATTAGGTAGAGAGCAATGAGAGCAAAAAGCATTTCAGGGAAAGTAAGCAGCATGGAAAAGAAGCTAGGCTCTCACCAATGATGGCCTGGAGGAACCAAGAGAAGCCAGTAGGTCTGGAATTTGAGGCATTTGAGGGCAGAGGGAGGGAAAGTGGGGCTTTACAGGCCATACATTGGGTTTGGGTCTTTATTCTAAGGTCTGTGGACCAGTTCACCCCTAGCTCTCAGGCTTCTTGGGAAGTTCCAGAGTAATGACACCTTCAGGCTGTCTACAGGGAAGCAGCAGCACCCAGGCCAAATCTTCCAGTCCTTCTGCGGGCAGCTGCTCTAACAAACACTCAGGCTGGGAGAAGGGAAAGGGGCAGCAGGAAGGCTTCATTACCACGAGACAGCACAGAGTCCACTCTTTCTTACCAGAAGTGGCTGCAGGTGGTCTCGGAACTGTGACTAGCGTCAGAGAGGCCTGTATTTGAATTATAGCTTTTTTGCTCCTAGTTTGTAACCTGAGTCAGGTTTCTTAATTCCTCTGAATGTCTGCGTTCTCCATAAAGATACTCACTGAACTGACCTCATAGGATTAATACGAGCAGAAAATGAACTTATGGGTGTGTAGTGCTGACAGAGTAAGCCCTTGGTGAATATTCACTATTATTATCATCATCATCATATTGTTTCCCACACCCTCTGGATCAAGCGTCTTAGGCATTTCAGGGCAAGTAGGGTTTGGGATACCCTGGAGGTGCGGGCTGGAGCTAGGGCAGAGCAATGACCTGGACACCCCACGCCACTTCAAGGCCCTAGGCTAGAGGCAGCTTGTGCAGCACGAGTGTGCCTCCAACACAGTCCAGAAGAGGAGCAACCCTCAGGAAATGGCCCAGGACACCTTCATAGCGGCCTTTTTCCTCCCACCTGGAGAAGGTAACCAGACATCGTGTCATCGCTGCTTCTCTCATGGCCCTGACATTCAAACAAAAACCCTAGAGGTGCACTGTGAGCCCAAACAGACATGGGGACACCCTTCAGCCACCCCATGACTGCCACCTTGACCTGGGGACACCCTTCAGCCACCCCATGACTGACACCTTGACCTGAGGACACCCTCCAGCCACCCCATGACTGACACCTTGACTTGCGGACACCCTTCAGCCACCCCATGACTGACACCTTGATTTGGGGACACCCTCCAGCCACCACATGACTGACACTAGTCATGTGACCTCCTCAAAGAAGTCCAGTCATGGAAAGTGGCTCTTCTTTCTGGCCGTGGCTGAGGGCTGGCTTCCCCCAAAAGTAAACTGGAAACTAGATCGCTGGCTTCTGCCTGAGACCTCTGCCTGGTGGATGCTGGCAGCACGCATTTCCTCTGGGCTCTATTTTTATTTGCTCTTTTGGGCTCTCCCAGCACTTTAAACCAGATAGAATATACTTACTGATTACAGCCGGCGCTCATTCTGAGCACCTGTTAGACACTAGCATATATAACATCATCATGCTGACTCTCCACAAGAATCCTGGGAAACAGGAACTATGATTATATCCTCTTCACAGATGAGGAAACTGAGGCTCAGAGGGAAATTGTCACTTGGCCAGTGAGTAGTGGAACTAGGACTTAATCCTGGGGTCAACTAATCCAGAACTTCAGGAAAACCGGTGCAGCCCGTGCCACTAGACCAGGGAAACTGACCCTAATTAGGGGTGAATAGGAAGTTGGCAAGTCAGTAGGTTCAGGCTGGAAGCTGTTGCTTCCTTGGCACCCTTAGAACTCCCAGCCAGACTGCCTATCCCAGCTGCTGGAAGTCAGCAGGGGAGGGAGAAAGTGGCCAGTCTCTCAGACCAGCCACGTGCTCTTTCTCCACTCCAGTTGCCTGTCCTAGGCTCCACCCCACACATGGTTCTGCTCAGCACAGCCTGAACCAAAGTGCCTCTACTTCTCCCCAAGAGTCCCTCTCTCTAGCCCGGAGGCATGGTCCGCAAGGGTCCCTCCATGATCCAATAGATTTGTGCAGACTCTCACTGGCAGCAGCTCCCTGTTGGCTCCACTTCAAAGCAGGGGCGGCCGGGCACCTCCAGGTG
This sequence comes from Homo sapiens, assembly GCF_000001405.40. Classification (NCBI taxonomy): domain Eukaryota; kingdom Metazoa; phylum Chordata; class Mammalia; order Primates; family Hominidae; genus Homo; species Homo sapiens. The sequence continues at coordinate 47,149,334 of NC_000011.10, forward strand.
TCAGAAGCAGCTGGCACGTTAGCAGAAGGCCTCTGGCAGGAAGGGGTGTTGAGCCAACTGCCAGCAACTGGAAAACAGCACATGGGGATGACCTCGTCTCCAAGAAGATTCTTTCCCGAGCCCTCTGGGAGTGGCAATGAGCTTGAGTTCAGAAGGAAGGAGCTGTCTGTGGGGATAGAAGGGTTGCAGGCAAAGGCAAAGAGGCAAAGACAGACCAGGAGCTTCCTGCTTGCCTTTTCCCATAGTTCTGCTGAGATTCCAAAGCAAGATGCAGATGCCCACAGCCAGAAAGATCCCATAGGTGGGTTAAAGACACAGATGCCTAGAACTTTCATGGTCTCAGCATTCATTTGGAGACAGACAGCACAGCATATGATGTGATTAAAAGCACCTTTCAGTAAGTCTTCTGCAGCCATAGACCTCTGAACATCAAACTGTCCCCCCACTAGATTTAACACTAACAGGAGGAGCTGTTAGTTCTGTCCACCCTTGGGACAACACTGTCAGAGCTGGAAGAAGCCCTTTGGGAAGTATGAGCCTTCAAACTTCTGCTTGAACATTTCTGGCAATACACATCTCATTCCTTTACAAATCAGCCACAATCCTAGAACTAAGCAGCTTGAAAATGTCTCTAGAGCCAAACTCTAGATCCCCGTGGCATCTCCCCAAGAGGCAGTCCTTTGAGAGTTGGGTCTCAGCCTTCACTTCCTCCCTAGTCTTCACTTCTAAGCAAAAGATCTAAATGCAGCCATTTATCCAGTATCCTGGTTTTTAGACTGTCCATCAGCCTGACCCTCTTCTCCAGGACTCTAGTTTACTCCCCTTAAACGGACTGTCCAGACCTGAAGGTAGTAGTATTTGAATGACAGCTCTTTTGCTCCTAGCTTGTAACCTTCGCCAAGTTTCTTAATCCCTCTGAATGTCTGCATTCTCCATAAAGATTGTAAGTATCTTTATGAGAGGGATTAAGAAACTGCTCCAGGTGCCACCTGGCCAGAGGAAAAGGGGACCGTGGCTTCTCTCACTCATTTGTTCATGCATTTCTTCATTCAACAGACGTTGACTGAGTGCCTACTATGTGCCAGACACCATACCAGAGTCAAGCCACAAGCAGGGAGACAGAGGTGTCACTTGGTAGATCTTATGTTCCCAGGACAAAGACAACAGTGTGAGGAGGTTTCCGAGAACTGCAGAAGCCAGTAGCAGGGGGGCCTATTCTAGGCTGGGTTAGAAAAGGTGCTTTCCTCTTTCATCTTCCCCAAGAGATGCTGTGGAGGCTTCAGCCTGAAGAATATGGAGATATCCGGTAGGTGAGGAGGAGGCATGGAGGGCAGGGAGCATCATGGGTAGAAGGGACAGGGAGCATTATGGCTAGAGGGACAGACTTGTCTGGAGGGCATGAGTAAGGACAGCTTCAGGGAGGATGGAAGGACTAGTGTGGCCAGAATGCAGTGGGGGAGTCGAGGGAGGCAGGGGGCAGATGGAGCGGGCTCACAGGCCAGATCCAAATGGGGGAACGTGTCCTAAGGGCAATGGGAAGACTGTGAAGGTTTTTTTTTTTTTTTTTTTTTGACATGGAGTCTTGCTCTGTCATCCAGGCTGGAGTGCAGTGGCACAAGCTTGGCTCACTGACATGGCCACCTCCCAGGTTCAAGCGATTCTCCAGCCTCAGCCTCTTGAGTAGCTGGGATTACAGGCATGAGCCACTGTGCCCGGCCTCTGTGAAGGGTTTCCAACACAATGGTAAAATGGTCACATTCACATTTTAGGAAAATCTTTCTGCCCACAGGATGGATACTCAATTAGAAGAAGGCTCACGCCTGTAATCCCAACACTTTGGGAGGCCTAGGTGGGCAGCTCATGAGGTCAAGAGATCAAGACCATCCTGGCCAACATGGTGAAACCCCGTCTCTACTAAAATACAAAAATTAGCTGGACATGCTGGCGCACGCCTGTAGTCCCAGTACTACTCGGGAGGCTGAGGCAGGAGAATCGCTTGAACCTAGGGGGCGGAGGTTGCAGTGAGCCACTGCACTTCAGCCTGGTGACAGAGTGAGACTCCATCTCAAAAAAAAAAAAGCAAGAGGAGTAGTTGCAGGGAAACTGGGTAGGAGGTCATGCCATCATCAAGAAAAGAGAGGTGAAGGCTGGGGGTAGGATGGTGGCTGTGGACGTGGAAAGAAGTAGATGGATTCAAGAGAAATTTCAGCAATAGCATTGATAGGACTTGGTGACTGGTTGATTGGCTTGGAGCAGAGGGTGGCGGGGGGAAGTTTCCAGGATGTCTAGTATGCCCAGCGTTTCTGGTTGAGGAGAGTCATAGCCGGTGTTGCTGTTAACACAAGCTCGGATCCATTTGGCTTTTTAAAAGGTAGCCAGTCTTACTTCTTGCAGTTGAAAAAAAACCCTCAGTCCTTTATACATGTGCTGCTGGGATCCAGCCACATGTCCCCCAGAAAGAAAGCCCTCGCCTCTGTCTGCACCCGCTTCACTCGCCCCCTACTCCCTCCTGCTCGGCATATGTTTCAGCTCCCCAGTCTCTGAGACTCAGACTCTTCACCTGTAGAATGGAAATAACAATAAGACCCACCCGTAGGACTGTTGTAGAATAAAATTTAATTAATGTAGTCAAATGCCTTAATAGCCTGCCATGAGGTAGGGTACTCAGGAAAGATACCTGCCTCTATAGGCGGATCACTTGAGGTCAAGAGTTCGAGACCAGCCTGGCCAACATGGTGAAACCCTGTCTCTACTAAAAATACAAAAATTAGCCGGGCATGGTGACAGGCACCTGTAATCCCAGCTGCTAGGGAGGCTGAGGCAGGAGAATCACCTGAACCTAGGAGGCGGAGGTTGCAGTGAGCCGATCTGCACCACTGCACTCCAGCCTGGGCAACAGAGCAAGACTCAAAAAAAAAAAAAATGCCTCTATTGTTACCCGTATTAAGGGCACCTGCAGGGCTGCCCTGCTCTGACGGACACTCCTACCCTCCCACGGTGTGCGCCCCCTCTTCTGCAACGGCCCATCTCCAAAGGGACTGCTGATGTTTGAGGTCAAGATGGCCCCTAGCAGAAAGCTGCAGACCACTTCTGAGGCTGGAAGGGTGTGCCCTGTTTATAGCTTCTAGTCCCATCTGTGGCTGAAAGAGGAAGATGCTAGTGGCACTCAGCATTAAGGCTTCCGCGAGGCTGCGAGGCAGGGGTAGCCCTTTGGGAAGTACGAGCTCAAGCTTCTGCTCCGAGGCAGGCTCTGGAATGGGCCTATTGGTGAGAATTGCAAATGGAGGTAACTTCTGTAATTAGACAGTGGTGATGGTGGCGCTACTTTGTGAATATACTAAAAAACTGAATTGTACGCTTTTAAAGGGTGACTTTTATGGTGTGTCATTATATCACAATGTAAATAAATAGCAAGTGGAAGTTGCTGCTATGGGAGTGCTGTGTTCCAACTGATGATCAACAGAAGCCATGGAACACGGGGAAAGCCTTGGGCTCCCTGGTGGTTTCCTGCTTGGGGATATTCACAGCCCAGTGCTGTTCTGTCGTAATTCACTTTAGACTATTGGGGCTCCAGCTGTCCTGAGAACAGGGCAGTAAAGGAAAGTCAGTGGCTTCTCATGTCCAGAGCCTTTGCCTGCCCTGCTGAGCCTGCCAAGGAAAAGCTTTGAGGTGCTGGTGGCCCTTGCTCCCTGAGCGCTCCCGGGGGAGCTCACTCTTCCTCTGCAGTTTGGAGGTCTTTGCTAACCCCAGTCCTCTCTAGCTGCCCGCTCTCTGCTGTCTCCCTGCTCCCTCAATCCAGATGTCAAAACAGATTCTGCCATCTGGGTGGGGAGGGAGCTGTTCTGCTGCCTGGGTTTTCCTTGGGTTATGAGATGGGGTAACCACTTGGCCTTTGGCACTGCACTTAGTCCTGTGAACTACTGACAGAGGGACCAGGGCACCCTCTTGTGGCCCTCAGCGGCACTGCTTCTTCCCGCCCTCCAGCCTTGAATTTCTTCCAGCTGGAATTCTAGTGTTGAACTCTGGTGGTGGAGGCAGCTGTCGTTCTCCCCAGGAGATGCCTAACATATCAGTAACAAGAAAGAAAATAAATCAGCCACAGAAACTAGGAGGTAAAATGTTAGTGTTTTTGCTCTGCAGCTTTATTTTCAAAGAGGCAGTGTGCTCTCATGGAAGATGTGTGGCCTGTGGAGTCCAGCAAGCTCCCCAGCTGTGTGTGTGACTTTGGCAGGCTGACCTCTGAGCCTCAGACTCTTCACGTGTAGAATGGAAATAATAAGACCCACCTGTAGGATTGTTGTGGGATAAAATTTAACGAATGCAGTTAAATACCTCAATAGCCTGCCACGCAGTAGGGCACTCAGGAAATGGCACCTGCTTCTATTGTTATCTGTATTACAATAAAGACTAGGCAGGAACCACTGTCTCTCTTCAGGAAGATCGCAGCAAAGGGAGTGGCACCACAATATCGTAGTCTCTGTGAAGCCCTTTCCCCAGCAGTGAGCAATCCTGGCTTTCTCTGGGGCTGATCCAGTTGCCAGTCTGGGAAACCTCTGACTCAGGGAAGTGGAGAGAGATTTAGAAAAATATGAGAGAGCAAAAGAAAACTTTTTTTGTTTTTTTTTTGACAGGGTCTCTCTCTGTCTCACGGGCTGGAGTGCAGTGGTGTGATCTCCGCTCACTGCAACCTCCGCCTCCCAGGTTCAAGCGCTTCTCCTGCTTCAGCCTCCTGAGTAGCTGGGACTACAGGTGCCCACCATGCCCAGCTAATTTTTCTATTTTTAGTAGAAGTGGGGTTTCACCATGTTGGCCAGGCTGGTCTCGAACTCCTGACCTCAAATGATTCACCCATCTCGGCCTCCCAAAGTGCTGGGATTACAGGCATGAGCCACCGCGCCTGGCCAAAAACAACTGAAAAAAGAAAAAAAGAAAGATAAAGCCAGAAGGACCTGATCAGAAACAGATTGGGGGCCCGCCCCACCCCATCTGATAGCTTGGCGCCTGCCTGGCATGTGATGGAGCCCAGCAAACGCTCGTTTCCTTCTCTTCTTGTCCTGGCTCAGATGAGGTGCTGAGCAGAGGATGAACATAGCCTTGGTCGGATCCCTTTATGAGTCAGACGGTTTTCTTCCTGTGAGGTGGGTCCTCAGTGGGAGGGACTAGAGACAGGAAAACCGTTGGGTGGGCAACCTGTGAACATGGATGCAAGGAGGAGCAGGGCGGCAGCACAAGATGAGTGTGGGTTTTGACCCTCACAAGTGCAGATTCCCCAATAGCTCTTTGCCCTCTCCCCTTGTCTGCCATCTGTGCCCCAGGGTGGCGGTGTCTGTCGCTGTTCTGGCCCTTTGGTAGCTTATTAAATCTCAGTACCACTTGCCAAGACCCTTTAAACCCCTTAGCTGTTCTTTTTGCCTTTTCTGATCAGCTGTATTTATTCTGAACTAAATGGTCCTCACGGCAGAATGAAAGGATTTACTGCTTAAGTATATGAAAAGAAACCTTGGCTGCATTACAGTTGCACCCTCTCCTCGCCACCCCCTGCCCATGCTCCATCCGCTAGCTGGTGCCACTGAGACTGAACCGGGAGCCCGCTCTGGGTACAGTGTGGTCAGTTCAGTTTGGTGGCAGAGTCCAATTGATGGAGCAGTGAGGTGACTGGGAGGAGCTTGCTTTTGGGAGCCCTCTCCTAAATGTCCTGCTGCCCCAGGGGAGACTGGCGGCCCAGGAACAGCTCTCTCTCTCCCTCTCCCCCGCACTTTTCCCTTCCTCCCTCTCCCTCTCTCCCTCCCCTCCTTAAACCTCTCCCCCATTCTCTCTCTCAGATTCTCTCTTTCCCCTTCAGGATTGTGCTCATGGACGATGCCATGGACTGCTTGATGTCTTTTTCAGATTTCCTCTTTGCCTTCCAGATCCAGTTTTACTACTCAGGTGAGTGTTCCGGGGCTCCATCTGGCTCCGCACAGGACCCTGTCTCCCTGTCCTGCCCTGCTGCCCTGCCCATCTGTGTGCCTGGCACACACGTTTCTCTTCCCCACTTCCTTTGGGGGTGTGCTTCACTGCGGGTCGCTAACAGGATGTCTAGTGTTCAGTGGTGGTCACAAGATTCAGTCTGCAGAGCCGACTTCCTCAGCCTCCTGAAGACACTGAACACCGCAGTGTTTTCAGTCAGCAACGCAACAAATCAGTTTAAGTGATAATGACAATAACAACATCCATAGCATCCACAGCATTCACTGCTTACTGAAAACTTACTATGTCCCAGGCACAGCACTGACTTTAATCTTGACAACAGCCTTGAGAGAGAGTCCTTTCAGAGACAAGCTCACAGAAGTAGTAGCCAGTCATGCAGCTCATAAGTGGTGGAGACCAGACCTGAAGGCTGACTCCAAAGCCAGCGTTCCCAACCTCGCTGCTATTTTACTGCCTTCAAGGGTCTCTCCCTTGGCAACTGATCGTGCGTTTGGGTGCACATTCTCCTCCACCCCACAGCTTTAAAAAAGCATACACCAGTCCTTTGTCACACTCCCACTCTGCTCCCCAATTCACACAGCTGCACCCTTAAGTCTCTCTGGAATCAGATGGAATAAATATAGACAAATAAATATAAATATACACCAGCTCACGCACAGAGACATCAAATGGAGTGCCGGGTTTACAAATTGCTGACTGTGTTCATAAACAAACTTGCTTAAAACAGGCTCTTCCAGTAAATAGAAGGCTGTCCTTAGATCCTAGAGGTGGCCTTCCTGCCAACTGGTGTCCCCAGCCAGCCCTGGCCTCATTTGGGCGCCACATTCTGTTTACTTGATGGCAGCCCAAGGGCTGTACAGTTAGGGGCTGGAGCCTGGGGTCTCGCCACCTGCTCTTAGCAGCACCAGTCATTTCCCATTTCTCTGAAGCTCTTGGGCCCTAGAGAAGGAGCAGCCATGTCTGGGAGAACATTTTTCCCTCACTGTCTCCCCAGCCCTCTTCTCACAGCACCCCCAGAGGGATGGGACAGCCACCACATTGGGCTGGGAGCATTACTGACACTGCCCAGCGGTGTGTGTAGAGACGAGATGGGCCATAAGTCAGCAGTTCTAACAATGGCTCAACTACGAAATTTGAAAACCATTTCAAATGACTGACTCATCAGCAGCTTTCAGGCTTTCTCTGTTCCTCGCTGGTATTCCAACACGCTTTCTTGAGGTAGAGAGGCAGGTGGCCACACACCATGGGGCTTACCAGTGGGAGCATACTCATGTTCACTCCTCCAAAAAATATTTATGGCCTTAATATGTGCCAAGCACAGTGCTAGGCAGGAGAGGCCAACAAGGCATGACCCCGCCTTTGTGCATTCCAGCAAGGAGACAGATTAGACAATTAATGACACAGAAAGCTCCTCACTGGCTAAGTGCCAGAAAAAAAAAAGCCTATGGTGCTATGAAAGTGTGCAATGGCAGGTCTCACCTGGTCCAGGAACAACTGAGCCAAGGATGGGACATTTGAGCAAAAACACAGATTAGTGTCATCTCTCATCAATGTGTTGTCAAACAAGGTTGAGAACTTCTGCTCTCAGGACACCATGCCCTGAGCACTGAGGCTGGTGTGGAACTGGGCTGACAGAGAAGGGAAGACATAGTGAACAGACAAAACATGTCCTCCCTGCCTGAGCCGTCCACACCCACACCCCCACCCCCACGGTTCCAGAATTCCTGGACAGTGTGGCTGCCATCTATGAGGACCTGCTGTCAGGCAAGAACCCCAACACAGTGATTGTGCCGACGTCGTCCAGTGGGCAGCACCGCCAACGACCTGCCTTGGGCGGGGCCGGCACGCTGGAGGGCGTGGAGGCGTCGCTGTTCTACCAGTGTCTGGAAAACCTGTGTGATCGGCACAAGTACAGGTGAGGAACGGGCATGCAGCCCCCAGCCCCCCAGCCCCAGGGGGTCGGACTGCTGGCTGCGGAACAGAGCTCCGCAGGATGTTCTGCGCGGCCCAGGCATTCTAGGGCCCTTGCTGGTCATAATGTAACAGTGCCATTTGCCCCCAAACCAGTTGTTGACTGAAAGGCTCTCAATTAGCTCACTTCAAAAGGACTGCTTTCACTCAGGCAAGACCACTGTAGTTGACCAATTTACTGGGTGACAGACTGGCCTTAACATTTTAGAGAGAAGGAAAGAGTACTCCTTGTATAAAACTTTTCTACACAAAGAGAGGGGTAAGCTGTCCTGTGTGGCACAAGTACCCTTAGGGACTGAGCAACAGGTTTGGTTTCCCGTAGCCATTTCCCACCCCCACTCCCCACCCCGGTGAAAGCACCAGTTAGTGAACATGCCAGCCCCTCCTGACCATAGTGAAGGCCTGATCCCCCAGGGCCTTGGGGCTCCCAAGGCAGGTCCCTGGCTTGGCTGTGGGTATCCTCATGAACCTGAAAGTATGGATGCAGAGGTGGCCCTGAGGCTGGCTAGGCTCTGAATGTGGCATCTCTCCTTCTTAGCTGCCCACCCCCAGCACTTGTCAAAGAGGCCCTCAGCAATGTTCAGAGACTGACCTTCTATGGATTCCTCATGGCTCTCTCAAAGCACCGTGGAATCAACCAAGCCCTCGGTAAGTCAGAGCTAAGCAGCCGTCAGCCTCTCCTGCCGCACAACACAGGGAGCAGCTGGCCTCTGTTAGCAACACGGCTCCAGAGGGGAAGGGGCATCACCATCTCTGCCTTGACTTCCCAGGGCCGGACTCAATCCCAGGGAGCAGGAATATGGCGACAAAACATGGCTCTTACACATTCCCATGGTAGGGGACAGCCCTCCCTGCCTGCAGCCCTGCCCCAACATGAAACCACCTCCCCATAGCAGAAGCGCCCAGCCCCTCCTCAGAGAACCCCAGCTCTGCTTTGGGGAGCAGCCTGCAGGTCGGGCAGACACAGGACTATTTACTCAGTGACGCTAGAGATTATATATCAAAGAGACCTGAATCCCATTTATAAACAAGGCACAGGTGTGTCTGCGGAGACCTTTTTTCCAAGCTGAAAAAAAAAATCTGATTAATCTGAAAGGGAGAAAAACAAAAGTAGGGGAAGTCTGCAGTGGCCCAGTTTTTCCTGCCTGCTGTTTTTTTTCACTGAGCCTTCTCCACCCACCCCACTGTTCCTCCTCCCACAGCCACTGCTCTCCTAAGAGAAGAGCCAGTAAGCCTCCATTCTACTACAGTTTAAGGTTTTTTGTTTTTTGTTTTATTTTGGGACAGAGTCTCGCTCTGTTGCCCAGGCTGGAGTGCTGTGTACAATCTCAGCTCACTGCAGCCTCGACCTCCCGGGCTCAAGTGATGCTCTCACCTCAGCCTCCCTAGTAGCTGGGACTACAGGCATGCGCCACCATCCTGGAAAATTTTTGTGTTTTTTGTACAGACTGGGTTTCACCATGTTGCCCAGGCTGGTTTCAAACTCCTGGGCTCAAGGGATCCCCTCACCTTGCTCTCCCAAAGTACTGGGATTACAGTTGTGAGCCACTACGCCCAGCAAGGAGTTCTTTTTTGTGTCTCGAGAGATCCTCCTGCTGTGCTTGGGATCCCAGGTGCCTGAGTCTCAAGGAAAAGACACACAGCATCCCCCTTCCTTTTGCCAGTTGAGGGAATGGGATTAAGGGAAGGAAAGTTAACATTCACTAAATGCCAACCACAGCAGGCTAAGTACTGTGCTGGATGCTTTATATTTTTTATCTTACACAATATACAGTTAGCCAGGGATGCTCTGGGATACACAAGCACAAACCCCAGCAGGCTGAACTGCATGCCACCCACAGCCTGGTTATTCTGAGTCAGTGCTTGGGGCATGCACAGGTCTGGGGAGCCCTCAACTGAAGTTGGTAGCCAAGGTTACCCACTGGACTAAGACTAGAAAGGAGGCAATTGACAGGCCAGGCGTGGTGCCTCACGCCTGTAATCCCAGCACTTTGGGAGGCTGAGGCAGGTGGATCACCTAAGGTCAGGAGTTCAAGACCAGCCTGACCAACATGGTGAAACCCCATCACTACTGAAAATACAAAAATTAGCTGGGTATAGTGGCCCGCACCTGTAATCCCAGCTACTCGGGAGGCTGAGGCATGAGAATCGGTTGAGCCCAGAAGGCGGAGGTTGCGGTGAGCCGAGATCACGCCATTGCACGCCAGCCTGTGCGACAGAGCAAGACAGTCTCAAAAAAGAAAAAAAAAACAAAAACAGGCGAGAGTCAGGAATCAAGAGTAAGGGGGAGGCGGGTGGGATCTGCCCTGGTGTTCTTTCATACTCCTCGTTATGACCACTCTTTCTTCCCACCAGTAGCAGCCACTAGGAAGGAGAAGCCAATTAGCAACTGGGTCACAGCCTGAAGTAACCTCATCCCCCTTTTCTAAGGGCCTTTAAAAAGGACACTGGCTGGGTGTGGTGGCTCACGCCTGTAATCCCAACACTTTGGGAGGCCGAGGCGGCGGATCACCTGAGGTCAGGAGTTCGAGACCAGCCTGGCCAACATGGAGAAACCCCGTCTCTACTGAAAATACAAAATTAGCCAGTTGTGGTGGCACATGCCTGTAATTCCTGCTACTGGGGAGGCTGAGACAGAAGAATCACTTGAACCAGGGAGGCGGAGGTTGCAGTGAGCCAAGATCGCATCATTGCATTTCAGCCTGGACAACAAGAGCGAAACTCCATCAAATAAATAAACACTAATAGCCAGACATGGTGGCTCCACCTGTAATCCCAGCATTTGGGGAGGCTAAAGCAAGAGGATTGCTTGAGCCCAGGAGTTAATGACCAGCCTGGGCAATATAGGGAGAACCCCGTCTCTTTAGAAAAAAAACAAAAATTAGCTGGGTGTGGTGGCATGTACCATTGGTCTCAGCTACGCAGGAGGCTGAGGTGGGAAGATCGCTTGGGCATGGGAGGTCGAGGCTGCAGTGAGCCATGATCACTGCACTCCAGCCTGGGTGACAAAGCAAAACTCTGTCTCAAAAAAAAAAAAAAAAAAAAAGTCACTCTCATTCAACCACTTTTACTGCACACTAACATTGGGTGGTTGGATGGAATGGGAGACAGAAAGAAGCATGTGGTCTCAGGCCTCACCTGCATCTCCAGCGTATGAAATAGAAATCCGGAGATACACTGGTTGACGCGTCACGGAGGTCAGCCCTGTTCCCTTAGTCCCCAGGGCACCCCACAAATGAGAGGGTTCTATGAGATGTACTTTGAAAACCACTAACTTAGGGCAAGAGGGGCCAGGAGGCATCATCTGAAAAAGATTTGGAAAAAGGGGAAATCTGCCTGTGCCGGGTTAATTCTGGCCCTGACCCAGCCTTCTCCTCTTGCCCCTGGGATCCTCCTTGGAGAAGCAGAGGCAGCATTTTTTTTTTAACCATCTGTCTCCAAAGTGGGGTCATCCTGATTTAGGGACACAAAATTAGGTAATGTCTGACCTTTGGGCTTAGCCTGGACCATATCCTTTTCAGCCCAGTACCTGAGGCCTCAAGAAGGAACTCAACTCCCAGCACCAGGTCACAACCACCACCTGGTGTTGGAAGGGGATCACCACACTCCTTGGCTGTGGTGTCTGCCCCAGGCAGGGAAAGTAGGCAGTGGGATTCAATAAATGTATCAAGCAACAGCGAGCACCTTCCTGCTCCGTGACTGTTCTTGGCCCCTCTAGCAGTCCTCAGATCTTTAGATCGGCCCTCGCAGGGTCAGCAGAACAGGCAGCCGTGAAGGTGAGGGGCATGGAGGAATCTGTTGCCTGGCTGAAGGGCCCTCAGATTAACTACTGTGCCCCCAATGATCTCCTAGGAGCTTTGCCTGACAAGGGGGATCTGATGCACGACCCAGCAATGGATGAAGAGCTGGAACGGCTGTAAGTGTCAAGTGGGAGGATACTGCCCCCTTGTGGGGGCCAGACGGGTCGGACACGGCTGTGCCCCATCTGGGGCCAACACCACTTGTCTGTAACATCCCACATCTGCCAGGGAAGGGTCTGGGGGCCAGTGGAGGCCTGAGGTGTCCCTCCCTCTGAGTCCTTTGGGGGCTGCAGCCCAGGGGTTTACCCTAGTGTTAAGAGTGGGCATGGAGGCCCTGCTCTCTGTACAGGAGGCCTCTCGCTGCCCTCCAGGCTTCTTCCCTTCTTCAGGCTGGCCCAGGTCCCAGGCCTGGTCAACTCGGTCACAGCCAGTCCAGAGGCCAGTTGCCTGCCTTCCCGGACCCCTCCCCGGGTTGGCTCTCCCTGGAGACCTCTCCATCATTCCCGAAAAGTGGATGGAGAGAGTGATGGCTCCACTGAAGAGACAGACGAGTCGGAGACTTGAGGAGTCCAAAGGGTCCTGCCCACAGCGCCCTGTACCTGCTCCCACCCAGCCCTTGGTGTGCCCACCCAGCCTCCTCTCCAGCACCTTGCTGTGCTGCCCTCTGCTGCTGACAAGGTGAATAACAGCCCCAAGACCAGCCAGAGGGGCTCTGATGATCAGCCCAGCCAGTGGCCCCGGAAGGTGAATGGCCTGCTCTCCCTGGCCCTATCAGCCTGTGAACTTCACTTAGGCCCCAAGCTGACAGACTGTGCTGAGGCCACCTTGTCACGCCGTAGCCTGTTAGTCCTCCTAACCTCTTAAGAGCAGTCTCTTCTGAGCCAGCCTCTGCGGGTCCCCCAATAAGGTTCATCTCCTCACAGCAACTCCATTAAGGGGGAGAACCCGAATAGCCACGCAGGGCCTTGCACCATCAAGGGTGACACCTGCGACGCAAGTACCAGGAGGACATAACCGCTGTGGCCTGTTGGAGAACAGCCAGTAGCCTTGGTAATATGAAGGGTGGGCCAGAAGATGATTTCACTTGCAAAAACTGCTTCAAGTCTTGACCCCTTTGTGTCTAATAGCTAAACAAACATGTGAAACGAATAAAAAGTCCCTCATGTCTGGTAACTGGTGAGTCTAAAGCTCCTAGGCTGAGGGGAGAAGGGAGAGGGGGAGTTTGGGTTTTCGGTGCTTTTCTGGTAGGACTAGGAGGTAGGCCAGTGGCCCACTCAGACCTGGGGACCTGCCTCAGACAACGAGCAGAGGGGCCTAGCTTCGCACAAGAGCAACCTTCCAGAGGAAAAGTGCTCACAGCTGGAACGGCCTTCAGGAAACAGGTTCAGAGGGTTCAAGGCCAGGTTCCCATAACTTTAAAGACCGTGGCCATAAAGGGTTAATACTGCACAGCCTTCCAGCCAGGGTTTCAGTCAACATTTGCCAAGCACCTGCTTGGGGTTAGAACAGTGGGATGCAGCTGTGAAAGACAGACAGACACAGCCTGGGGCAGACACATCCCAGCCAAGACTGGAGGCAGGTAAGGACGAGTGTCTTCAACTTCTTTGGATTGAGGGCTGAAGGGGCGGGGTCCCCCAGAAAGCAAAACCCACCCAGAAGCCCAAGCAGAACAGGACTGCCTCCTCTGAAGGTGGATGTCACCACTACTAGGCATACACATTTCCTTGGGCTCATCCCTACCCAGAACGGATCATTACAGGAACTGCCTCCCAAACCCCTGCAGAGCTGAGGCCAAGACTAGGCATTCCAGCCCCGAAGCTGCTCCAGGATGCAGTGGCTCATTGCCTGTAATCCCAGCACTTTGGGAGGCCAAGGTGGGCCAACTGCTTGAGCCCAGGAGTTCAGGACCACCCTGGGAAACATAGTAGGACCCTATCTCTACAAAATAACCTTAGCCAGGCATGGTAGCTTGCACCTGTAGTCCCAGCTACTTGGGAGACCCGAGGTAGATCACTTGAACCCAGGAGGTTGAGGCTGCAGTGAGCCATGATCGTGCCACTGCACTCCCGTCTGAGTGACTGACAGAATGAGACCATCTTAAAAAAAAAAAAAAAAAAAAGCTCAGGCTGCGTGATGAGCTCTGTAGGCCCACAATGATGCACAGCCCATAAGAGACATGGTTCTCAAATCCTGGTGTCCTCAGAATCACAGGAAAGCCTACTGACGATGCAAATTACCAAGCTCCAGAGAGTCTAACTCTATCAACTTGGGATGGAGTCCAGAAATTCCAGATGATCCCAAAGCTGAATGAGTCCCAAACCTACACTCTGCAAATCCCTGGCTTACAGCCCCCTGGCTCCCTCTGCCCATCCTTTCTAATCATCCACTTCCCAGACCAGTGGTCTGTAACTACCGTGAGGACTCCTAAGGTGGCACAGAGATGTTTCAGAAGCCCCCAAGAGAAAGGGGTGGCCAAGCTAAGGATTTACACACAAACACACACCTTTTCTTCCCTAAATTTAAAGGGTCCCATTAACGTCTAAGAGTATGTGTGTGTATGTATATATATGTAATTTTTTCTTTTTTGAGACAGGGTCTCACTTTATCACCCAAGCTGGGGTGCAGTGGCGCGATCTAGTCTCACTGCAACCTCTGCCTCCCGGGTTCAAGTGACTTCTGCTTCAGCCTCCTGAGTAGCTAGGATTACAGGCATGCACCACACCGCCCCCACCCCGCTAATTTTGTATTTTTAGTAGAAATGGGGTCTCACCATGTTGGCCAGGCTGGTTTCAAACTCCTAGCCTCAAGTGATCCACCCGCCTCAGCCTCCCAAAGTGCTGGGATGACAGCCATGAGCCACTGTACCCGGCGTTAAATATTTCTTAAACTCCACTGAAACCCATCCCCAGTCAAGCCTACTGCCGTGACAAGGGGCAGGACTGCTGAGGTTGCTCGCTCGCCCTCAGCCAGCGAGTTAAAGGGCCAACTAATGCCAGCTCTTTCCTCTGCGTGCCACAGGGTGGTGAGGTCGAAGCTGCACCGGACCTCACGGCAGCACAGAGCCAAGGAGCCAGGGGCCTTTGGCTTTCAGAGAAGAGAGAAGCAGGAGGCCCTGGAGAGAGTGTCCTCAGCTTCGGTACCGACGCCCTACCATTACCGGTGGGAGCCCAGAGAGTGAGGCCAGGGGCCGGCACTGGGCAGGGAGGCAGGATCCAGAGGACACTGCTTCACTCAGACCAACAGGGAGCCAGGCCCTGCAGGGGCTTTATTTTGACACCACTTTGTTTCAATACAAACAGTCCAGAAAGAAAGTCAAGTCCCTCTGGGGGAGGGGCAAGGGGAAGAGTGGTCTGTGTTGCTTGGGAGCCCAACCTACAACCCAAAGGTGGGGGCTGGGCTGAGACTGCCGGTGCGGCAGGGGAAGATGGCACCAAGAATGACAGTGCTTGGCTCAGCTGCCAGAGGGTGAGGCCCACAGCTCTCACTGGCGGGTGCTGTCCAGGCCAAGCCCAGAATGATGCAGAGGAAGGAGCTCAGCCCCAGGAGCCTGCCTCTGCCTCTCACATCCTCTGCTTCCCTGGCCAGCATCAAGCTCACAGCATCCAGAGTCGAATCACAGCAGACAAGACCCTCCATGGCCACCAACCCGGGGAAGAAGGGATAAAGAATGTCACAGAGGGTCCTGCATTCCACAGCAGATGGTACAGAGGGACCCTGAGACACCCTGAAACAATCTTCCAAGTGCTTACTGTAGAAAGGGGTGGTGAGACGGGAGAACCCAAGGGTCTCCGGTCTGATCCCAAATGAAACCTTTAGGTACCAGGTAAAGTTTCCAGCCCTTGGTAACGCCCAGACAAAGGTCCTTCCCCTCTCCTGGCACCCAGAAGAGGCCACTGGCAGCAGCAGCAGCAGCAAGTCCGCAGCCTCTTTCCCCATGGGACGGGTCTACAGTGAACTCCTTCCAGGCCTCCCCCTGGTTCCAGAGGATGGGGACCCAAGGCCTCGAACTAGAAGAACCCTAGAGCCAGCAAAAAAAGCCTTCTACCTTCCGCTTTCCCTACCTGGGGAAAGTCTGGACCCAGAATAAGCCATCGTGGGGGAACCCCCTTTCCCAGTATGGCAGGATAAGTGAGCAGCAGCTGTGGGGGCAGGACAGAAGGACAAGAGTCTAACACACGGAGGGTGGTGTGAGAGGGAATAAAGGGCTCAGTCCACAGGCAGAGGACAAGGGCTGGTACTGACCATTCCCCTCACAGGAGTGAGCGCCTCAAAGGCCACCCCACACACACACCACACATACGAAGTAACAAATCCTCCCCAGCTTCCACAAGGCAAAGCATCCCCAGCCTGGGAACTGTGGAGTTCTTGTTGCCGTCACCATCGTAAGCCTGAGTCACAGAGCTCGGATCAGTAGGAACCGTAGCGATCCTGGGGGCGAGGGGGGAGAAAAAAAAAAAAAAAGTCAGAGGCTCTAAGCTGCAGCAGCTTCCCAGCAAACACACTGCCTGCCCCAGCACCCCACAGCAAGACTGGGGAGGCAGGGGCTGGACAGCCCGGTGAGGCAGGAGTCCACGGTGAGAGCTGGGGCAGCGGCCACTCGGGCACCCGACAACAGGGAAGCCCTGCCTGGCCTCACAGAAGCTGGGAAGAGAAGAGAAAGAGCGGTACAGGTGACAAGGCCAGGGAAGATCATGGCAGACACAGAGGCATCTTGGAGAGGCCCGGCCCTGGCACGGAGCTGAAAGGAAGGAAGCTGCCCTCCAAGAAAATGCCTCTCTCTAGACTCTTGCTTTTTCGTTTGTGGTTTTTTTTTTGAGACAAGAGTTTCACTCCTGTCACCCAGACTGGAGTGCAGTGGCATGATCTCAGCTCACTACAACCTCCAGGTTCAAGCGATTCTCCTGCCTCAGCATCCCGAGTAGCGGGATTACAGGTGCACGCCATCATGCCCAGCTAATTTTGTATTTTTAGTAGAGACGGGGTTTTGCCATGTTGGTCAGGCTGGTCTCAAACTCCTGACCTCAAGTGATCCACCCATCTCAGCCTCCCAGTGCTGGGATTACAGGCGTGAGCCACCACACCCGGCCGAAAATGCTCTTAAGGCTCAGAGGGGCTGAGCAGTAGCAGTGTCTCTATGTGGTGGCGAAGGGCAAACCTCCCAGCACTCCTCATTAGGCCCCACTTCAGCCTCACCTGCAAGGAATTCATCACACCATTGGCCAGCACAGCCATTTTCCCAGCCACAGACTTGACACCCTGCTTAAACTGGGCAATGTCCGCTGTAGGCAGCACGTTCCCCAGAGATACACTTCCTGTAAAACAAGAGCAGGGTGACCCAGAGCCCAGCAAGAAGCCCTTCCCAGTCACAGCAGGGCCCTCCCGCCCTGCTCCCAGGCCTCACTTGGTGCCTGCCACCCCACCAGGGCCCTACCTGCTCCGTGAGCTCCATCCATGTCCCCAAAGAGGTCTGAAGAGCTGATGGCACTGCTGCCTGAGAGCTGCTGCAGCCGAGACCTGGCCTCATACTGTGGTGAGGAAAAGGCCAGGCCTGGGGATCTTGGGGCTGATGACCCAAGGACTCACACAGGCCAGGCCCTCCTGGTGCTAAAGCCCAAAGCAGCGGCAGGGAGAAAGCTCATGCTTCTGCCTGCTGCCTCGGACCTCAGGGCAGACAGCCCCACTTACCTCTGCATCCACCTCCCGCCCAAAGAACATGTCAGATGAGATGGCTTTGGCTCCTGCGAATTTCTGACGCGCCTCACTAGACTCGAGGCCTGAGCTCCGGCTCTCCACTTCCCTCCGGTTTGTGGCTCTGAGGGGAAGATGTGGAATATCTCGGACTCCTCCCATTATCATCAGGGGAGGCAGAGTACAGAGGCCAAACAGAGCACCAGTGGCCTTTTGGTGATGGGTTACCAGGTCCCATTCTGTCTGTGGCTCTGTGGCTCTGGGCCCCTCTCCCCTGGTGAGGAGTCACCCTTCTCCACATTGAGGCCAAGGCCCAGAGAGCTTAGGAACCTGCACTAGGCAGGGTGGAAATACAGCCTGCAGTGGCCTAGGCTCCTGCCCAAAAGCACACAGCTTCGTCAGCATTCAGGAGGCCACACAACTGCTGCTACCCTAATCCTAGTGACAACTTGCCTAGTACTACAATGAGCATATGTGTCGGTCTGCCTGGCTTTATACCTACTCTTGTCATAACTATGAATAGCAAACTGCCCCCTTTACTCTCAAAAGCATCCTGGTGTGGAAAGGGAGATGGTTGCTCTCATCTCACGCTGAGTATGTGGACACTGGGCCAGGTATTTCCGGAGACCCTATGAAGTAGTTACGTTCCCATTTTATACGGGGATAACTCACAGATATTATGTCAACTAAACAGATCCCAGATTAAGATGGAGTAGGGTTTTAAAAAATAAGAAGGGGGCTGGAGACATAAAACCCCTGAAAGGAGGTCAGGACTGAAGCATACAATCAGGCTCCTCCGGCCAGAGAAATGGACCCCAAGCAAAAGAAGCTGCCAGGCCCTCTATGATGACAAAGCACAACTCAAACCGAAGCCTGACTGCTGCCCTGTCTAATGAGGCAGGCACCAGCCACTGGTGGCTATTTACGTTTATCAGAAATTAAACTACATCAGAAATTGTTGCTCAGTTGCACCAACCACATTTTAAGGGCTCATAGCCACATAGTAGTGGCTACCATATTAAACAACACAGAGAACATTCCCATCAACACAGAAAGTTCTTCTAGACAGTGCTGCCTTAGAATTCTCTACCTTCAGCTTGTTTAAAAAAAAAAAAGAAAGAAAAAAGAAAAAACAGCCCACTCTACCTTTCTGAAATAGGCCGGATGCTTGAGATGGTCACTTCTGGCTCCTTCTCCTCTACCCTGTCCATACCCCAGGCAGCATCTGTATCCCAGCGGGAGCCAAAGCTTTCCCCTAAGGAAAAGGGATTGTCCTTGTACCTAGGGAGACAGTAGAGTGGCTCAGAGAAGCCTGATGAGGAACACAGCAGCCAAGTTTACAGCTAGAAAACAGCCTTACTTTGGGGGTCCAGAGGCGAAAGTACCAACATCGTCAAACAAGTCCAGCTGCGAGCGAGAGGATTTTGCACTCACTGGGGTTTCCTGCTCAATCACCTGCATCTCAGACAGCACGGAGTGGGAGACAGAGCTGCGCAGCAAAGCAGAGCCAGGCATGAGACCAAAGGATAGGCATCAGCATCACCGCACAAGAGACAATGCCCAGCAACTGGGTTCTCCTTCACGGAGCGTCACCCAGAGCCTTCTGTCCTTACCCAAGCACAGGGCTGGGCCAGACCCCAACAGAAGGCTAGCTGTGTGTGGTGACCTGTGAAGCACACCTCAGAATTCTTTACACATCAGCTTTGTTTATTCCACGTAGGAGTTCCCTGGCCAGTGACGGTTTGCCTGTTATAATTTAATTTTATTTATTTATTTGAGACAGATTCTCACTCTGTCGCCCAGGCTGGAGTCCAGTGGTGCAATCTTGGCTCACTGCAACCACCACCTCCCAGGTTCAAGCGATTCTTGTGCCTCAGCCTCCCGAGCAGCTGGGACTACAGTGCACGTCACCACACCCAGCTGATTTTTTGTGTTTTTTCAGTAGAGACAGGGTTTCGCCACATTGCCCAGCCTGGTCTCAAACTCCTGAGTACAGACAATCCACCCGCCTTGGCCTCCAAAAGTGCCAGGATTATAGGCGTGAGCCACTGTGCCTGGCTCGTGTTGTAATTTTAATATTGTGCACCAGATGCCAGTGGTCTCTGTCCTGAACAACTCCCTACCTTGTGCACTATGAACCCCATCCTTCACTGATGGGGTTCACAAAGCAAAGGAATGGATGAAGAAATGCCCCAGCACCAGGGAAATGAACATAACTGCATCAAAGAATGAGTTCTTCATCATCCTACTCTTTATTAAAAAAAAAAAAAGCCAGGCACCGTGGCTCACACCTGTAATTCCAGCACTTTGGGAGGCCGAGGCGGGCAGATCACGAGGTCAGGAGATCGAGACCATCCTGGCTAACATGGTGAAACCCCGTCTCTACTAAAAATACAAAAAAATTAGCCGGGCATGGTGGCAGGTGCCTGTAGTCCCAGCTACTTGGGAGGCTGAGGCAGGAGAATGACGTGAACTTGGGGGGCGGAGCTTGCAGTGAGCCGAGATCGCACCACTGCACTCCAGTCTGGGCAACAGAGCGAGGCTCCGTCTCAGAGAGAAAAAAAAAAGCACCTCAAAGCACAAAGACTGGCCTTATGCACTAAGACCTAGAATTGCTGTCTCGTTTCTCAAAGAAAAGGGGTCTAGGGTTGGCAGGCAATACAATACAACTCTTGATGCCTCTCATTCCTCTGTCAGGCTCCACAAGGACACTTTAAGGACTAATTTGATTTAAATCAATTCATTAAAAAATATCTATAGCTTTTAGCTAGAAGAACCCCAAGGAGTGATTATTTTGCAATAGGGCTGAGTTGGGCCGGGCATGGTGGCTCACACCTGTAATCCCAGCACTTTGGGAGGCCGAGGCAGCCGGATCACCTGAGGTCGGGAGTTCGAGACCAGCCTGACCAAGACGGAGAAACCCTGTCTCTACTAAAAATACAAAATTAGCCAGGTGTGGAGGCTGAGGCAAGAGAATAGCTTGAACCCCGGAGGCGGAGGTTGTGGTGAGCTGAGATCACACCATTGCACTCCAGCCTAGGCAACGAGATTGAAACTCTGTCTCAAATAAATAAATAGGGTGAGTTGGGTTTAAGTAAACAATTGTTGCACTGCTAAAAAACTGTTCATATGCCTTAACCCCTTGGTCATCCCTTAACCCAGTCATCTATTAACCCAGTCATTCCTATGTGACTGAAGCAGGGAAAGGAGGGAGACCCAATGTCCTTTCAAGTTAAAATGTTATGCTCTGGCTGGATGTGGCTCACGCCCGTAATCCAAGCACTGGGCGCCGTGGCTCACACCGGTAATCCCAGTACTGTGGGAGGCCGAGGCGGGCAGATCATTTGAAGCTAGTAGTTTTACACCAGCCTGGGCAACATGGTGAAACCCCATCTCTACTAAAATACAAAAATAAGCTGGGCATGGTGGCACATGCCTGTAATCACAGCTTCTCAGGAGGCTGAGGCAGGAGAATTGCTTGAATCTGGGAGGCGGAGGCTGCAGTGGGCTGAGATCACACCACTGAACTCCAGCCTGGGTGACAGAGCAAGACTCCATCTCAAAAAAAAAAAAAAAAAAAAGAAAAGAAAAGAAAAAAGAAAGCCGGGCACCGTGGCTCATGCCTGTAATCCCAGCACTTTGGGAGGCTGAGGCAGGTGGATCACTTGAGGTCAAGAGTTCGACATCAGCCTGGCCAACATGGTGAAACCCCATCTCTACTAAAAATACAAAAAATTAGCCAGACACGGTGGTACACACCTGTAATCCCAGCTGCTTGGGAGGCTGAGACAGGAGAATCACTTGAACCCAGGAGGTAGAGATTGCAGTGAGCCAAGATCGTGCCATTGCACTCCAGCCTGGGTGACAGAGTGAGACTTTGTCTCAAAAAATAAAAATAAAAAGCCATAGCAGCCAGACATGGTGGCTCACATCTGTAATCCCAGTACTTTGTGAAGCCAAGGTACTTAAACCCAGGAATTCGAGACCAGGCTGGACAACATAGCAAAACCCTGTCTCTACAAAAAGTAAAAAAATTAGCTGGGCATGGTGGCTCCCGGCTGTGGTCCCAGCTATTTGGGAGGCTGAAGTGGAAGGATCACCTGAGCCCAGGAGGCAGAGGTTGCAGTGAGCTGAGATCACACCATTACACTCCAGCCTAGGCAACAGAGCAAGAATCTGTCTCAAAAGAAAAAGAAAGAAAACCACAGCAAACCGAGTGGTTCTGAAACAGGAAGGATTCCACCCAAACTGAGGGCATTTGAAATGTGGGGGATATGTGAGGGTATTACAGGGAGCACAAATGGCATCTCTAGACAGGAATTAAGGATGATACTAAATGCACCGCAATTCTCAGGGAGGTCTGGAAAAATAAACTGTCCCATGACTCAAAGTGCCATCAAGAAAAACCACCCTAGTCTCTTGAAGATACTGAAATAACACCTGATCCTGTGTTTTGTTCACATACCTATTCAGTCATTCAACTTACTGAGCACATACCTACTATGCGCCAAGCACTGTATTAGGGACTTTAGAACAATAAGCCAAGTGATCTATTCAGACTTGGAGAAACAATAAGCCTAGCATCCCAAACTGCTAGGAAGGCCCCGCAATGGTTCCCAGAAAACAACGGCATTTCCCTGCCACACCCGGAGCTGAGCCTCACCTTCGGGATACCAAGCCCATGCCCAACCTTTCTGCCTGCTCTCGCTTCTTCCCTTCCAGATTCTGTAGCTTCTTTTCCTCTTTCTTACGATCAATCTGGAGCTCCTGGTAGGCCAGACGCATGGAGGCGACCCTTAGGGGGAACAAAGGTGTCAGTGGCCACCACCCATCCTGACCTGTCCAACATACCCACCCACCAAGCCCCGCAGAAGCCTGAGGCCCCGGCAGCAAACACTTACATGGACTCCTCCGCCTGCTTCTTGGCATCGGCTGCCTGCTGCTCACGGAGCTTCTCTGCCACCTGAGCCTGCCGCTCAATCTCACTGAAGCTCTGGCTGCTCACCTTCTGGGCCCCTAGGCCTTTCTTGGCACCCAGCTGGGAACAGAATCATGTAAGGGGCCTTCCCAATCACACTCTCCTCAGATCCCTCCCAGGTTCAGGCACTGTAGCCACACCCACAAGGAAAAGGCCCTTCTTAAAATTTAGGGTAAAAAACAGGAGCCCAACCAGCATGGCCAAGACAATAGTGCTCCGCTGGAGCTGGGCATGGGCGGCTCACACAGCCCCAGCAGAGCCCGGGCCTGAGGACGGCAGTTAATGCTGACAGGGCCAAGTATGTGCCAAGCACTCCGCCAAGCACTAGATGTGCTCCATCTCACCGACTCCTCCCAGCAGCCCTTGAAGACAGGCTTTAAATCCCTTTAAATCTTTAAATCCCTTTCACAGGCGAGGTTCGGAGAAACACAGTACCTTTGCCAAAGTCATATAGCTGGTAAGTGGTAAGGTCAAGGAGTGAACCCAGGTAGCCTGCACCCAGCTCCTAACCCCTCTACCATACCACCTCTCCCCACCTACCCCTTTCTTAGCTGCTGCTGGCTTCTTCTTGCCAATGATGGAGCTTTTCAGTTCTGCGTGAGAAACGGGTAGGCATGAGCTAAGACAAAGGCAGCTCAGAGGCAGTAGCTCAGTATACACCATGCAGCTTCATGGCAAGAGCTCCTAAGAACAGCTTCAGGCAAGGGAAGGCAAAGCTGCCACCACCAGCTCCAACCAGCGGTGTCAAAGCCAAAGACAGACGTGGCTGGGGTATTTACTGGCACCCAGCAGAGTGAGACAGGAACCTAGACCTGAAGCACCAGAGACGTCCGAAGCACCAGAGACGTCCAAATTCCCTGAACCAAAACAAAGACTGCGAGGCAGGGAGCATATGGTGAGCACCAGGCTCCGCTTCTAAAGCAGGAAGCTGAGAACAGGGGCTGGGCTCCCCAAGCAGCTGTCAGTTACCTCTGGCAGGAAGGGCCCCTTTAGCTGACAGATACACGGACTCTGGAGGAGAAACAGACTTGTGGCTAACAAGAGGCCCACCCCAGAGCCTCCACAGAGCTCCCAAGCCCAGCGGTCTCTATGAAGCCCTGCTTCAGACCAAGCTATGCCAGCCTTCTCATGGATCAGTCTGACAGTCACTCTGCTGGGTTCCAGCCCCAACCCCCAAGAGTCAACAGAACAAACCGAGGTCAGCAAATGGACTGTTCGCCCTGAACCAAGTCTGAAAGACACTAAGGAAAATGTAGGAAAGAGTTAAAGGACAGGCTGGGGTACTGGCTGAGAAAGAACAATGTCACCTCCAGCCTTCGGCAGCTCAGAGCTGTCCCTCCACCCCCGGAAATGCACCAGACAAGCCAGCCCTGCCTCAGAGCCCAGGGATAGGTGTCCAGTCTCATGCTGGCCTCCCCAACACTTTGGCTAGACCCAGCCCCACACTCAGAGGCAGACCCCAGGCCTTATACACCAGCCCACCCAGATTCATCAATTCAAAGGGCTTGGCTCTAAAATCAGTGTTGCATCCACTATTTCAATCACAGTCCCCACTCCAGAGAATCAGATAGATGCTCAGTCTCCTGTGGCCTCTGTCCACACGGCCAGGCAGTAGGACCTCTGAAAAGAACATTTGAGGTCCACCCTCTCCCAGACACCCCACGCCTGCCCGCTGGCATACTGACCCAGTGAGGCTTTGGGTGAGGTGCCAAGCAGGTCTGTGTTGGGGCCATGCTCCGGCTCTGTGGATGCAATGGTAGGAGTTAGAGATGAGCTCCTAGCTTCCTGCAACCTCCCCTTGAAAGAAGTGATGGGACAAGAATCGGTGGCTTTCCTCAGCTTGCCACCAAAAGATAAAAGGAATATCTACCACTTCCTCCAAGGATTAAAATGAATCCCGGCCCACCCAAAGATACAGGAGGACCCCTGCTCCTATTGTCATGGCCAGATGTCCCCTTCCAAACCCTGAGTCCTCTCCTAGGACCAGGGCACCTGGTTGGAATCTGGGCTGAACTCACGTGCCAGGCCACTGCTCTCTGTAGACGGGGCTGGCTGCTGGGTCCCTGAAGGCTCAGTGGCTGGCGCATCCCAGGCAGGGGGCTGAAAAGGAGGCCAGATCACAGATGCCTCGGTGAGCCACTCCTGCTGGCAAGAAGCACCAAGACCTACAAGCACCTTGTGGACAAGAAATCATACTCCAAACCCATGAGGAAAGGGACTGGAGGGTAGCAAACAAGATCACAGTTGCTATTCACTGTGGAAGAAAGCAGGAAGACAAGCAGCCCCCACCCCAACCCCTTCACTATTTACTTAGAGCCAGAGCCCATTCTCCTAACTTAAAGACAGTTAACTACCACCACCTAGGCAGGCACAGATCTAAAGGCTCCTCATATATGAATATATTTAATTATCACTACAACCCCTATGAAGGAGCTACATCGCCATTTTAGAAACTGAGGTTTTGACAGGTTGAGTGACTTGGCCACCATCACAGGAATGCGGAGTAGAGAACAGGAATTGAAGCCAAGAGTCTAACTTCAGCACCCAGGGCCAGTAAAGAGGAAACCCTCCTCAAAGGGGTGGGGCGGGGAGGAGAGAATCCTTTCACTGTCCCCAAGCACAGTGCCTTTTTTTTTTTTTTTTTTTTTTTTTTTTTTTTTTTTTTTGAGACGGAGTCTCGCTCTGTCGCCCAGGCCGGACTGCGGACTGCAGTGGCGCAATCTCGGCTCACTGCAAGCTCCGCTTCCCGGGTTCACGCCATTCTCCTGCCTCAGCCTCCCAAGTAGCTGGGACTACAGGCGCCCGCCACCGCGCCCGGCTAATTTTTTGTATTTTTAGTAGAGACGGGGTTTCACCTTGTTAGCCAGGATGGTCTCGATCTCCTGACCTCATGATCCACCCGCCTCGGCCTCCCAAAGTGCTGGGATTACAGGCGTGAGCCACTGCGCCCGGCCCACAGTGCCTTTCTTATAGGGGAAGAATCCAGGAAAATTTGTTTGGGGCACCGGACACCTCTTGAAACTTCAAGAAGCTGCCTCTCTTCCCCGCCAGCCCAATTTATAGGAGTCGATTTCTAAGGAGGGCTACACTGCACCTCCATTTATGGAGGAGGAAACACCTAGGCCTACCCAGCAGGAACAGTGGACTTCATACGTGGTGTCCAAGACATCACATCAAAGCAAATGGAATCTACAACCATGATCACAGAAGGCCTGGGCCTTGGTAAATTGCCTGTCAAGAACAACTGGGAAAACGGTTCCTTGTGGGCACTCACTTGAGTGTGTTCTGTGAAGAAATCAGAGTCCTTCTTCTCTGGGGAGTGATTAGGAACGGCACTACTCATGTTGTCTATCCAAAGCTAGAAAGGAGAAGACACCCCTAAAACACAGGGCTCTGAATACTCCTAACCCTCCTGCCCCAGCCCCAAGAACAGGCACTTACATCAGTGCCATGCCTAGCCAGGGCCGCACTCCCCAGCTGCCGGATCTTCTCCCGGTACATCTGGGCAGCTCGGCTATTATATTTGGTGTTGGCATCATTGGCTGTGCATCCATGTTGGCGAAAAAAAGCCGTCTGGAGAGCAAAGAAGAGAGCAGCGCGTGCTACGGGTGATTCTCAAGAAGGAAACGTGTTGGCTGTAGGAGACATCTCCTTATGACAGCGAAGTTATTATCTATACAGGATGATACACGCTACTGACACCGGTTTTTCAGAGATAAAGTTTCTCGAAATTCCTGCAAAAAACACCTTGCAGCGGGCCATCCTCTGATATGACTGAAGTCCAGGCCCCACTGAACGCTGCCTGAGCACAACATCCCATACCCAGCCTCCCCATCCTTCATCCAGGGCAGGCCCACAAGACCCAATGACTGTGAAGGCTCCCAACTCCTGTGGCTTTTCCCCAAGAACACCTGCCCAGTTTAATTGGAATCTGAAACCCATTTAAGAGAAGCTGTGACCAGTTTCGAAGTTTTCAGAAAATAGCTTATGGTGGTGTTATAGAACAGAGAACCCTCTGAACAGGGAAAACGACAGGGCCTCTTAGGGAGTCGTGCAAAGTTAGTAACCAGGCAGAAGAATGGAAGGTGAGGGAAGTAGAAGGAGCTTTACCGCATTGGCATTCCCGCCGACCTGCATACACCTCAGCTGGAACCAGTTCCAGTTGGAATCCAACTCTGTGGACCTGTGTACAAGGGCTGCGTCTCACCCACTAGCAGATACCAGCAGGATTTCCCTGGCAACCCGGATACCTGTCACTTGGCCTCAGGCTGCTGTAGGCACCCAGGAAACATTAATCAGCCATCACCCCATTTCCTCCACACTACCCTGTCCATGAAAACTCTCCTCTTCGTTCATTTACTCCAAAGAGTACTAATTATGTCCCCAGATCCGAAAGGAGGTCACATTCTCAGGCACGCACGCCTGGATTTGGCTTTCCCCTAATGGATGGTCACAGTCTCACTAGAGACATACTGGTCTAACAACATATCAGCAACAACAAGGTCAATGCCTCCCTTTCCCCTCAACTAACGCTCAGAGTCTCAAGCCTGACCGTCAAAAAAGAGGAAGTTTTGGCCCAGAGGCGGAGACGGACCGCCCATGTGCCAAAGGGCCCACACAGGTGGTTCCCTCTGGCAGGAGGCTACCGGACCCTCTCGGCCCAGAGGCTTCCCACCGAATTCAGAGCGGCCCAAGTCGAGGCAGCCACTCTCCCTTGTTGCCCAGACACCCCTGGCCGGCCGGGTGGAAACACGGCAACCGCGCGGAGAGCCTACCTGATGAAGCTCAGATGGACGCCCAGGGAGCGGTGCACCCCGGAACAGTCAATGCACAAGAAAACACCGTACGTGATGCTGGCCCAACTCGGATTCTTGGCGCCGCAGTCGAAACAGGCCTGGGTGGAGGCGGCGATGAGCGAATCGTCAGGGGCCCCGAGTAAAGGCCAGGCACCGACACCCCAGAAACATAACCCACCTCCGCCCTTCTCCCTCCCTCAGGCCCCAGCGGGACGAGAGACTCCGCGCGCCCCCTGCTCACGCACCTTGTTGGTTGGAACTGCGCGAAGCCTCTTAAAAAGAGTCTGGATTTCGGTCTTGTTCGGCTCCGCCGCCATTTTCTCTCCTTCCCAGACACAACCGCGGCTGACGGGTCCCGCCGCGGGCCAATCCACGGCGGGGAGGGCGGGCTCACCAGGCCGGCCTCAGCGGTGCCTGGGCCAGCCGAGGGGTGGGGTGATTGGAGTCCGATCTGGACCAATGGGCAGCCGGCGGGACGGGGGCGGCGACGACAACCGCGGCCGCAAGAATCAACGCCGCGCCGGGCCAATCCGCAGCCGGGGCGGGGCGACGGCGCGCGGACCGGCCCAAACCTCCTCGCGCGCGTAGTACCCTTCCCCCCGCCCCTCCCACGCCGCAACCCCCAGGTGGAGTCGCCCCCACGCCGCGCAGGCTGCGGGAGGCTGGGGGCGGGGACCCCCACTCCAGCTAATTACAGATCGATGAATAAGGATTAGGCTGCCCAAACACTCCTCGTCCCTCCGGCCCGAACGGGCAGACGCATTGGCCCGCGTCTCGCCCAGCCTTCAGCCGTTCTCGGTTAACAGCAAGCCTGACAGCGAGTCCCCTCCACTCCAGATTAGTATCTCGAAGTTCCAGAGCAGGTACCAAGCAGGCAAACCCTTTTCCAACCCCGGCCCCATAACAGACGCTAGGCCTCTCTCTAGATGCCCTCTGGTGGCCTGGCAAGGGTGTCCTATCAAAAAAATGCACATGAGCCCGACAGTGGTGTTTTTGTTTTTGTGTGTGGGTGTGTGTCAAGTTTTAATACACGCTAGAACAAGCCACAAGAGGGTGCTGCTAGGCCAGAACTACACTCACCCCAAGCCCACCCCAGGAACCCCAAAGCAGAGGTCAGGAACTGAGTCCACAGCTCCTGGGGAGGCCCAGGCACCCCTGAACGCTTCTGTCACCTCTGACCTCCCATCTTGCCCTCAGCCTAGACTCGTCCCTTCCCTACCAGTCCCTTCCCTAGACAAAGGCCCCTCCCCTCCCTGGGTCCCAGGACTTCCTCCCTCAAGGGACAGAGGAGCAGCCAGAGAGCGACGGTTCAGGGCCCTGAGGGTCCGGCTCTCCAGGAGAAGCTGGGCTCTGAACCAGGGTGGGTAAACGTTGCAGAAGGGCTGTCAGGACACTCAGGCGCCCACACACTCCACGTAGTTGGCAGGGTACAGGCCAATGCGGCCACTCTGCAACTGGCCTTGGCACCAGCCCTGCTCGTCCTCCTCACTCATCTTCAGCAGCTCCTCCCCTGGGGGAAAGGGGATTGGTCACTGCCAGTGGCCCTGGCCCAGGCCCTGTTCCTGCAACTGGGTCAAGGACTGAGGGGGATGGTGTGGTCCCAGAGCCCAGCTAGCAAAGACATGGCTCAGGCAGAGGCAGGTCAAGGTCAGCAAGCTGCCCCACCCCAGACCCTGAATGCAGCCACCAGGCACCAGCTATCTGGACCTGGAACAGCTGAAGGGACAGAGGACTGGCCCTTAAGAAGTGGGTATTTGGCTTCCCTTTCTGACACCCCTGCTCAGGCAGATAAGGCAGAGGCTGAAGCTAGGAAAGGGGTCCCAGGGTACCTGCTCGGAAGCTCAGCTCATCAGCTTCCTGGCCAGCGTAGTCATAGAGTGCCCTCACCCGAACCCCGGTGGCAGCCTTCCGGGGACTCTCTTCATCTGACCACTCCTCATCCTGCCCCGTGCTGGAGAGGGGAGGCAAAGGGAGCAGCTCAGAGTGCAAGGAACACGGGGCTGGAGATCTCACCCAGGATCAGGGCAAAGGCCTCCCTACCCCCAGAGGCACCTGGGAGAGTCAGGTGAGGTACTAAAGATTCTAGCTCTACCTCGCCATGCCCGACTGTGAGCAAAGAGGCAATTCCTGCCACACGCAGCTGATTTAAGGCATAAACGAGAGGGAATGTGGGAAATGCCCAGCAAATCTAAACCACTATGAGAACCAGTATCATTACAACTACTAAGTAGGCCCTCAGGTCCCTGGCACCAATTTTCAACCCATTTCAGGTGTGAAAGAAATGAAACCAAGGAGAAAGGAAAGGAGGGCGGGAGGCAGAGCTGTTTCTTTGCCACAGCCGCGCTCCTGGCTCTCACCCTGGGGACCCCGGGGACTGGGGTGGGGGTGCGGTGCCATCTCTTGTAGGCACAATGCTGGTCAGGGTAACCTCATCAGGGCTCCGGCCACCCTTCTCTTTCCGGCTGATTGTCCTCTGTGTGTCCAAGGACCACTCCTGTGGGGACAGTGCTTATAGTCAGGTGGGGCCATCTGAACCACCTTCACTTACTTCATCCCTAGCCCTGGCCGAGCTGAGTGGGAGCCCATCCCACCTCCCATCCCCACCCCGCCTGGAACACATGCCTCGAACTGTGGCCAGTTCATGGCCATGCCTGGCCCGTGGGTGCTGCGCCACCAGCGCAGATCCTCTTCGTCACTGGCTGCCTCAATGCCCTGGTGCAAGTCACGGTGGAGTTCATGGAACCTATGACCCAAGGCACACCCCTCAGTCTAGGAAGTCTAGACCCTGCATCCCTCAGTCCCAGCCAGGGCCTCGGGGAGATGGAGGAGACCCAGTACTACCCCAGATCTCCATGCCCACCAGGCAGTTCATACTTCTCACTGCTGGAAAGGTCCAGGTGCTGGTGTAAGGTGAGCAGCATATCCTTGAAGAAAAGAAGCCGCTGGCGCTCGGCGGCCTGGCAGGTCTCAAAGGCCTGTTCCATGTCCTCCATGTAGCGTGGAGTGTAGCGATGCAGCTCTGCCAGCGTCTGCTCATACTGAGCTTTTGTCTGGGTGGGAGAGGAGGGGCCTGGTGAGAACCAGACCTTCTTCCACCCAGGACTCCACCAGTGTTTACCAGACACTGCCATAGGCTGCTAGACCCAGGGCTAGCCACTAGGGGCAATCAGTCCCAAGACCCAGCTCCTGCCCTCAAGGACCCCAGCAGCCTAACAAGGGAGGTGACATCAGGCACAGCATATAAAAGAGTCTGGTGAGGATTGAAATGAGGTCAACCTACAGGAAAGGATGGGAGAAATCAGAAAAGGCTTCCTGGAGGAGGTGGAAACTGCAGCATCTCAGGATGGGGAGGATTTGCATATCCAGAGCTGCAGGAAAGGACACTTCGGGCAAAGGGTACTGTGCAAGGAAAAGAGCTGGAAGTTCTCAACTGCTGAAGTCATCCCAGTGCCTGAAACTCCATTTCTTTCCCTAGTAAAGCATCACCTTTTGTCAGGTTCCTCCTTTAAATGATCATCTGGAGAGAGGGTGGCAGGTGAGGAATAGGGTAATAAGGGTGCTGGGGACTGGACAAGATGTTCAGGGAGCAAGATTCATTCAGGAAGCCGTGCCCTGGGCGGGGGCCAGGGCTGGGACCTGTGGCCTGTACCTTCTCGGCCTCCTTGGCACAGCGTTCCACCCGTTCCTGCAGTTTGCGCAGCTGCTCCTGGGAGACGGCGCTGTCTGCCTTTGCGTGGCTCTCCCTCGTCTGGGCGGTCTTCTCATCCTTCCGGGCTGCGTGGTAGCTTTTCTTGGAAGCCTCAACCTGGCATGCATGGAGACCACTCTGGACCCTGGATGCCACACCTTGGCCCCCTCGATCCCTTGCAAACAAACAGGAAGGAGCCTGTCTCGGATACCTCCCCCACCCAGCCTCACCTCCTTCAGCCTCTTCAGCCAGGGCTTCTGGGCCTTGCGGAAGCCGTCCTCGGCCGCCCGGCTCTCGCGGAAGCCGCCCAGCACAGGCCGGTGGAAAGCCCCCCGCTGCCAGGCGCGCACCCGCTCACTGTCCTGCCCTTGCAGCTTCTCCCGCACCTCCAGGTGCAGCGCGCTCAGCCGCTCAGCCGCCGTGAAAAAGGCATGCCAGGCCTTCTCCAGTGTGCCATACTGGGGGCCTGCAGGGAGGGACAGGGCTTAGGCCAGGCCTGGGTACCACCCAAAATGAGCCTAGCCCCTCTCACTGGGTGTGAGGCATGGAGGCATGGGGTACGCGCATGGGGTGCAAAGGTGAATGACAACCCTGTCAGCTGGGCTTATTGAATGAGGACCATGTGCCTTATCTCACTGACTCCTTGTCTCAGCCACCATCGTGAGGACAGCGACATTGCCAACATTGAACAGGCAAAACACTGAGGACCAGAGATGTGAACTCGCCCAAAGCATTATGGCTACAACAGGAGCTGAGGGCCGGGCACAGTGGCTCACTCCTGTAATCCCAGCACTTTGGGAGGCCAAGGCGGGTGGATCACAAGGTCAGGAGATCGAGACCATCCTGGCTAACACGGTGAAACCCTGTCTCTACTAAAACTACAAAAAATTAGCCGGGCATGGTGGCGGGCGCCTGTAGTCCCAGCTACTTGGGAGGCTGAGACAGGAAAATCACTTGAACCCGAGAGGGGGAGACTGCAGTGAGCTGAGATCACGCCGCTGTACTCCAGCCTAGGTGACAGAGCGAGACTCTATCTCAAAAAAAAAGAAAAAAAAGAGGAGCTGAGATTCAAACCCATCTCTGTTGTGTAAACACTACACTCCATTGCCTCAAAGGAAGAGCCTGTGTGTGCCCTCGAGGAAGACAGCTTGCAGGGTGGAAAGATCCATGCTCCCAGTCAGAGGGCCTGGGCTCAACCTTCAGCACTTCCTAGCTGTGTGCCTTTAGGCAAGTCCCTTAGCCTCTCTGAGCTTCCAGTTTCTCCTCTAGAAAATGCATAAAACAGGCCCAGGTGCGGTGGCTCATGCCTGTAATCCAGGCCGGGCACGGTGGCTCACGCCTGTAATCTCAGCACTTTGGGAGGCCAAGGAGAAAGGACCGCTAGAGCCCAGGGGTTCAAAACCAGTCTGAGCAACATAGCAAAACCCTATCTCTACAAAAAATACAAAAATTAGCCAAGTGTGGTGGTCCATGCCTGTGATCCCAGCTATTGTGGTCCCAGCTATTCAGGAGGCTGAGGTGGGAGGATCAGTTGAGCGTGGGAGAGGGAGAGGTTGCAGTGATCCATGATTGTACCACTGCACTCCAGCCTGGTGACAGAGTGAGACCCTGTCTCAAAATAAATAAATAATAAACAAAGGAAAGAAGGCCAGATGCAGTGGCTCACGCCTGTAATCCCAGCACTTGGGGAGGCTGAGGTGGGTGGATTACCTGAGGTCAGGAGTTTGAGACCAGCCTGGCCAACATGGTAAAACCCCGTCTTTACTAAAAATACAAAATTAGCCAGGCGTGGTGGTGGGTGCCTGTAATCCCAGCTACTTGGGAGGCTGAAGCAGGAGAACCACTTGAGAGGCGGAGGTTGCAGTGAGCCAACATCATGTCACTGCACTCCAGCATGGGCAACAAGTGCAAAACGTCTCAAAAAAAAAAAAAAAAGAAAGGAAAGAAAATGGGTAAAACAACCATCTCCACAGGGTTGTTGCAACTATCAAAGTAACTCATGAGCATCCTTTATAAACTTTAATAACACCACAGCCATGAGGATGACCAGGAGGATCTTCCCTTTCTAAGGGAGGGTAGACGTGGAGGCCTCAAACTTCCCACGAGACGTGCAAAAAGAAGCTGGCCCGACAGTCCTGCACTCAGCTGCCCTCTGCCCCCTGCGAGGGCCTGGCTCACCCTTCTCCACGGTCCCCCTCCACTTTCGGGCCCAGTCAGCCAACTGCTGGGCATAAGCCTTCTCGATGCGGGCGCGCTCCTGGAAGCAGCTGACCAGGTCCCCGCACAGCCGGTGCCCGTCCTCCACCCGCTGTACCGTGCGCCTGTAGTTGCCAGCCTGGGCATACAGGAAAAGGGTGCCATCACCAGGGAGAAGCTTCCTTTGGGGCTGGGGCTGTCAGATGGGCTCCTCCCCTAGACAAGTAGCTGAGCCCAGGACCCAGCTGCTCACCTCCCAGAAACTGCCCCCTAAGGCCTCCCCTCCAGCGTCCTCTTCTGGAGCCATGGTGTCCCCGCAGCACGGAATGGTGGCGGATTTGGGGCTGTGGAGGGCAGAGGGGTAAGCAGGAAAGCTGGACATTATGTTTCTGGGGATAGGAAAAGACCCTCTCTATACCTGGGCCTCGCCCCACTGCCATCCCCACCACCCAAGGAGTCATCAGAGCTAGGACTTAGCAGGCAGGGTGCTGAAGACCCTAAGAAGGGCCAGGATGGGTGAGGATGGAGTCTCAAAGCTCTTCCTCTCACTGCTCTGCACTTCCCCCCCCGCCCCCCCACATACCTGGGGCCTAGAGATCACTTCAAGGACCCGGGTGTCCAACTCTCAATGCTGCCACCGTGACTCTGCCTTGAAGGAGAACAGAGCGGGGGTGAGGGTGGGGGCCTAGAGCGTCCAGGGCGGTGCCCGGCACCCCCAATATAGCAACTGCTGTCAGAAGCGCCGGATTCCAGGGAGGAGAATGCCAGGCAGGTCACACGATCCAGCCAGGGATTAAATGGCAGGCGGGGGTGGGCGGTGGGCAGAAGGCCCCACTCCCCCAACTGCCGATGAGAGGACTCCTGCCCAGGCTAGGGCCTCTGTTGCCTTCCCTTGAGTGACAAGACAACCCTGTTACCCGAGAGGCCAAGTCAGAGGGTGCCTGGCCACATCCCAGTAGCTCCCTGTACTGAGGAGGGCACGAAGGGAACCAAGAGGCCTGGCTTCTGTGTTGGCCAGGAAGCCCGAACAAGTGTATGTAACTGTCTCCTCCTAAGGAGGCCCCAGCTCCCTCTAAGATGGAACTCCTCTGTGTGCTCAGCTGCCATGCCAGGGCTGGTGTGAAACTCAAACCAAGCAACGCACCAGAAATACGAGGGGCCCTGCAGTCACGGAAGATACTCATCTCACTCCACACATCCACTGAGGGCCCGCAAGGCTCCGTGGGGAACACACAACCCGGGCCTGCCCTCCAAAGGCCTGGCGTCCAGGGCAGCATGGGGAAGTGAGAAGCGATGGCCAACTATAAGAATGTCTCCCAGGCTGGGTGTGGTGGCTCACGCCTGTAATCTCAGCACTTTGGGAGACTGAGGTGGGTGGATCACCTGAGGTCAGGAGTTCCAGACCAGCTTGGCCAACATGGAGGAACCTCGTCTCTACTAAAAATATAAAAATTAGCCAGGCGTGGTGG
Source organism: Homo sapiens (assembly GCF_000001405.40). Taxonomy (NCBI): domain Eukaryota; kingdom Metazoa; phylum Chordata; class Mammalia; order Primates; family Hominidae; genus Homo; species Homo sapiens. The sequence continues at coordinate 47,183,890 of NC_000011.10, forward strand.
CGGGAACCTGTAGTCCCAGCTACTTAGGAGGCTGAGGCATGAGAATCACTTGAACCTAGGAGGCGGAGGAGGTTGCGGTGAGCAGAGATTATACCACCGCCTGGGCAACAGAGTGAGACTGTCTCAAAAAAAAAAAAAAAAGTTCCCTAGAATCGCAGAGGACGGCAAGCCAATTCCAACCCCAGAGCCATGGCCCCAGGGACTCAAGGACACAGTGGCATGTGGCTGCTCCCCTCCTGCCTCTGGGCAGGGTCTCAGCTGTCCCCAGCACTGACTGACTCACAGACCCTAGAAGGAAATCGCTTCCTCTCTGAGCAGGCCCAAGGGACACAGCCAGACCCAGGAGGACAGTGTGCGCCCTTTGTCCCCAAAGCAGGGCGCTGTCACAGCGCTTCCTCCAAACTCATGCACCTCTGCTTCTCCTTCAAACCTCCAATTAAGGCATCTTCTCCTCAGTCACTTCCCCTGTTTCTCTGTCCTTGCTCCTGTAGCCCCGGGTGACCCTTCAGCCGGGGTGTATAACCCATGGAGTTGTGGCTGACAGGACAGTGTCTATCTTCAGTCACCGACAGAGGCTTCCAGGATTCTGATTTGTGTGTCCCCACGCGCTGGAATCAGCAATAATTAGTTAAGTGAGAAAAGAAGCGATGTCCACCTGGAGCGCAGGAAACGCGCCCGCTCCAGCAGCTGTGGGAATGCTTGGTCCAAGTGGGCTTCCCCCTCTGCTAACAGGAGACAGAGCTAGGGGCTCCGCGGAGACCCAGGCAATGGAGGTGCCCACCAGGGGCCTCACAAGCTCGTCACTTGGTTCCCTCTGCAGTGTGTCCTGTCTGCCCAGAAAGGACCTGACAGGGCGATGGAGAGAAAGAGAGCTGCTGCCATGAATCACAGGGCTCTGGAGCCGCCCCAGTCCAGCCTCAGGAGCCTGGGGCCCCTTGCCTGTTCCAGCCTCCGAGTTCCCTGCTCCCCAGAGAGCTGCCCCCCACCCCTTCCCTCTCTCTGGCCCCAGAACAGAGCAAGCTGTGTGTACCGGGCTGGCACAGCTCCCTCCGGCCTCCCAGAGCAAACACAGGCCCAAGCCCCGGGTGCAGCCAGGCCCCACAGCCCCAGCCTGACCTCTCAGCAAGCAAGCAAGGAGGGCTTGCACCTTGGCCCCCATTGAGCAGGTTGGCACCCTGTGCCTCCTGAGCTCAGCAGAGACCCAAATCAGTCCCCACCGCAGGCAAGAGCTCAGAAAGCAGGTAATGCAATCTTCCCAGCCCCGGGAGCCAGCACGTTCGGCTCCGAGAGGTCTTCCTGGGCTTGGCAGGGTCTCCTTGCAGCTGCACGGGCCAAGGTAGGAAGTCCCTGGTTCAGGGAAGACCCAGTCTCCCTACCTGAGGCCTGAAGGTACCCGGCCCCAGACCAGCCCCAACCTCTTCCAGAAGCTGGGGGCTTGCCCCTGGGAGGGAGCTCAGCCATTCTGCCTGGCCCATCCCTGGAACCTGAGTCACAGGCTGCGCCCAAGGGCTTCTTTCCCGGGCAGCCCCTCCCGGTGCGCCCGCAGCTCTAGGATTTGAGGACAGAGCGGGGGGGAGGGGAGGGGGCGTCAGTAGGCTGGTCCGAAGAGGGACAGCGAGGTTAGAGGGGCTGGAACCAGAAGCCAGAGCCAGCCAGGAGATCAGGAGGCTGGGGGAGGGGGTGGCGCAGCCAAAGCGGGAGGAGGCAGGGCCAGGGAGGGGCATAACAAAGGGGCACTTTTGGAAACCCGACCTGCCGGCCGGGGTGCCTGCTTCCAGATGACGCACTCCGAACCCCAGCCTCCACTCCAGAGCTCGGCGCCCAGAGGCTACGCGCCTCTGGCCTCAACCCTTATGGACCGCGCCCCTCGACAGGACCCCTTGCCGCCCGGAGCTGCATAACTCGGAGCCCGTGGAGCCACGCGGAGCGGCAGGGCCAGGCCTAGCCACCGAAGCTCTAGACTTCTTGGCCAAACTTGTTGAACTTGGTCTTGGCGGGGGTGGGGCCACTGATCACCGCCAAGGGGAGGGGACGCCCCCTGCCTGGGCCGGCCTTGCCGTGGGCTCCAGATGGTGGCCCCGGGCAGCGGACCCAGGAATCGGGGCTCGCTGCATAGGGCGAGGGATCGCCAGGGAGCGAGGACCCTCTGGGGCCTCGGGGCGGGCGCGAGGCGAGCGGACGGGGGCCCTCGAGGGGCCCCTGAAGACGGCTCAGCCCTCCAGCGCCGGCGCCGCCTCCCCCGGGCGGCCTGCGGAATTGCGAAGCCCGCGGCACCGCAGATGGGACGGCCCCTCGGCGCGGCTACGGCCCTTCCCGTCGGCACGCAGAGCGGGGTGGCCGGGGGCTCCCTGGGCGGGAGTCGGCTCCATTGCAAACTTCAGAAGCCGGAGCAGGAGAGGGCGGGCTCGAGCCACCGCACCCGCCGCCGCCTACCCGCGCGTCCCCTCCAGGGCACTCACCGCGTCCTCCCTGGGCCCCTCGGCGGGTGGGGGTCCGGCCACGCTCCGGCCCGAGTCCTGCCGCTCCTGGGCCCGCGCCGCGGCCTCCCGGAGCGCGCCGGGCCCTCCCCCGGGAAGCCCGGCCCCCGGCCCCCGGCCCCGCCCCTCTCCTGGCCGCCGCTGCCTCAACCCCACGCGGCGGGGCAGCGGGGCTGCAGGCATCGCGGCGACCAGCGGCTCTTGTGGCGCGGGTCGAGGTTTCTCTGCTTCGCCCGTGTGCGGAGTGCCTGGGCGGGCTCCCCAGGGTTGCGCCCCGGTGCCGCAGGGAGCCAGATTTCGGCTTTGCCTCTCCCGGACCGTTGCAGAGCCTGGGAGACCCGAGGGAGCAAGAAGGGACCGGGCCGGCACGGGCAGCCTTGGAGAGGGGCCGGGGGAATTACACTGCCTTACATTTTTAGCTGCACAGCTTGTTTAGAAATTGGCTCAGGCGAGGCTCACAACCACCCCTTGTAAGCATTAGGATTCCCACTGTACAGATGCAAAAACTGAGGCTCGGGGGCTTTTCAGAGGCTTGCCCAAGATTTCCCTCTAGTCAGGCAGGGCTGGGACTCCAAAACCGTGCCCTACCGTTCCACAGCTGCCCTGCTAATCTGGGGCGCCTTCTAAGGCCTGAGACGAACACGCGGTGGGGGTGGGACAAAAAGGCCTAAGCTCCTCCCGCTCCGAGTTCTTATTTCCAGATTTTGTACCACGATTCATTCTTACCCTTCGCCCCTCCACCCCCTTTATCAGTCTGGTACATTTTTCCATATCGCCACGATGCCACCCCACGCTAAATAAATCCCTTCTCCCTCCTCTCTCCCTACTTCCCTCTCCCCGCTTTCCCCCGGGGGTGAGATTTTGCAGAGCGGCTCCGTCTGTTATTTATATCCACTGGAGCGGTCCAAGAATGTTCCGAAGCTGACCTAATCGCCACCTGCTCGGCCTCTCCGCCCCTCCCACTCTCTCCTGGGCCCGGTGACCCAGCGGCGGTGCCCTGAGCCTTGAAGACCAGGGGGAGCGCGGACCAACGGGGTCGAACGCCCGGGCGCAGAAGGTCCCGGACGCAGAAGGTCCCGGGCGCGCAGAATCGCAGCGGGTCGGAGAGCCCCGGCGCTCTCAGAGGAGTGCGCCCCCAGGGACGCGGCTCTGAGCCCTGGGAAGCTGAGGCGCCTGGCTGCGCCCTCTGAAGCTCGTACTTTTCCTCCCACCCTCAGCTCCCTGAAGAGTGTGAGTGCGTGCGCGCGGAGTTTTAAACGGCAGCTTTAAAAATAGCAAAATTATGTTGTTTCTAAATCCAGGAGGAATCACTGACGCGTTCTTTACGCAGATGAATCCGCTCACAAAACGGGAAAGGGACCTGGAGAAAATGAATGGGGGTAATTTTGCCTGCCGAGGGCTCACTTGCTGGGCAGTGCTAATGGAAGGGTAAAACTGCCTCCCCAAGACACCTGTGGGGCACCCAAGGCGCGCCACCTTTGGCCTGAGGATTCTGGCCGTGTTTGGCAAATCATAGCTGAGTAGTGAATCTGAAACCTGGGATGTGGTTTCTGAGACCAATTTCAACACCCACTCTCTCTTAGGGCTTGGACAAGTCCCTTATCTCTATTTCTACCTCTATAAAACATGACAGGTGACCAGCTGACCTTCCGCTGAGCCATGAGCCCCAGCTAATTAATGATTGTAAAAAACAACTGCAGATCAGAGGAGCTGGGAAAATGGCAAATCACAGCCACAGGGTTTTGTATTCTTTAAAATCAGTTAACATCCCTCCTAGCGCCTGAAGGCCTTTAGGCACCTAGACCGAAGTGTGAAAACACAAGAATGAAATTAATTACAGGAGCCACCTATTAAAACCTCATTAAAAATAAAGTTGGCAGCCAGGCTGTGGGATCTGGGAAAGCCAGGCCATAGAGAGACTCAGAAAACAGGGCTGTTCATCAGACCACAAAGAGAAGGGGATGTGGACTGGAAAACATCTGGCTTCCCTTGGGCTCAAGTCTGGGAGCAGAAAGCAGAAATGTTGCAGCTGATCTTAATTGCCCCTGAGGTACTGTAGGGGAAAAAAAACAACAAAATAAAACCCAGAGCATAGGGGGCTGCTTCTAAGCTGAAAGTAGACAGACATGCCTTTGGAAAGCCAGCTCCAAGCTAATGCTACCCCCAGGGCTCCCATTCTGCGCTCTATGGCCAGAGCCCTTAACATCCACACTGCTCCATCAGTGCTGTCCTCAACCCAGAGTTCAAGATGAGATGTCAGTGGACAGAGGGCTGCATAAAGACAGAAATCTGGTCGGGCGCGGTGGCCCACGCCTGTAATCCCAGCATTTTGGGAGGCCGAGGCGGGTGGATCATCTGAGGTCAGGAGTTTGAGACCAGCCTGGCCAACATGGTGAAACCCCATCTCTACTAAAAATACAAAAATTAGCTGGGCATGGTGGCGGGTGCCTGTAATCCCAGCTACTTAGGAGGCTGAGGCAGGAGAATCGCTTGAACCTGGGAGGTGGAGGTTGCAGTGAGCTGAGATCGTGCCATTGCACTCCAGCCTGGGCGACAAGAACAAAACTCCATCTCAAAAAGAAAAAGAAAAAAAATGACAGAAATCTAAGGCTGGGCACAGTGGCTCACGCCTGTAATGCCAGCACTTTGTGAGGCTGAGGCAGGTGGATCACCTGAGGTCAGGAGTTCAAGACCAGCCTGGCCAATAATGAAACCCCATCTCTACTAAAAACACAAAAAAACTAGCAGGCGTGGTCGTGGACGCCTGTAGTCCCAGCTACTTGGGAGGCTGAGACAGGAGAATTGCTTGAACCCGGGAGGCTTAGGTAGCTGAGATTGCGCCACTGCTCTCCAGCCTGGTCGAAGGAAACTTTCTCTCAAAAAGAAAAAAAGACAAATCTAGCAAGGCATTTGGCTCAGGGTACCAATGGGCAGATTGGTCCATAGCCAGATTTCACGCCACTCACAGACTCACCTTGAGTTTCTGGAATATCCTAACCACTGTGCCTTCATTTGTTTATTTATGCATTCATTCACCCAGCCAAGAAAACACTTGAGTTTTTACTCCATGCTAAGGCTATGCTAGGAATGTTGGGAGTACAAAGTTAAATAAGGCAGAGTCCAAGTGTACCGTAATGATGCAAGGCAGATAGGAAGTATTGAGAGAAAACAGGCAGAAGGGACGGCCTTTCACAGGACATGACACTGATAGGTCTTGATGAGTAGGAATTAGTCACGTGGACAGGCATTCTAGGCAGGAGCTTCAGGGTGTGCCAAGCCCCAGGGGTGTTACCATATGACTTTGTGACCTAGCAATTCTACTTTTTGGTATTTACCCTGGACGAACATGTACAAATGCAGAAAGAGGTACAATGATGTTTGCATATAGTACTGTTTGCAACAGGGGAGAACTGAAAACAAATGTTCATCATGAAGGCAATAGTTGAACAACCTAAAGTTCATTCATGCTGTGGATTACTCTGCAAAAACTCAAGAACAAGCTAGAGGCAGGAGTTCGAGACCAGCCTGGCCAACAAAGTGAAACCCCTTCTCTACTAAAAATACAAAAATTAGCCAGGTGTGGTGGCGTGTGCCTTTAGTCCCAGCTACTTGGGAAGCTGAGACAGGAGAATCGCTTGAACCCAGGAGGCGGAGGTTGCAGTGAGCTGAGATTGCGCCATTGCACTCCAGCCTGGGAAGCGAGAGCAAAACTCCATCTCAAACAAAAACAAACCAAAAAAAAAAAAAAAAAAAAAAAAAGAACAAGGTAGAGAGAGACATATTCTTTTTTTTTTTTTTTCGAGACGGCGTCTTGCTCTGTCGCCCAGGCTGGAGTGTAATGGCGCAATCTCAGCTCACTGCAACCTCCACCTCCCGGGTTCAAGCGATTCTCCTGCCTCAGCCTCCTGAGTAGCTGGGATTACAGGCACGTGCCACCACGCCTGGCTAATTTTTGTATTTTTAGTAGAGACGGGGTTTCACCATGTTGGTCAGGCTGGGCTCAAACTCCTGACCTCATGATCCACCCGCCTTGGCCTCCCAAACTGCTGGGATTACAGACATGAGCCACCGCACCCAGCCAAGAGATGTATTCTTATAAGAAGACCTCCAAGACGATGTCAAGGGAAAAAAGCAAAATGCAAAACACACTAAATCTTCACAGAAAATATACTTCATACTGATTTTGGCGTTTATCTTTAGGCAGAGGTCTAGAATTGGTAAGGGACATTTTTGTAATGTTAGAAAATTTACAATGAGAATGTACCTATGTGTAAATTATGTAACTAAAATTAAAAACTGGGGGGTGGGCGAGTGGGTATTTGTATCTAAAATAGTGCTGTCCAATTATTTTCTGCAGTGGTGGGAATGTTCTATAGCTGTGCTGGCCAATATGATAGCCACTAGTAGCATGAGACTGTTGAGCACTTGAAATGTGGCTATTGAAAACATAAACTTGCCGGGTGCAGTGGCTCACGCCTGTAATCCCAGCACTTCGGGAGGCCGAGGTTGGGTGGATCACCTGAGGCTGGGAGTTCAAGACCAGCCTGACCAACATGGAGAAACCCCATCTCTACTATACAAAATTAGCCGGGCATGGTGGCTCATGCCTGTAATCCCAGCTACTCAGGAGGCTGAGGCAGGAGAATTGCTTGAACCTGGGAGGCGGAGGTTGTAGTGAGCTGGGATTGCTCCATTGCACTCCAGCCTGGGCAACAAGAGCGAAACTCCGTCTCAAAAAAAAAAGAGAAAACATAAACTTTTAATTAAAAAAAAATTTTTTTAACAACTGGTAATCAATTTATTAAAATTGTTGACTTAAGCATCCTGCAATGGTGACTTCCACCTCAACTCCTGGCTCAATACTGATGGAAGTAATCTGCTTAACAATCTCAGAAGGACTGTGCAAGTCAATGAGTCGCTGGTGGATTCTCATCTGGAAACGATCCCATGTCTTAGAACCTTCACCACAAGGGGTTTTTCTTGTAGTGATTCTCAAAGTCTTGGTAAGCATTCGGACTGGTCCTTTCACTTTGAGATTCTTTTCCTTTGCGCCTCTGATCAAGTCAGCACACACCTTTTCCAGGGATTTTATGTTGCGGCTTGTTAGGGTGATTCGAATTCAGTGAATCGCCACCTCCGGCTCCACGGGTGTTTTTCCGGTATCCTTAAAAGCCATGGCTGCTGCGTGGCTTCCTGACCGACTTTTTCCTCAGCGAGAGTGAACAGCAGTGAGTCAGGAGCAGGAGAGTGCGGACGAGAGACTCACAGCACCTACGACCGCGTCTTCCTCCAATTTAAAAATTTTGAAATTAGGCCAGGCGTGGTGGCTCATGCCTGTAATCCCAGCACTTTGGGAGGCCGAGGCAGGAGGACCACTTTAGGCCAGGAGTTCGAGACCAGCCTGGCCAAGATGGTGAAACCACGTCTCTACTAAAAATACAAAAATTAGTCTGGCATGGTGGTATGCACCTATAGTCCCAGCTACTCAGGGCAGGGCTGAGGCAGGCGAATTGCTTGAACTCAGGAGGCAGAGGTTATAGTGAGCCAAGATTGTACCACTGCAGTCCAGCCTGGATGACAGAGCGAGACTCTATGTCAAAAAAAAAAAAGAAAAATTAGCTGAGTGTCGTGGCACATACCTGTAGTGCCAGCTACTGAGGAGGCTGAGGTCACCGGAGCCTGAGAGGTCAAGGCTGCAGTGAGCAGTGATTGGGCCACTGCACTCCAGCCTGGGCAACAGAGTGGGATCCTGTCACAAAAAAAAAAAAAAAAAAAAAAAAAAAAAATTAACAACTACATGTGAGTAGTGGCTACTGTATTGGACTGTGCAGGTCTCGAATCTCTAGAATAATGAGGTCATGATGGGGTGGAGGTATCAGAGGCATTTGAACCAGAGAGACTCCAGCTTGAATAGGGGCTGGGTAAAATAAGGCTCAGACCTACTGGGCTGCATTCCAAGGAGGTTAGGCATGCTGAGTCCAGCTGATAAAAGGATGCGATAAAGAAGCTGGCCAAAACCTACCAAAACCAATATGGCAATGTGACCTCTGGTCATCCTCACTACTCATTATACGCTAAATCTAATACATTAGCATGCTAAAAGACACTCCTACCAGTGCCAGGACAGTTTACGGATGCCATGGCAATGTCAGAAATTTACTCTATGTAGTCTAAAAAAGGGAGAAACCCACAGTTCCGGGAATTGCCCACCCCTTGACCAGAAAGCTCCTGAATAATCCACCCCTTGTTTAGCATATAATCAAAAAATAACTTAAGTATTCTTAGGGCCGGGCGCAGTGGCTCACGCCTGTAATCCCAGCACTTTGGGAGGCCAAGGCGGGTGGATCACGAGGTCAGGAGATCAAGACCATCCTGGCTAACAAGGCGAAACCCCGTCTCTACTAAAAATACAAAAAATTAGCCAGGCGTGGTGGCGGGCGCCTGTAGTCCCAGCTACTTGGGAGGCTGAGGCAGGAGAATGGGGTGAACCCAGGAGGCGGAGCTTGCAGTGAGCCGAGATAGCGCCACTGCACTCCAGCCTGGGCGACAGAGCGAGACTCCGTCTCAAAAAAAAAAAAAAAAAAGGTATTCTTAGGTGAGCAGCCCTTGCTGCTGCTCTGCCTGTGGAGTAGCTTTTTTTTTTTTTTTGAGACAGAGTCTTATTCTGTCACCCAGGCTGGAGTGCAGTGGTGCGACCTCAGCTCACTGCAACCTCTGCCTTCTGGGTTCAAGCGATCCTCCTGCCTCAGCCACCAAAGTAGTTGAGATTACAGGTGTGCACCACCATGCCTGGCTAATTTTTGTATTTTTGTAGAGACGGGTTATTGCCATGTTGGCCAGGCTGGTCTCAAACTCCTGACCTCAGGTGATCCACTTGCCTCAGCCTCCCAAAGTGCTGAGATTACAGGCATAAGCCACCGTTCCTGGCCAGAGTAGCCATGCTTTATTCCTTTGCTTTCTTAATAAACTTGCTCTCACTTTATTCTATGGATTCGCCTCAAATTCTCTTTCACCAGACCCAAGAACCCTCTCCTGGGGTCTGGATCAGGACACCTTTCTGGTAACAGAAGCAGATGGAAGATGAAGCTGGAAAGATAGGTTGGGATTGGATGGTGAAGATTTGCAAAGTGGGCTAGGGAATTTGGACGCTACCCTATAGGCAGTGGGAAGTGTCCATGAGAGTAGGTAGATCAGATTTCCCCTTTTATTTTATTTATTTATTTTTTTGAGACAGAGTCTCGCTCTGTCGCCCAGGCTGGAGTGCAGTGGTGCAATCTTGGCTCACTGTAACCTCCGCCTCCCGGGTTCAAGCAATTCTCCTGCCTCAGCCTCCCAAGTAGCTGGGATTACAGATGCCTGCTACCATGGCTAATTTTTGTATTTTTAGTAGAGACGGGGTTTCATCATCTTGGCCAGGCTGGTCTTGAACTCCTGACCTCGTGATCCACCTGCCTTGGCCTCCCAAAGTGCTGGGATTACAGGCATGAGCCACGGCGCCCAGCCAGATTTCCCCTTTTTAATGATAACTCTGGCCACCCTGCCGAGAGTAGATCAGAGCCGGCTAAGTGCTGCAGGCAGGGCTGTCTCCTCTGAAGGCTGCTTTGTGAGTTTCCCTCCGTGGCCTCTGGACATTGCCCCAGGATTCCTGACAGGCAGCTGAGTAAAGTATTCTAATTTCACAGCTATGTTTTTCAGAGCTCAGGCAGTCCCGTGTAAAGACTGGTCCCAGTTATTGAGAGCAGTTAACCTCAGTGGGGCAGGCTGTTTATAGGTTACCAAGGCAGACCGATGGCACTCGGGTGAAAATGAATCGCAGGTTTCAACAGTGCAGCCTATAGAGAAAGTTTCTCCAGGGTCAGGAAGTTACCCTATTAAAAAAAAAAAAAATGATGTTACCCTATATAGTCTAAAAAGGGGAGGAACCGGTAGTTCCGGGAATCTGCCATTGCCCCAGGCAGATTCTTTAGCTGGTCCCCGCCTCAGCAGGAGACGCCCCAGGAGTTGCCATTGTGTACTCCGGGTTTCAGCTCTGTTGGCCGGGAGGCTCCTGCTCCAGAAGCCTACCCTGGTGCACTTGGGCACCCATTGTGTGACCAACACCAGGCTGGGTGCTCAGTCCTTAATTCGAAGAAAGCAGGCCAGGTGCGGTGGCTCACGCCTGTAATCCAAGCATTTTGGGAGGCCGAGGAGGGTGGATCACTTGAGGTCAAGAGTTCAAGACCAGCCTGACCAACATGGTGAAACCCTGTCTCTACTAAAAATACAAAAATTAACCGGGCATAGTGGCGCACGCCTGTAGTCCCTGCTACTCAGGAGACTGAGGCAGGAGAATTGCTTGAACCGGGGAGGCAGAGGTTGCAGTGAGCTGAGATGGCGCCACTACACTCCAGCCTGGGTGACAGAGCGAGACTCCGTCTCAAGACAAAAAAAGAAAGCAGACAAGATGTCTACTTCATGGAATTTTCCACTGAAATCAAATAAAGGTCCAAAAACATCATTACCAATTGTCATGAGTGTTTGAAGGAAAAAAAAAAGGGACAGTGTGCTGGAAGAGGATAGTGGGAGTGTGGCTTCAGGGAGTTTAAGCCTCCACCCAAAAAGACCCAGAAGACAAATGGAAGTTAAGAAGGTGAAGAGGGGACCTAGGGAACGGCATTCCAGGCGGAACAACTGAAGACTGATGTATGAAAAGGTCCTTACATGAGAACTTGACCTTCCAGGTCAGAAGGGTGGAGTGGGCAGGGCACGGTGAATGAGCGGGTGAGAGGCCTAGAATGAGGTGGGAGAGGCAGGCAGCACCCAGACACTACCAGGCTTTGTGAGTTCTGTTCCGAGTGCAAGAGGGGGCCCTTGGAGGGATTTAAGCAGAGGAGGGAACTGAATGGCCTTTTTGGATGTTGCATGAGGAATGGATTAGAGCAAGGAATTAGCAAACCATGGCCTATATGGCCCACAGCTAAGACTGGTTTTTACTTTTTTTCTTTTTTTTTTACTTTTATTTATTATTATTATTATTATTTTATTATACTTTAAGTTCTAGGGTACATGTGCACAACGTGCAGGTTTGTTACATATGTATATATGTGCCATGTTGGTGTGCTGCACCCTTTCTTTTTTTTCTACAGAGACAAGGTCTCCCTGTGTTCCTCAGGCTGGTCTTGAACTCCTGGGCTCAAGTGATCCTCCTGCCTTGGCTCCCCAAAGTGTTGGGATTTCAGGCGTGAGCCATTGCACTGGGCCGGTTTTTACCGTTTTAAATTGATGAAAAAAATAATAAAAAGAAGACTATTTTGTGACGCACAAAGGTTATAGGAAATTCAAATTTTGGCATCTACAAATAAAGTTGGATTGGAACACAGCCACACTCATTTATTTATAAATTGCCTTTGGCTGTTTTCACACCACAATGGTAGAGTTAGTACCGTAGGTGCGACAGAAATCATATGGCTCAGACAGCCTAAAATATTTACTATCTGCCCCTTACACAAAAACTGGCCTGACTCATGGATTAGAAAGAGAGAAAAAGCAGGGAAATCCAATTAAGAAGTATCTGCGGTAGATGGTACGGGGTCAGATGACCACAGAAGATGAACAGGGTGGCAGCCATGGAGGTATGAGATATGCATGGGGCCGGGCAAGGTGGCTCATGCCTGTAATCTCAGCACTTTGGGAGGCCAAGGAGGGCGGATCACCTGAGGTCAGGAGTTTGACACCAGCCTGACCAACATGGTGAAACCCCGTCTCTACTAAAAATAAAAAAATTAGCCTGTAATCCCAACACTTTGGGAGGCCGAGGTGGCTGGATCACCTGAGGTCGGGTGTAATCCCAGCTACTCAGGAGGCTGAGGCAGGAGAATCACTTGAACCGGGGAGGCGGAGGTTGCAGTGAGCTGAGATTGCACCGTTGCACACCAGCCTGGGCGACAAAGCAAGACTCTGTCTCAAAAAACAAACAAACAAACAAAAAAAATCATCACTCATGTCAGAACACAGGCAAAAATATGAACATGGTCCAAAACACAAAAATGACCAAATATCTCCCTATTTTAGCCAATGTGATTCACTGCAGCTGCTTTGCCAATCACAACTTTAGTTTTGCTTCTTTCCTCCCACCTTATAGATAACATTAATTAAGGTACAGGATGCGGGAGGACAAAAAAACTTCCTTTTACCCTCTTAGGTTCTGTAGCTGAGTGTAAGAATTAAACTGGCTGGGCCAGGCACGGTGGCTCATGCTTGTAATCCCAGCACTTTGGGAGGCTGAGGCGGGTGGATCACCTGAGGTCAGGAGTTCGAGACCAGCCTGGCCAACATCGTGAAAACAAAAATTAGCCAGGCGTGGTGGGGCGTGCCTGTAATTCCAGCTACTCAGGAGGTGGAGACAGGAGTATTGCTCGAACCCAGGAGGCGGAGGTTGCAGTGAGCCGAGATTGCACTACTGCACTCCAGCCTGGGTGACAGAGTGAGACTCCGTCTCAAAAAAAAAAAAAAGAATTAAACTGGCCATGTGTGGTGGCTCATACCTGTAATCCCAGCACTTTGGGAGGCTGAGGCGGGAGGCTTGAGCCTAGGAGTTCAAGACTAGCTGGGCAACATAGTGAGACCTTATCTCCACAAAAATAATTTAAAAATTAGCCGATGGTGGCACAAGCCTGTGGTCCCAGATATTTGGGAGGCTGAGGTGGGAGGATCATTTGAGCCTGGAAGGCTGAGGCAGCAGTGAGCTGACTGTGCCATGGCATTCCAGCCTGGGAGACTGAGACCCTGTCTTAAAAAAAAAAAAAAAAGAAAGAAAGAAAAGAGGAAAAAAAAAAACCTGATGTAAGACAAATATACAGAAGAAAGGCATACAATTTTTTTTTTTTTTTAGATGGAGTCTTGCTCTGTCGCCCAGGCTGGAGTGCAGTGGCGTCATATCGGCTCACTGCAACCTCTGCCTCCCAGGTTTGAGCGATTCTCGTGCCTCAGCCTCCTGAGTAGCTGGGACTACAGGAGAGCGTCACCACGCCGGGCTAATTTTTTGTATTTTTAGTAGAAACCGGGTTTCACTGTGTTGGCCAGGATGGTCTTGATCTCCTGATCTCGTGATCTGCCCGCCTCAGCCTCCCAAAGTGCTGGGATTACAAGTGTGAGCCACCATGGCCAACCAGGCATACAAATTTTATTTAATATTTTTGCGTGTACATGGGAGACTTCAGAAAGAAAATGAAGACCCAAAGAAGCTGTTAGGCTCAAAAGCTTATATACCCTTACCTTTTTACACAAAGAACAATCAATTGTGGGCCAGGCACCGTGTCTCACATCTGTAATCCCAGCACTTTGGGAGGCGAGGGGGCAGATCACCTGAGGTCAGGAGTTCAAGACCAGCCTGGCCAACATGGTGAAACCTGGTGTCTACAAAAATACAAAAATTAGCCGGGCATGATGGCATGTGCCTGTAATCCCAGCTACTTGGGAGGCTGAGGCAGGAGACTCGCTTGAACCCGGGAGGCAGAGGTTGCAGTGAGCCAAGATTGTGCCACTGCACTCCAGACTGGGTGACAGAGGGAGACTGTCTCAAAAAAAAAAAAAAAAGAAAAAAGAACAGTCAATTGTTCACAACTGGGCACAGTGGGGATGTGACAAGACAAAGAGGCTTGAACTAGGGGCAGTAAATTGTGAGACAGTGACTAGGAAATAGATGGAGGAAAGTAATGGAAGATAAGGCTTATTTTAGTAGGTTTGTTTGTACAGATCCATTTGGGCATGGGTTCTCAGTCTCTTCCTGGTTTAGGTAAGGAAACTTTCCTATGGGAAATTTTATGACCTCTTTTAGGTAGAAAGGGAGAGGTCAGAGATCCTTTCCTGTATCTGCTGTTTCTCTTGTGCCTTCAGCCCAATATATAATCAGTATGCTAAAGTGGCATATTTTGGGGTGGCATGCTCTGAACCACTTCAATAACCAATCTTAAGGGGCAGGCACCATGGCTCATGCCTGTAATCCCAGCACCTTGGGAGGCCGGGGCGGGCGGATCACCTGGGGTCAGGAGTTCGAGACCAGCCTGGCCAACATGGAGAAACCCTGTCTCTACTAAAAATACAAAAATTTAGCTGGGTATGGTGGCGCATGCCTGTAATCCCAGCTACTCAGGAGGCTGAGGCAGGAGAATTGCTTAAACCCGGGAGGCGGATGTTGCAGTGAGCCGAGATCGTGCCACTGCACTCCAGCCTGGGCAACAAGGGCAAAATTCTGTCCCAACAACAACAACAACAACAAAAAATTATAGCATTACCCCCACTTCCTGACAGCCTCCAATTTAAAGCAAAGCCCTGTTTCTTCGACTCTTCTCCAAATCACCCAACGCAAGTCAAATCCTATAATAAGTCCTTTCTAACACCCTCTTAGACAGATGTCCCGTCATTCCCCCAGTACACATTCTCCACTGCAAACAGCAATAAACCCAAATTTCAGCTACAGGTGTGTTCCTGGTGGTGGCTGGCTGGGAACAGTGACGTTTATTGGTAGGATAGGAGGCAGTTTGAAGAGATCCTCATATTGAAGATCTTTCAAGAGTCAGAGGGGCTGGCTGGGCACAGTAGCGTGTGCCTGGAGCCCCAGCTACTCAGGAGGATGAGGCAGGAAAGTCACTTGAGCCCAGGAGTTTGAGGCCAGCCTAGGCAACATAGTGAGGCCTCTCTTGCCTCTATTTCCTTTAAAAAATGTAAGAGGAGGCCAGGTACAGTGGCTCACGCCTGTAATCCCAGCACTTTGGGAGACTGAGGCAGGCAAATCACCTGAAGTCAGGAGTTCAAGACCAGAATGGCCAACATGGAAAAACCCTGTCTCTACTAAAAATACAAAAATTAGCCAGGCATGGTGGCGCACACCTGTAGTCCCAGCTACTCGGGAGGCTGAGGCAGGAGAATTGCTTAAACCTGGAAGGTGGAGGTTGCAGTGAACCGAGGTCATACCACTGCACTCCACCCTGGGTGACAGGGCCAGACTCTGTCTCAAAAAAGGAAAAAAAAGGCTGGGCGCAGTGGTTCATGCCTGTAATCCCAGCACTTCTTTGGGAGGCTGAGGCAGGTGGATCACGAGGTCAGGAGATGGAGACCATCCTGGCTAACACTGTGAAACCCCGTCTCTACTAAAAATACAAAAAAATTAGCTGGGCGTGGTGGCACGTGCCTGTAGTCCCAGCTACTTTGGGAGGCTGAGGCAGGAGAATTGCTTGAACCCAGGAGTTGGTGGTTGCAGTGAGCCCAGATCGCACCACTGCACTCCAGCCTGGGCGACAGAGTGAGAGTCTGTCTAAAAAAAAAAAGGTAAGAGGGGCCAGATAAAGGGGGTGATTGGATGGCAGGCAGAAGAATCATTAATTATACTGACATTTATTTAAAATCTACTCTCCTCCTCACTGTTTCAAAGGGAACGCTCAGCCAGGCGTGGTGGCTCATGCCTGTAATCCCAGCCCTTTGAGAGGCTGAGGCAGGAGGATCACTGGAGCCAGGAATTCAAGATTACAGTGAGCTATGATCATGCCACTGCACTCCAGCCTGGGTGACAGAGCCAGACTCCTGTCTTTTTATTTTATTTTTTCCTGCGAGACAAGGTCTCATTCTGTCACCCAGACTGGGATGCAGTGGTGCGATCTCGGCTCACTGCAACCTCCACCTTCCAGGCTCAAGTAATTGTCCCCTGTCAGCCTCCTGAGTAACTGGGACTACAGGCTTGCATATGCCCAGCTAAGTTGTTGTTGTTGTTGTTATTGTTGTAGAGACAGAGTCTCACCAAGTTGCCCAGGCGGGTCTCAAACGCCTGGGCTCAAGCAATCTGCCCACCTTGGCCTCCCAAAGTGCTAGGATTACAGGTGTAAGCCACTGTGCCCGGCCTAGACGCCTGTCTTAAAAAAAACAAAAACAAAAAAGAAATGCTGAAATGGAAAATACTCTTTGCTCCCAATGGACTGTCTCTTCTAAGAGTGGGAGACAAGTAAACCTACAACTACAATGGAACGCGATAAGCTTGCTGAGAGAAGAGGCATGGAGGGAGGGGGGGCACAGAAAAGGGGCACTTTAAGTCAGCTTAGGATGGGGTAAAGAATGAACAGTGTTGGCTGGGCACGGTGGCTCATGCCTGTAATTCCAGCACTTTGGGAGGCCGAGGCAGGCAGATCACCTGAGGTCTGGAGTTCAAGACCAGCCTGACCAGCATGGAGAAACCCTGTCTCTACTAAAAATACAAAATTAGCTGGGTGTGGTGGCACATGCCTGTAATCCCATCTACTCTGGAGGCTGAGGCAGGAGAATGGCTTGAACCCGGGAGGTGGAGGTTGCTGTGAGCCGAGATTGCGCCATTGCACTCCAGCCTGGGCAACAAGAGCGAAACTCCGTCTCAAAAAAATAAATAAATAAAAAGAATGAACAGTGTTGGCCGGGCGTGGTGACTCACACCTGTAATCCCAGCACTTTGCAATCCCAGCACTTTGGGAGGGTAAGGCAGGAGGATCACTTGAGGCCAGGAGTTCAAGACCAGCCTGGGCAACATAGCAAGACCATGACTCTAGAACAAAACAAAAAAACAAAACAAAAAAATACTGGGGCATGGTGGCTTGCACCTGTAGTTTCAGCTACTGGGGAGGCTGATGTGGAGGGACCACTTGAGTTCAAGGCTGTAGTGAGCTGCAATTATGCCACTGCACTCCAGCCTGGGCAACAGAGAGAGACCCTGCCTCAAAAAAAAAAAGAAAAGAAAAGAAAAGAAAAGAAAGAAAGAAAAAGGAAAAGATAGTGTCAAGGAAGTCTTCCCAAAGAAGGTGACACTTAAGCTGAATCTTGAGATTGATCGAGGGGGAGGGGGAGGGTGCTCCAGGCAGAGGCAGCAGGAAATGCATGGGCAGGGAGGCCGCCTCTAGCTATAATGGATTTATGAGCAAGGCAAATGTCCTGCTTAATGCCACATTTTCCCAGAATGCATTTTTAGGATTTGAGAGGTTTTCCATGGTGGATAGAAAGAACCATGTGCGGGCCAGGCACGGTGGCTCATGCCTGTAATCCTGGCACTTTGGGAGGCCAAGATGGGTGGATCACTGGACGTCAGGAGTTTGAGACCAGCCTGGCCAACATGATGACGCCCCATCTCTACTAAAAATACAAAACTTAGGTGTGGTGAACCTGTAGTCCCAGCTACTTGGGAGGCTGAGGCAGGAGAATCACTTGAACCTGGGAGGCAGTGGTTACAGTGAGCCAAGATCGCACCACTGGACTCCAGCCTGGGCAACAGAGGGAGACCATCTCAAAAAAAAAAACAACAAAAGAACCATGTTCGAGCAGTGGAGACCTGCCTTGCACACTCCAGTAAAGCGCTTTGTTTCAGGCTGTGCTTTGAGGCATCTTAACTAACCCCAGGTTTTACTTCGGCTCCCTTTGCTACATAGCAAAACCACTTCCTAGGGGCTTAAAGTCATTCATTCCCATCTGATGAGCCCCCAGATGCAGGGTGGACAAAAAACTTTAATACTTTTTTTTTGAGACAAGGTCTCACTTTGTTGCCCAGGCTGCAGGCTGGAGTGCAGTGGCATGATCATAGCTCACTGAAGCCTCAACCTGTTGGGCTCTGGTGATCCTCCCACCTCAGCCTCCCAGTAGCTGGGACCACAGGCGTGTGCCACCACACCCAGTTGATTTTTGTAGTTGTTGTAGAGACAGAGTTTTGCTATGTTGCCCAGGCTGGTCTCCAACTCCTGAGCTCAAGCGATCCTCCCGCCTTGGCTTCCCAAAGTGCTGGAATTACAGGTGTGAGCCACCATGCCTGACCTAACACCTACTTTTTGATGCTGCTAATCTGACAGTGAGGAGGATGGAGTGGCCCTGCTCTGCTTTCTTGCCATGGAGAGGCCGTGTCATGAAGCCCTGTTTACAGACGTTTTGCTCCTGTCTGTAACACTACTTTGACATAAGGCATCACAAGGCAACTCACTGAAAAGCTGCTGGGGATAGCAAACCAAGGTCTCAGGTTCACACTGGAAGCTGGACAGACCATGAGCATGACCCTGAATAATGCCAGTTTCTTTGATCTGCAAAACAATATTTGGCTTTATTGGGGTGTTTTCTAGAACAGATAATGTAGCACAGTGGAAAGAGCATTGGACTTGGGCTATGGGATTTTGGGTTCATCCTTTCAGTTTTCTAGGCTTTAGCTTCCTCATCCTAAAATGAAAGGGGAAGGATTAGACGGTCCCTCGGATCCCTTCCAGTTTTGGGACCTGTGGATTTCGTGACTTGCTGTAAAAGCAGCAGAAGCTTTCAACTCTAGGCTCCCTCTGGGAAATTTCCATCTAGTGGGATGCGTTTTCCTGGTGAAGGCTAATACACGACTCTGATTCTGTTCAAGTGGTCTGTGGATCCAAATGTTTTGCTGAGTCTGCAAAATCATCAATAATCCACATGGATGTGTGTGAGCTTTCCACACAGTCACTGCATCCAGTGGTTTGCAAATAACAGCCTCAAGGATTCTGCAGAACTTGCAGCAAACTGAAGATTAAATTCCTCCTCAAGGCTTGGAAACAGACTGAATACAGGCATCCAGAGTCCTTGCTGCTTGGCATCTCCAACACATATTTAAATGCCCTAACAGGAGCAAATCCATAACAGTGCTGAATGAAGGCAGGAGTCCCACACTCTGGGAGCAGCAATCAGTGTCAAAAATACAATTTTGGGCCTGGACGCGGTGGCTGATGGCTGTAATCACAGCACTTTGAGAGGCTGAGGTGGGCAGATCACTTGAGGTGAGGAGTTTGAGACCAGCCTGACCAACATGGTGAAACCCCGTCTCCATTAAAAATACAAAAATTAGGCTGGGCACAGTGGCTCATGCCTGGAATCCCAGCACTTTGGGAGGCCAAAGCGGGCGGATCACCCGAGATCAGGAGTTCAAGACCAGCCTGGCCAAAACGGTGAAACCCCGTCCCTATTAAAAATACAAAAATTAGCCAGGCATGGTGGTGAGCGCCTGCAATCCCAGCTACTCGCAAGACTGAGGCAGGAGAATCACTTGAACCCGGGAAGCAGAAGTTGCAGTGAGCCGAGACTGTGCCACTGCACTCCAGCCTGGGCGACAGAGTGAGACTCTGTCTCAAAAAACAAAACAAAATAAAACAAAAAAAAAGAACCAAACAAAAAACAAACAAACAAAAAAACAACAACACAAAAATTAGCTGGGCATGGGGGCATGTGCCTGTAGTCCCAGCTACACAGTTGGCTGGGGCAGAATTGCTTGAACCCAGGAGGCAAAGGTTGCAGTGGGCCGAGATTGAGTCCCTGCACTCCAGCCTGGGCGACACAGTAATACCGTCTCAAACAAAACAAAAACAACAACTATACATACATATATATATAAATTTGGATAGTGATGGAAGTGTCAAATAGCTTCATAAATACCAAAAAAACAAAACAAAACACACACACACACACTCAAGCCTCAAGCGGGCATGGTGTCACATGCTGTAATCCCAGCACTTTGGGAGGCCGAGACGAGTGGATCCCTTGAGGTCAGGAGTTCGAGACCAGCCTGGCCAATATGGTGAAACCCTGTCTCTACTAAAAATACAACAATTAATCGGGCGTGGTGGTGTGCCAGTAATCCCAGCTACTCAGGAGGCTGAGGCAGGAGAATTGCTTGAACCCAGGAGGCGGAGGTTGCAGTGAGCCGAGATCGCGCCACTGCACTCCAGCCTGGGTGACAGAGTGAGGCGCTGTCTCAAAAAAAAAAAAAAAAAAAATTAGCCCAGCGTGGTGGTCTGCGCCTGTAGTTCCAACTGCTTGGGAGGCTAAGGTGGGAGGATCGATGCCCAGGAAGTTGAGGCTCCAATGAGCTGAGATCGAACTACTACACTCCAGCCTGGGTGACAGAAACCCTGTCCAAAAAAAAAAAGAAAAACCAAACCCAAGCCTCACCTCTGTCTTTATATATGGGGGATGAGACACCATCCACACACTAAATCAATATCATGTCATAAAATACCATATGTACAGAATGCCAGGTAACTTCTCTAGGCAGCCAGATTTGCACAGCAATCGCCAGAGTGCTGAAATAATATATGTGAAATGTGTAAACTGTAAAGTGTTCTGCAAACAGACATTGTGATATAATCTCCTGGTGATATGTTAGTTACTGATAAGGTCTCATGATGATGGTGAAGAAGCCCTTTGCTGTTCTCAGAAGTCCTCACTGGTTAGAAAACCGTCATAGAAAGAACTGGAACTCCAGAATCAGAAACCAGGGTTTTGAGTTCTGGTAGATCCTTCCTCTCACTGTTCTCATGCCAAAGCCCTCTTCCAAGGATGGCAAAAATCCCAAGTGGCAGAAATAAAAATGATTCTGTCTGTGTTACAGCCAAGCTAGTTCCCTATGGGTGGATGAGTCACATGTGAGCAGAGCTGGGAGAACTACATTTACATTCCTTTACATTTCCCTCTTTCCACCCTCCTTTCCACTGCCCTGTGTTGGCTCCTGTCGCTATGACAAAAAACTTGCTCAAGAAACCCCAGCTTAGTTTCTCTATGGGGAGGAAGGTGGCAAGCTACCTGGGTAGCTGTGGTTCTTGTTGGTGAAGCCCATGGCCCAGTGGGGCGGTGTCTTTGTACAAATCCACACACGTCCTCCCCTGTGCTCCAAATTGTGAGTGCACATCCCCAAAGACTTTTTTTTTTTTTTGAGACAGAGTTTTGCCCTTGTTGCCCAGGCTGGAATGCAGTGGCACGATCTCGGCTCAACCACAACCTCCGCCTCCCAGGTTCAAGCAATTCTCCTGCCTCAGCCTCCTGAGTAGCTGGGATTACAAGTATGCACCACCACGTCCAGGTAATTTTGTATTTTTAGTAGAGAGGGGGTTTCACCATGTTGGCCAGGCTGGTCTCGGGCTCCCGACCTCAAGTGATCCACCCGCCTCGGCCTCCCAAAGTGCTGGGATTACAGGCGTGGGCCACTGCGCCCGGCCTCCCCTTCATACTTGACTATCCCTGTGTCATAAGGACTCAGAATCTGAGGGTTTTGTCATAATTATACACAGTCTAGAAGACCAAGCCACACTTGGGTTGGCAGCATTTAAGCTGCTGGGTCATCCTGCAAGGAGGCATATTTGTGAAACTGGATGAAGAAAAAGTAGGAAAAGCTACCTACTTTTTAAGCTCAGGAAGCATTTTATAAGATTTCCAAGGCTAACAGCTGCAGCCTCCTCTAGCTCCTCTAGCTGGGTTGACTGTAGTCCCTAAAAAGATACGTCCATATCCTAATCCCCAGAACCTGTGGATGTTATTCTATGTGGAAAAATGATCTTTTTGGATATAATTAAAGGTTTGTTTTTGGCAGGTGCAGTGGCTCATGCCTGTAATCTCAGCACTTTGGAAGGCCAAGGTGGGGGGATCACCTGAGGTCAGGAGTTCCAGGCCAGTCTGCCCAACATGATGAAACCCTGTTGCTACTAAAAATACAAAAATTAGCCGGGTGTGGTGGTGGGCGCCTGTAACCCAGCTACTCGGGAGGCTGAGGCAGGAAAATTCCTGGAACCCGGGAGTTGGAGGTTGCAGTAAACCGAGATTGCGCCACTGCACTCCAGCCTGGGCTGGACAGAGCGAGACTCCATCTCAAAAAAAAAAAAAAAAAAAAAAAGGTTTGTTTGAGACAGGATCTCAATCTGTCACCCAGGCTGGAGTGCAGTGGCGTGAACATGGCTCACTGCAACCTTGAACTTCTGAGCTCAATGGATCCTCCTACCTCAGCCTCCTGAGTAGCTAAAACTACGGCCACATGCCATCACACCCAGCTAATTTTTATATTTTTGTAGAGACAGTATGTCACTGTGTTGCCCAGGCCAGTCTCCAATTCCTGGGCTCAAGAGATCTACCCATCTCAGCTTCCCAAAGTGCTGGGATCACAGGCTTGAGGCACTGCACCTAACCTAATTCGGAATTTTTAAGTGAGGTGATCATCCAGGATTATCCAGGTAGGACTTAAATCCAATGGCAAGTGTCCTAATAAGAGTAAGGCACATTGGCCAGGTGTGGTGGCTCACACTTGTAATCCCAGCACTTTGGGAGGCTGAGGCAGGCGGATCACTTGACCCCAGGAGTTCGAGACCAGCCTGGTTAACATGCTGAAACCCTGTCTCTACTAAAAATACAAAAATTAGCTGGTTATGGTGGTGCACACCTATAATCCCAGCCACTCAGGAGGCTGAGGCACAAGAATTGCTTGAACCCAGGGAGCAGAGGTTGCAGTGAGCCAAGATCGTACCACTGCACTCCAACCTGGGCGACAGAGCAAGACTTTGTCTCAAAAAAAAAAAAAAAAAAAAAAAGTGAAGCACATACCAAAAAGAGTAAGGCAAGCCAGCGTGGTGGCCCATGCCTATTTTGCCAGTTACTTGGGAGGCTGAGGTGGGAGGATCTCTTGAGCCCAGGAGTTCGAGACCAGCCTGGGCAACACAGTGAGACCCCATCTCTAAAAACAAACAAAAGAGCGAAGGAGAAGGAGGTCAGATACAGAGAAATAGATGCACAGAGGAGAAGATCCTGGGAAAATGGAGGCAGAGATTGGAATGACAGGCTGTAAACCAAGGGATGCTAAAGATTGCTGGCAGCCACAAAAGCTAGGAGAAAGGCAAGGAAAGATTCGAGGCTTGGTGCAGTGGCTCATGCCTGTAATCCCAGCACTTTAGGAGGCTGAGGCTGGAGGATCACTTGAGGCCAGGAAGTTCAAGACCATCCTGGTTAACATCTCTACAAAAACTAAAAAAAAAAAAATTAGCCAGGCATGGCAGTGCATACCTGTACTCTCAGCTACTGGGGACGCTGAAGAAGGAGGATCCCTTGAATTTGAGGCTTCAGTCAGCTGTGATCATGCCACTGCACTCCAGCCTAGATGACAGAACAAGACTCCATCTCAAAAAAAAAAAAAAAAAAAATTTTACCCCGGAGCCTGGGGAGTGTGGCCCTGCCAACACTTTAATTTTGGATTTCTGGCCTCCAGAACTGTGAGAGAATATATTTCTGTCATTTGAAGCCACTCATTTACAGTAACTGGTTACAGCCACCCTGGGAAACGAATACACCTGGTCTCTGCTGTGGTGCTCAGTGTTACCAACCGGTCCTCACTTTCCCAGTTCTTAGCTGTGTCCCTCTGCAAATCTTAGCACCTCTCTGATTTTCAGTCTCCTCCTTTGTAAAACGGGAAGAGTAAGTCCTACTCTGCCAGGTTGTTGTGAGGCCATGGTGACAGAGTGCTGAGCGGAATGCCAGGTGTACCACAGACGCAACTTACGCATGAGTTCCCATCCTCCCCCTTCTCCACCCTGGTCCAACCTCACCTTGGGCACAGAGCTCCCATTGCAAGGCTGAGGAGCAGGGTTCCTATACCTTTTCCTGGGACTCGGGTTCATTGGTGATGTCCAGAATAGTGCATGACCCTGCCTTCTTGACAAATCCTCCCAGACATCTCATCAGCATCTCAAATCCAATGTGTCCAAAGGTGAACTCTTGATCTTTCCTTCTTTTTCTGTCTCTTTCACAGTTTACCTCATCTCAATAAATGGTATTTCCAGGTAGCTAAACATCTGGACGTCATTTTTGCTTTCTTTTTTCTTTTCTTTTTTTTTTTTTGAGACAGAGTCTCACTCTGTTGCCTGGGCTGGAGTGCAGTGGCATGATCTTTGCTCATTGCAACCTCCATCTCCTGGGTTTAAGCGATTCTCCTGCCTCAGCCTCCAAGTAGCTGGGATTACAGGCATGCGCCACCACACCCAGCTAATTTTTTTTTTTTGAGATGGAGTCTTGCTCTGTTGCCCAGGCTGGAGTGCAATGGCGCAATCTTGGCTCACTGCAAACTCCGCGTCCTGGGTTCAAGCAATTCTCCTGCCTCAGCCTCCTGAGTAGCTGGGATTACAGGCGCATGCCACCATGCCAAACTAAATTTTGTAATTTTAGTAGAGACGGGATTTCATCATGTTGGTCAGGCTGGCCTTGAACTCCTGACCTCATGATCTTCCCGCCTCAGCCTCCAAAAGTGCTGGGATTACAGGCATGAGCCACTGTGCCCGGCCGTGATGATGGTGTTGTGTTTTGTTTTTTGTTTTTTTTTTTGAGACGGAGTCTTACTCTGTCGCCCAGGCTGGAGTGCAGTGGTGTGATTTCAGCTCACTGCAACCTCCGCCCCTGAGTTCAAGCGATTCTCCTGCCTCAGCCTGCCGAGTAGCTGGGATTACAGGCACCTGCCACCGTGCCTGGCTAATTTTTGTGTTTTTAGTAGAGACGGGGTTTCACCATCTTGGCCAGGCTAGTCTTGAACTGCTGACCTCATGACCCACCTGCCTCGGCCTCCCTGGGATTATAGGCGTGAGCCACCATGCCCGGCTGTGATGATGTTTTTCTCTTGGTTTATCATGGCCACAGAGTAGCCTTGTCTGGTGTTCATGTATTGTGAAATTATTTACTTCAGTGGAACATCAAGGCCTAGCTGATAGTACCAGGCCCACTACCACATGCCAGGGCTTCATTTCCTTTCTCAGAACTCACACCCGTTCCCAAATGTTACCAAGCTGTTCCTTGCCTAAGAGGCTCTTTTCCATTCCCCAGCCAAACACTACTTTTTTCAAGTCAAACTGCACAAAATTCCATCTCTCCTGTGAGGTCTTCCCAAAGACAGTGAAACCACCTTTGCAATATTATAACTGATACAGTGAAAGTGATCTAACTTAACCAACTCCATCTTGTTTTTAACCTCCAAGCTGTCCTTGTTCATTCCTGGGCGTAGGCTGAACTAACTTTGGGAGAAATTTATTTATAATTTACAGTGAAACAAAGACAATGGCTGGGCACAGTGGCTCATGCCTGTAATCCCAGCACTTTGAGAGGCCGAGGTGGGTGGATCACTTGAGGTCAGGAGTTCGAGACCAATCTGACCAATATGGTGAAACCCCGTTTCTACTAAAAATACAAAAATCAGCTGAGCATGGTGGCGTGTGACTGTAGTCCTAGCTACCAGGGAGGCTGAGACAGGAGAATTGCTTGAACCCAGAAGGCAGAGATTGCACCGCTGCACTCCAGCCTAGGCAACAGAGAGAGACTCTGTCTCGAAAATAAATACATACGTACATACATACAATACATAAAACAAAGACGATAACAGCCCTTTCCCAAAGCAGACCATCTTCCTTCTTGCCTAGGGACTAGGTTGCCTCTGTAGGACTAACATTAGCTGCAAGATTATAAATAATTATGGTTTAGGAGTCATGCAGCTGGAGGATACAAGATTCTGACCCTCCCTAAACTGCTCCTAAGATCAGTGCTTGAGATATTTTGCAGACCCTGCACTTGATGGATCAGCTGGCCCCACCCAGGTCGATAAACTGGCTCACCTGATCTTGTGGCCCCCATCCAGGAACTGACTCAGAGCAAGAAGACAACATCGACGGCCTATGATTTCATCCCTGACCAGTCAGCACTCCTGGCTCACTGGCTTCCCCCAAATCACCAAGTTATTCTTAAAAACTCTGCTCCCCGACTGGGCATGGTGGCTCATGCCTGTAATCCCAGCACTTTGGGAGGCAGAGGCGGGTGGATCACCTGAGGTCAGGAGTTCGAGACCAGCCTGGCCAACATGGTGAAACCCCGTCTCTACTAAAAATACAAAATTAGCTGGGCATGGTGGCGCATGCCTGTAATCCCAGCTACTCTGGGTGCTGAGGCAGAATTCCCTGAGCCCAGGAGGTGGAGACCGCAGTGAGCTGAGATTGCGCCACCACACTCCAGCCTAGGTGGCAGAGCGAGACTCCGTCTCAGAACAAAACAAAACAAAAAACCAAAACACCACCACCAACAACAAAAACTCTGCTCCCCCAATGCTTGGGGAAACTGACTTGAGTAATAATAAAACTCCGGTATCCTGCACAGCTGGCTCTGCGTGAATTACTCTTTCTCTGTTGCAATTCCCCTGTCTTGATGAGTTGGCTCAGGCAAAGTGAACCCCTTGGGTCGTTACAACAGTACTACTGTCTCCATAGAATTAGCTTTCCTGAGTGCATCCAAAAATCTTAATTGGTGACCAGGCATGGTAGTTCATGCCTGTAATCAAAGCAATTTGGGAAGCTGAGGCTAGAGGATGGCTTGAGCCCAGGAGTTCAAGGCCAGTCTGGGCAACATAGTGAGACCTTGTCTCTATAAAACCAAAAACCAAAAACCTTGGTGGGCATAGCATACTTAGTCTTCAAATGTGTACCTACCTTGAAGTATTTTACTTGTTTCACATATATTTTTATTCAGTTCCCAGTAGGTTGTAAATCTTTTAGAGGCAAAGTCCATTTCTTACACTTCAATATCCCCTGCAACTGAGCACCCTGCTGAAGGACAGGTTGGTCTTAGTTGGCATGTTGGTTGGTCTGAATAAGGGGAGGGGGCGAACAGTTTGCTTCTGCAACACAGCTCTGAAAACACAGCTCTAGGCTAGCAGGGGAGAAGCTCCCAGCTTGCCCCTTTCCCAGGCAAAACCATTTCTTTTTTTTAATTTTTAATTTTTTATTTTTTGAGACAGAGTCTTACTCTGTCGTCCAGGCTGGAGTGCAGTGATGTGATCTCAGCCTTTTTGTGTTTTTTTTTCTTTTTTTTGAGACGGAGTCTCACTCTGTCACCCAGGCTGGAGTGCAGTGGCGCGATCTCGGCTCACTGTAAGCTCTGCCTCCCAAGTTCACGCCATTCTCCTGCCTCAGCCTCCCGAGTAGCTGGGACTACAGGCGCCCGCCACCACGCCTGGCTAATTTTTTTTGTATTTTTAGTAGAGACAGGGTTTCACCGTGTTAGCCAGGATGGTCTCAATCTCCTGACCTCGTGATCTGCCCGCCTGGGCCTCCCAAAGTGCTGGGATTACAGGCGTGAGCCACCACGCCTGGCCGTGATCTCAGCTTACTGCAACCTCTGCCTTCCCGGTTCAAGCGATTCTCATGCCTCAGCCTCCTGAGTAGCTGGGATGACCGGCACGTGCCCCATGCCTGGCTAATTTTTGTATTTTTAATAGAGAGGGGTTTCACCATGTTGGCCAGGTGGGTCTCAAACTCCTGGCCTCAGGTGATCTGCCCACCTCGGTCTCCTATTGGGATTATAGGCGTGAGCCACCGCAACCGGCCTTCTAATTTCCCTTTTGGAGCATTCATTCCGTTGCAAGAGCTTATTTAATTTTTATTTATTTATTTATTTATTTATTTTTGAGACAGAGTTTTGCTCTTGTTGCCCAGGCTGGAGGGCTATCACGCCATCTTGGCTCACCGCAACCTTCGCCTCCTGGGTCCAAGTGATTGTCCTGCCTCAGGCTCCTGAGTAGCTGGGATTACAGGCATGTGCCACCATGCCCTGCTAATTTTGTATTTTCACTAGAGATGGGTTTTCTCCATGTTGGTCAGGCAGGTCTCGAACTCCCGACCTCAGGTGATCCGGCCGCCTCGGCCTCCCAAAGTGCTGGAATTACAGGCGTGAGCCACTGCGCCTGGCCAATTTTTATTTATTTATTTAGAAACAGGGTAAACCTCTGTCATCCGGGCTGGAGTGCAGTGGCACAATTGTAGCTCACTGCAGTCCCAAACTCCTGGGCTTAAGCGATCCTCCTGCCTTGGCCTCCCAAGTAGCTGGGACTACAGGCGTGTGCTACCGCACCTAGCTAAGTTGTGTATTTTCTAATTTTTTAGACAGGGGTCTCAGTATTGCTGAGGCTGATCTCCAACTCCTGGGCTGAAGCGATCCTATCCTCTTGCCCTCTCGAAGTGCTGAGATTACCAGCATGAGCCACCACACTGGACCAAGAGTTGATTTTGGTAACATCTTCTGTCCCTATCTGTCTGAAAAATCCTTGAGAGTAGGATCTACCATTAATGCATTAAACAAATTATTATTTTTTGTTTGTTTATTTTGAGATGGAGTCTTACTCTGTAACCCAGGCTAGAGTGCAGTGGCGCTATCTCAGCTCACTGAAACCTCTGCCTCCCAGGTTCAAGTGATTCTCCTGCCTCAGCCTCCTGAATAGCTGGGATTACAGGTGCGTGCCATGATGCCCAGCTAATTTTTTATATTTATTTATTTTTATTTTTATTTTTTTGAGTTGGAGTCTTGCTCTGTCGCCTAGGCTGGAATGCTGTGGCATGATCTTGGCTCACTGCAGCCTCCCTCTCCTCGGTTCAAGCGATTCTCCTACCTCAGCCTCCTGAGTAGCTGGGACCACAGGCAAGTGCCACCACGCCCCAGCTAATTTTTGTATTTTTAGTAGAGACGGGGTTTCACCATGTTGGTCAGGCTAGTCTCGAACTCCTGACCTCAAGTGATCTGCCTGCTTCATCCTCCCAAAGCGCTGGGATTACAGGCATGAGCCACTGCGCCTGATGGTATTTTTAGTAGAGAAAGGGTTTCACCATGTTGGCCCGGCTGGTCTTGAACTCCTGGCCTCAAGTGATTCACCTGCCTTAGGCTCCCAAAGTGCTGGGATTACAGGCTTGAGCCAATGCGATGGCCTACCATTAATGCATTTTTGTATATCTCCTCCCACCCCCACAAACTGTCAGGCACGGGGCTTAGTGGGTGGAGGAAAGGCCCAGCAATGCCTGAGTAAGCCCAACTCCTGCCTGCCTCTTCGCAGAAACTAGGGTGCATCCAAACTGTCTCTTCTCAGGCTAGGCAGGACAGCGCGGCCTCACCTGTGAACCTTCAAGACTTGGACTTTGGCTGAAGCGAGGGCGTAGGAGTTCTAAGTACCGCTGGCTGCACGCCCTCTGGCCCATCACGTCCCAGGCTGCTCCTAGGTGGACACCCAACAGGTTAGGCAAGTCTTAGTTAAAAGCAGTGAGAGGCCAAGAGGCTGGGCATGGTGGCTCACGCCTATAATCCCAGCATTTTGGGAGGCCGAGGCAGGCAGATCACAAGGTCAGAAGATCGAGACCATCCTGGCCAACATGGTGAAACCCTGTCTCTACTAAAATACAAAAAATTAGTCAGGCGTGGTGGTGTGTGCCTCTAGTCCCAGCTGCTCCGGAGACTGAGGCAGGGGAATCGCTTGAACCCGGGAGGCGGAGATTGCAGTGAGCCGAGATTGTGCCACTGCACTCCGGCCTGGGCAACAGAGTGAGACTCCGTCTCAAAAAAAAAAAAAAAAAAAAAGCAGTGAGGAGGCTGGGCACAGTGGCTCACACCTGTAATCTCAGCACTTTGGCAGACCGAGGTGGATGGATGCCAGGAGTTCTAGACCAGCCTAGGCAACTTAGGGAGACTCTGTCTCTACAAAAAATGCAAAAATTAGCTGAGTGTTGCGGCGCGCACCTGTAGTCCCAGCTACTCGGGAGGCTGAGGTGGGAGGATCGATGTCCAGGAAGTCCAGCCTGCATTGAGCCCACATCCTGCCACTGCACTCCAGCCTGGGTGACAGAGAGAGGCCCTGTCTCAAAAAAAAAAAAAAAAAAAAGAAAGAGAGAAAGAAAGAAAGAAAAAATAAAAACAGCCAACGACCAAACAAATAAAAGAGCAGTGAGAACCAGACACGGTGGCTCATGCCTGTAATCCCAGCACTTTGGGAGGCAGAGGCAGGAGGATCACTTGAGCCCAGGAGGTCCAGACCAACGTGGGAAACATAGCAAGACCTTGTCTCTACAAAAATAAAAATAAAAAAATTAGGCTTGGGGATACAGGTCTGCAAGCCTACTTGGGAGGCTGAGGTGGGAGGATCAGTGAAACTTGAGGTCAAGGCTGCAGTGAGCTGTGATTACATCACTGCACTCCAGCCTGGGTAACGGAAGAGAGACACTGCCTCTAGGAAAAAAAAAAAAAAAAAAAAAAAAAGGCAAGGAGTTCCAATCATTCTCCCTTCACAGAGAAGCAGCTTGGATTCGATGGGACTGTAGTTTCTGGAATCCGACTGCAAAGCTGACCGCTGGTAGAGCCCAGCTTCTAACTTAGGAAAGGCACTAGCTCTCTACAAAGCCGCCACTCCCCAACTACACCCTGTAGGGACCAGCCAATCCCAAAGCCCGAGCGGGCGTCATCACCAATTGCAAGGCGGGAGACAGAGCCTTGGCTGGCACCGGGCCTCCTCCCCGGACCCGCAGAGGCCTGGCAGCGCCGCGTTTGAGGAGGGTTCGTGTCAGGAAGTCAAGGCTGGATGATCGCTTAAGCCCAGGAGTTAAAGACCGGCCCGGACAACAAAGCGAGACCCCGTCTCTCCAGAAAAAGAAAAAAAGAGAGAGAGAGAGAGAAATTAGCCGGGCGTGGTGGCGTACGCTTGTAGTCCCATCTACTTAGGAGGCTGAGGTGGGAGGATCGCTTGAGCCCAGGAGGTGGAGGCTGCACTGAGCTATGATCGCCCCACTGCCCTCCAGAGTGAGCGACAGAGCCAGACCCTGTTGCTAAAAAAAAAAAAAAAATCCATAAAGCCGGGGACCATCTTTGCTCCAGGGAGGTCAGCTGACCCGGGCTGGCACTGGCCCTGGCGCAGTTCCCGCCCCTCCCGGGAGCGCTGGCACCGCCCCTTGGCACCACCCCCTCCCCGCGCCCCCGCCTTCCAGGAAGGGGCGGGGTCTCCGAGACGGGTGGGGCCGGAGCTCCAAGCTGGTTTGAACAAGCCCTGGGCATGTTTGGCGGGAAGTTGGCTTAGCTCGGCTACCTGTGGCCCCGCAGTTTTGTAGTCCCCGCCTTGTTTCTCCCCAGAGGCCTCTCAATCCTCCCTCCATGATCTTCGCATAGAGCACAGTACCCCTTCACACGGAGGACGCGATGGCTCCCAAGAAACGCCCAGAAACCCAGAAGACCTCCGAGATTGTATTACGCCCCAGGAACAAGAGGAGCAGGAGTCCCCTGGAGCTGGAGCCCGAGGCCAAGAAGCTCTGTGCGAAGGGCTCCGGTACTGCCTGTGCCTGCTGCTTGAATATTTCCGCCTTTTAGGGTGCTCGCGCAGGAGGCTGCAGCGGGGGATGGGTGCTCCGAGGCTCCCGAGGCCCGCGCAGGTCACGGGTGCCTCCGGCTGTGCATTCTACCTGCAGGTCCTTTGACACCAGAGTGTTTAGGTTTCAACACCTCTCCCGCTAGGTAACAGGAAGCAGATGAGCTCCGTAACAACAGACACACGGACTTGTCAGATTCCTTGTTCGTATCAGGGTTCTTGCACAGTTAGGACGGCTTCAGAGAATCCTACCTTTCCTGGCGCTGTGTGTGCTGGATTTCATAGTCACGCTTGTTAGCTGCACGTCCTCGGTGGTCAGTTGTGAGAGCCCCCAATTCCTTCCTCCTTAGAAAGCTCATTCTCTGAGGTTTACTGGGGCTTGAACCTGGGGCTATAAGGAGTTTCGAGACACTCAAAAACGAGCTGGGGCTTGTTAATCAAGTGGTTTTTGTCCATGAGAAGAAAGAATTGGTTGTCAAGACGTCGGACCTATAGTGATTGGGTCCTCAAATACAGTTTGGTGATCAGGAGTTGTTGCTTTATTGCTATTCTAATTTCACTTACCTCCCCAGAAGTAACCTAGTTAAGAGCATTTCCAGGCCTTCCTATTCCTTCTTTTCCTAAACGGTGACTTCTGCCATGCTGCCCTAAAATCTTTTTATTGTGCATTATATGTGATTTATAAAATTGTGACCCAGTCCCATCTCGAGTTTTGCAGCCCAAACTGGGAAGAGTTCTGCATTGTACTTTATCCTTGTGTGTTTCTTTGGCTGGGGTCTCAGGAACCCTGCACGACTGTATTTACTTTCACTTCAGACTTACTGTTTGTGGGAGTGTTTTGGGGAAGGGGCCAAATCCTCACTCATTTTTTTATTTCTGGTGCTCGTTGAGACCACACAGACATGGAAAGGCCGCAGGAGGTGATGAGACAGAGATTAACCGTGCCGAATGAAACAAGGCTTCCTTTCGGGGAATTCAGCAGAAAAACCTTTCGTGAGATTGGAGAGGAAAATATGTCTGTTCTGCTTGGCAGGTCCTAGCAGAAGATGTGACTCAGACTGCCTCTGGGTGGGGCTGGCTGGCCCACAGATCCTGCCACCATGCCGCAGCATCGTCAGGACCCTCCACCAGCATAAGCTGGGCAGAGCTTCCTGGCCATCTGTCCAGCAGGTAAGGCATTTTTTGCCTCAAGTCCTCAAGGGTTTACACGTGCATTTTTACTATTGCATGCTCCCAAATTAGATGATGGCTTGGTTCACCAGCTTGTCAGAGTGGTCCGATCACCCAGACTGTGGTGACTGGCCTACTGGGCACTCAGCCAGGTAAAAAATGTCTTATGTTGTAAAGGTCCCAGCTGGAATGCACTCTGCCCCTTTTGCTTTCCAAGATTATTCGTTCGTGTACATTGCAAATATTTTCATGCACAGGGCAGGCAGTTAGCTTTCCTTTGGTGGGAGGACTTGGATCTAGGGCTCATCCATGAAGGAGGCAGAGATTGGCAGTTTACCCAGAACTTGGGTTTTAATTCAACCTAATTCATTTCTCTCTGTGGCAGGGGCTCCAGCAGTCCTTTTTGCACACTCTGGATTCTTACCGGATATTACAAAAGGCTGCCCCCTTTGACAGGAGGGCTACATCCTTGGCGTGGCACCCAACTCACCCCAGCACCGTGGCTGTGGGTTCCAAAGGGGGAGATATCATGCTCTGGAATTTTGGCATCAAGGACAAACCCACCTTCATCAAAGGGGTGAGCAGTTCCCCATGCCAGGTCGTGCTAAAGAAGTGTTTGTTGGCTGGGTGCAGTGGTTCGCACCTGTAATCCCAGCACTTTGGGAGGCCAAGGTGGGTGGATCACCTGAGGTATGGAGTTTGAGACCAGCCTGGCCAACATGGTGAAACCCCGTCTCTACTAAAAATACAAAAATTAGCTGGGTGTGGTGGCAGGCGCCTATAATCCCAGCTACTCAGGAGGCTGAGGCAGGAGAATTGCTTGAACCCGGGAGGCAGAGGTTGCAGTGAGCCAAGATTGCACCATTACACTCCAGCCTGGGCAACAAGAGTGAAACTCCATCTCAAAATAATAATAATAATAATAATAAAAGAAAATAAAAATAAGGAGTGTTTGTTGAAGGCATGAAAGGAATATTGATGTCATCCAGTAATCATCAGGAAGAGGACTGGGATCAAAATTAACTGTGGGCATTTTCAAATACGTAAATGATGATGATATATATTTTTCTAATGCCTGTCCTTAAAATACTAGAAGATATAGACTATTGATCACCCATAGAATTGAAGCCCCTTCTGGGCTGGGCGCAGTGGCTCAGGCCTGTAATCCTAGCACTTTGGGAGGCCAAGGTGGGCTGACCACGAGGTCAAGAGATGGAGACCATCCTGGCCAACATGGTGAAACCCCGTCTCTACTAAAGATACAAAAAATTAGCTGGATGTGGTGGTGTGCGCCTGTAGTCCCAGCTACTTGGGACACTGAGGCAGGAGAATCGCTTGAACCCGGGAGGCGAAGGTTGCAGTGAGCCGAAATCACGCCACTGCACTCCAGCCTGGGCAACAGAGCGAGACTCCATCTCAAAAAAAAAGAATTGAAGCCCCTTCTTACCACATTGACCTCATCTTACGCCATTGTCTTTTCTCACTTCTATGCTGTAGCCACACCAGCTGTTTCTATTCCTGAAACCGGGTCTCTGTAATTGCTGTTCCCTTTGACTGGAGTGCTTTTCCCCCATGGTCTTCTCATGGCTGGCGTCTTCTCTGCAGGTCTTTGCTGATTCTACCTCTTCAAAGAGGCTTTCGCTGGTTGTCCTTACTCATAACGTAGATCCCACTCCTCCACCGTCATTCCCTGTATCATTACCCTGCTTCATGTTTCCCCCAAGTGTTGATGGGTGTCTGAGATCTGATGCTTATTTGTATGTTTGCCCACTGATGGCAGGGACCTTTCCTTTCTGGTTCACCATCCTATTCCCAGTGCCTGGAACAAAGTTTGGCCTAGAGTAGCTGCTTTATATTTGTTGAATGAGTGAGGGGCTTGAAGTGTAATTGAGCAGATGGGATGTATACATACGAGGTAATTAACAATACAGATGCCAAGTGCTACAGAATGTGAAAGAAGGAAGAACCCCTTGTGAATTGGAGTCAATAAAGAAGACTCCATGGATGAGCGAGGAGGAGCAGTATTAGATAAATGGAGAGAAAAGAAGGAAAGACATAGTGTGACTGGGTGAGGTTTGGCACAGAGTTCTTGGGAATGGTCTTTGTTGTGCTAGAGTTTATCATCCATTGCTGAGGGGTGAGTGTGTCGTCCCCTCTAGGACCTTTAGCCAGCCCAGCTGGTGGCTGACATTGGAGGGCTGTGCTGTGAAAAGTGACACTGGGTTTAGAGCAGGAGTCACAAACTTATAGGGCTCCAGAAGCCAGAGTGGAAAAAAAAAAAAAAAGAATGTATGGTGGTAGGGTCAGGGGTAAACTAGAGATGACTGTTGTGCAAAAATGTAGGTCTTTTGATATCAGATGTGATTTTTCTCAAACAAAGACACAAATCCTCATTTTTTAAATGTCATATATCTTGAGTTTTAAAAAAAATTGTAAAATACACGTAACATAAAATGTATCACCTTAACCATTTAAAAGTGTTTTTTTTTTGAGGCGGACTCTCGCTCTGTCACCCAGGCTGGAGTGCAGTGGCGCAATCTTGGCTCACTGCAAGCTCCGCCTCCCGGATTCATGCCATTCTCCTGCCTCAGCCTCCCCAGCAGCTGGGACTGCAGGTGCATGCTGCCACGCCTGGCTAATTTTTGTATTTTTAGTAGAGATGGGGTTTCACCGTGTTAGCCACGATGGTCTCTATCTCCTGACCTTGTGATCTGCCTGCCTCGGCCTCCCAAAGTGCTGGGATTACAGGCGTGAGCCACCGCCCCCAGCCAACTTTTTAAAAAATAATGATAAAATACATATAACATGAAATTTACTTTCGTAACCATTTTAAAGTGCACAGTTCAATGGCGTTGGGTAAATTGTGTAAGCAGTCTCCAGAACTTCATTATTTTTTTTTATTTTTATTTTTTGAGTCTCATTCTGTCACCCAGGCTGGAGTGCAGTGACACAACCATAGCTCACTGCAGCCTCCACCTTCCTGACTCAAGGAATCCTCCGGCTTCAGCCTCCCATGTATCAGGGACTACAGGTACGCACCACCATGCCTGGCTAATTTTTAGAGATGTGGTCTCTCTATATTGCCCAGGCTGGTCTCAAACTACTGGCCTCAAGCAATCCTTCTGTCTTGTCTTCCCAAATTGCTCGGGATTACAGGGCTGAGCCACTGTGCTGGGCCTCTAGAACGTCTTAATATTGGCACTGAATGAAACTAAACACACGTCTCAGCCGAATTCTGCTTCAGTCCACTATTTTTCTAGCTCTGGTTTAAAGGTAGACATGAGGGGGAACCCAGGAGGAGGTCTCTTTATTTATTTATTTGTTTATTTTTTTGAGATGGAGTCTCACTCCGCCGCCCAGGCTGGAGTGCAGTGGCGCAATCTCGGCTCACTGCAAGCTCCGCCTCCCAGGTTCACGCGATTCTCCTGCCTCAGCCTCCGAAGTAGCTGGGACTACTGGTGCCCGCCACCACACCCGGCTACTTTTTTTATATTTTTTAGTGGAGATGGGGTTTCACCGTGTTAGCCATGATGGTCTCGATCTCCTGACCTCGTGATCCGCCCGCCTCGACCTCCCAAAGTGCTGGGATTACAGGCGTGAGCCACTGCACCCAGCCAGCAGGAGGTCTCTTAAGTGGAGGGATTTGGAGAGCAGACCACCAGAAAAGGCCAGGTTAGACAGGTGTGGGAGACTGGAATTCAAAGTGTGAGATGGGTGTTCAAGGAACAAGTGCCAGAAGCCCCCAGAAAGGCAGTCAGAGGAGTGCCGCGGACAGAGTGGGGTAGGTTTCCTGCCCAGCTAAAGAGGCAGGTGACCGCTAATAAGGCAGCTTGAAGTTGAAGTCAGAACCCAGAGCTCAGACAGGAAGAAATTTGTTTTCTTGTTTTCTCCAGGAGTCTAGGACATGGGAATAGAGGAATTTAGCTTATGCCTGGAGATGGGAAGAAGCAGTGTAGGGTATTCTAGGGGAAGAGCTTCCTGACTAACAGGATAATGACAAGTGCTTTGAACTTGTGCCAGACTGAGATTGCTTTTTTTCTTTGTTGCATCACCTTATGACATGCGTGTAACCTTCTTTACAGTGTAAACTTTCTTTACACTGTAATGAAGATTGGTCTAGGCATTGAATTTTGTGGCTTGCATTTGCAGGGAGCTAGGTTGGAGCAGAGGAAGGGTATGGCAGTCTGGAAGAGACCTGTCTGGTTTTACTCCCAGATGCTGACAGCAGAATGCTGATTTGAGACCAGTTACTGGAGGAGCAACAGTGCCTCATTTTGTCACTTCTTTAGTCATCTGACCTTGGCTGTGACCTTTACATTCTTCAGGCCCTTGGCAAGGGAACATGTATTACAGTTTCACAATGAAGATAGCTTAATTTTATTCCTATTATAAAAACAATGTATGGGGCCAGGCGCAGTGGCCCACGCCTGTAATCCCAGCACTTTGGGAGGCCGAGGCGGGTGGATCACCTGAGGTCAGGAGTTCCGAGACCAGCCTGACCAACACATAGTGAAACCCTGTCTCTACTAAAAATACAAAAATTAGCCGGGAGTAGTGGTGCACGTCTGTAGTTCCAGCTACTCAGGAATCTGAGGCAGGAGAATCACTTGAACCTGGGAGGTGGAGGTTGCAGTGAGCTGAGATGGTGCCACTGCACTCCAGCCTGGGCGACACAGTGAGACTCCATCTCTCAAAAAACAAAACAGTGTATTCTTATCATAAAATACAGAGAAAAGTGTAAAAAATAAATTAAATATGATCCAAAATCCCCATTTTCAGCATCCCTCTGTGCATGTGTACACTATTTTTTTTTTTTTCCAAGTCTGAGTCTTGCTCTGTCGCTCAGGCTGGAGTGCAGTGGTGCGATCTCACCTCACTGCAACCTCCGCCTCCTGGGTTCAAGCTATTCTCCTTCCTCAGCCTCCCGAGTAGCTGGGATTACAGGCATGCACCACCACACCAGCTAATTTTTGTTTTGTTTTGTTTTTTTAAGACAGAGTTTCACTCTATTGCCCAGGCTGGAGTGCAGTAGCACGATCTCGGCCCACTGCAACCTCTGCCTCCTGAGTTGAAATGATTCTCCTGCCTCAGCCTCCTGAGTAGCTGGGATTACAGGAGCCTACCACCATGCCCAGCTAATTTTTGTATTTTTAGTAGAGACGGGGTTTCACCGTGTTGGCCAGGCTCGTCTTGAACTCCTGGCCTAAGGTGATCCACCTGCCTTGGCCTCCCAAAGTGCTGGCATTACAGGTGTGAGCCACCGTGCCCAGCCTGAATTTTATATTTTTGGTAGAAACAGGGTTTCACCATATTGGCCAGGCTGGTCTCGAACTCCTGACCTCAAGTGATCCGCCCGCCTCGGCCTCCCAAAATGCTGGGATTACAGGCACGAGCCACTGCACCCGGCCTGGGTTTTTAAAATTATATCTTTATTGAGGTATAGTGGACATAAACTGCAGCTATTTCAAGTGTACAATTTGGCTATTCTCAGCCTATGGGGTAGTCCTACTCCAGAGAAGCAGTAAGAAAAAAAGAATAAATTGTACAATTCCATGAGTTTTGACATATGTGTACAACTGTGAAGCCATCACCACAATTAAAATAACTCCCATTTCCCCACCCTTTGTTGAATATTTGGAGAGTGATAGATAGATGAGTTATCTATGCCCCTTTGTAATCCACCCCTCTCTACCCAATATCTTATTCACTGTAAACTGCTGATCTATTTTTTATTTTTAGAAATTAATTTACATTTTCTAGAACTATATATAAATAGAATCATAGAATATATGGTCTTTTATTTTTGTTCTAGCTTGTTTCAGTATAATTATTTGAAATTTATCTACATTTTTATGTGTAGTTTTTTTTTTCTTTCTGAATAATGGTTCATTGTTTTTTGTTTTAAGACAGGGTCTTGCTGTGTCACCCAGGGATGATCATGGTTCAGCATAGCCTCAACCTCCTCAGCTCAAGCGATTCTCCCACCTCAGCCTCCTGAGTAGCTGGCACTACATGCACAGGCCACCATACCTGGCTAATTTTAAAATTTTGTTATAGAGACAGAGGTCTCACTGTGTTGCACAGGCTGGTTTCAAACTCCTGGCCTCAAGCTATCCTCCTGCCTTAGCCTCCCAAAGTGCCGGGATTATAGGCGTGAGCCCCTGCACCCAGCCACATTGTACTGATATGATACAGTTTATTCATTTACCTGTTCAAGGACATTTGAATTTTTTTCTAGTTTTTGAATGCAACATATAAAGCGACTGTGAACATTCACGTACAAGTATTTGTGTGGATATATGTTTTCATTTTTCTTGGGTAAATACTTAGCAGTGGAATGGCTGGATTATAGAGTAGGAATGTTTTAAAGATACTTTTTAAATGAGAAAAGGTTTTTCTATTTGCCCACATATTGTCATTTCCAGTGCTTTCATTCTTTCATGTGATCCAGATTTCCTTTTGGTAATATTTTC
Source organism: Homo sapiens (assembly GCF_000001405.40). Lineage (NCBI taxonomy): Eukaryota > Metazoa > Chordata > Mammalia > Primates > Hominidae > Homo > Homo sapiens. The sequence continues at coordinate 47,222,946 of NC_000011.10, forward strand.
TTTCTGCCTGAAGAAATTCCTTTCATATTTCTTATAATGCAGATTGGTGATAAATACTTTCCACTGTTGTTTATCTAGAAAAGTATTTTGCCTTTATTTTGAGGGAGGATGTTTTTGCTAAGTATAGAATTCTAGGTTCACAGTTTTTAAAATTATTTAACTTTTATTTTTTAATTGGTAAATTAAAATTGTATTTTATTGCATACAATATATTTGTTCACAGTTTTCTCCTGTCAGTACTTTAAAGATGATGTCTAGGCTGGGCGCTGTGGCTTACGCCTGTAATCCCAGCATTTTGGGGGGCCAAGGCAAGTGGATCATTTGCGATCATGAGTTTTAGACCAGCCTGGCTAACATGGTGAAACCCCGCCTCTACTAAAAATACAAAAATTAGCTGGGTGTGGTGGCGCTCACCAGTAATCCCAGCTACCCGGGAGGCTGAGGCATGAGAATCTTGAACCTGGGAGGCAGAGGTTGCAGTGAGCCGAGATGGTGTCACTGCACTCCATTCTGGGTGACAGAGCAAGACTGTGTCTCAAAAATAAATAAATAAGGCTGGGCGCGGTGGCTGACACCTGTAATCCCAGCGCTTTGGGAGGCCGAGGCAGGCGGATCACGAGATCAAGAGATTGAGACCACCCTGGCTAACACGGTGAAACCCTGTCTGTTCTAAAAATACAAAAAAAATTAGCCAGGCGTGGTGGTGGGCGCCTGTAGTCCCAGCTACTTGGGAGGCTGAGGCAGGAGAATGGTGTGAACCCAGGAGGCAGAGCTGGCAGTGAGCCGAGATCGGCCACTTCACTCCAGCCTGGGTGACAGAGCAAGACTCCGTCTAAAATAAATAAATAAATAAAGAATAAAAATAAAGATGATTTCTAGTTGGGCTCAATGGTTCATGCCTGTAATCTCAACACTTTGAGAGGCTGAGGCTGGGGGACCTCTTGAGGCCAGGACTTTAAGACCAGCCTAGGAAACACAGCAAGACCCCATCTCTACAAAAAAATCTTAAAAATTAGCTAGTGGCTTGAACTTGTAGTTCCAGCTGTTCAGGAGGCTGAGGTGGGAGAATTGCTTAAGCCCAGGGGGACAAGGCTTCAGTGAGCTAGGCAAGCCTGGGTGACAGAGCAAGATCCTGTCTCAATTAAAAACAAAACAAAACAAAACATCCTGATGAGAAGTCTGCTACTATCCTTATGTTCCTGTCTATGTAATTTTTCTTCTGGTCGCTTTAAAAATGATTATGATGTGCTTGTGGGGGGATCACTAAGCTTCTTTGATTTATGGATTTTTTTTTTCTTTTGAGACAAAGTCTCACTCTGTCGCCCAGGCTGGTGTGCAGTGCCACAATCTCGGCTCACTGCAACCTCCACCTCCAGGGTTCAAGCGATTCTCCCTGCCTCAGCCTCCCGAGTAGCTGGGATTACAGGTGCCCACCACCTCACCTGGCTAATTTTTGTATTTATTTATTTTTATTTTATTTTTTTAGTAGAGACAGGGTTTCACCATGTTGGCCAGGCTGGTCTTGAACTCCTGACCTCCAGTGATCCGCCCACCTTGGCCTCCTGAAGTGCTGGGATTACAGGCGTGAGCCACCTTGCCCAGCCCATTATTTCTTACAAAGAGTTCAAAATGAAGAAAAAGAACAGTTCTTTTTTTCTTGGGACTGCGATTACATATGGTCCTGCAGGTGGTTGATGCACTGTTCATTTTTGTCTTTTTCCCTGTTTCATTTTGTGCAGTTGTTCACTGATCTTTACTTCTGTAATATCTAACCTTCTGCTGTCAATCCCTCCCTCCCTCCCTCCCTTCGTTCCTTTCTCTCTCTTCTCTTCCTCTTCCTTTTCTCTTCTCTTTCTTGCCTGTGCAGAGCAGGGCTGCTCCATAGGCAAAGTAGCCCAGCGTATTTTTCATTTCAGATACTGTATATCCCCTCTAGAAGTTTAATTTGGATTTTTTTTCATGTCTTCCATTTCTCTCCTCATATTTATTATTTCCTCTTCTTTCTTTTTTGAGATGAGGTCTCACTCTCTCTTCCAGGCTGGAGTGCACTGGCATGAGATCTCAGCTCACTGCAACCTCCACCTCCCAGGTTCAAGCGACCCTTCTGCCTCAGCCTCCTGAGTAGCTGGGATTACAAGTGTGCACCACCACGCCCAGCTAATTTTTGTATTTTTAGTAGAGACCAAGTTTCACCATATTGGCCAGGCTGGTCTCAGACTCCTAACCTCAAGTTATCCACCCACCTTGGCCTCCCAAAGTGCTGGGATTACAGGCTTGAGACACTGCTCCTGGCCCGATCCTGTGTCTTTAAAAAAAAAAAAAAAAACTCTAACAAGTAATACTGCTTTTTTTAAAAAAAATTGTGGGCCAGGCTCAGTGGCTCACGCCTGTAATCCCAGCACTTTGGGAAGCTGAGGTGGACGGATCACAAGGTCAGGAGATCGAGACCATCCTGGCCAACATGGTGAAACCCCGTCTCTACTAAAAACACAAAAAATTAGCTGGGCATGGTCGTGGGCGCCTGTAATCCCAGCTACTGGGGAGGCTGAGGCAGGAGAATCACTTGAACCCGGGAGGCAGAAGTTGCAGTGACCCGAGATTATGCCACTGCACTCCAGCCTGGGCAACAGAGCGAGACTCCATCTCTATTTTAAAAAAAAAAAACAAAAAACTGGTAGAAAACACGTAAAACAATTTACAATCTTTACTATTTTTAAGTGTACAGTTTAGTAATGTTAACTATATTCACATTGTTGTGCAACAGATCACTAGAACTTTTTTCTTGTAAAACTGAAACTCTATACCCACTGAACAAGCCTCCACTTCTCCCTCCCCTTAGCCCCTGGCAACCACAGTACTACTTTCTGTTTCTGTGAGTTTGACTACTTTAGATATCTCATCTAAGTGGAATCATACAGTATTTGTCTTTTTGTGACAGGCTTATTTCACTTAATGCAGTGTTTTAAGATTCATCCATGTTGTAGCATGTGGCAGAATTTCCTTTTTTAAGGCTGAATAATGTTCCATTGTTTGCGTGTACCACCTTTTGTTTATCTGTTTATTAATTGACAGACACTTGGGTTGATTTCATCTTTTGGCTATTGTGAATAATGCTGCAGTGAATGTGGATGTGCAAATATCCCTTTGAGACCCCGATTTCAGTTCTTTGGGGCTTATGCCAATAAGTACGATTGCTTCATCAAATGGTAATTTTGTTGTTCATTTTTTGAGGAACCGCTATATTGTTTTCCATACTGGCTATACCATCTCATGTTCCCATCAGCAGTGTACAAATGTCCCAACTTCTCTACTTCCCCACCAACATTTATTTTCTTTTTTTTTTTTTTTGAGATGAAGTCTCCCTCTGTCGCCCAGGCTGGAATGCAGTGGCACAGCCTCAGCTTACTGCAACCTCTGCCTCCTGAGTTCAACTGATTCTCCTGGCTCAGCCTCCAGTAGCTGAGATTATAGGCGCACACCACCATGCCCGGCTAATTTTTGTATTTTCAGTAGAGACGGGTTTTGCCACGTTGGCCAGGCTGGTCTTGAACTCCCGACCTCAGGTGATTCATTTGCCTTGGCCTCCCAAATTGCTGGGATTACAAGTGTGAGCCACCATGCTCGGCCTTTTCTGTTTTTTTGATAGTGGCCATCCTAAGGGATGTGAGGTGATAGCAGTGTAGTTTCATTTGCATTTCTCTAATGATTAGTGATATTGAGCATCTTTACGTGTGCTTCTTGGCCATTTGTATATTTTCTTTGAAGGAATGTCTATTCAAGTCCTTTGCCTTTTTTTTTTTTTTTTTTTTTTTTTGAAACAGGGTCTTACTTGGTCACCCAGGCTGCAGTACAGTGGCACAATCATAGCTCACTGCAGCCTCGAACTTCTGGGCTCCAGTGATCCTGCTGCCTTAGCCACCCGAGTAACTGGGACTGCAGGTGCTCACCATCATACCTTGCTAACTTTGTTTTGTTTTGTTTTTTTCGCTGTCTCTTACAGAAAGGACTTACTAAGTTAAAAAAAAATTTTTTTTTATAGAGATTGGATCTTGCTATGTCTCCCAGGCTGGTCTTGAACTCCTGTTTGCCTGTTTTTTAGTTGGGTTATTTGTTGTTGTTTTGTAGGGGTTCTTTATATATTCTGGATATTAACCTTTTTTTTTTTTTTTTTTTTTTTTGAGATGGAGTTTTGCTCCTGTTGTACAGGCTGGAGTGTAATGGCTCAATCTCGGCTCACTGCAGTCTCCACCTCCCGGGTTCAAGCAATTCTCCTGCTTCAGCCTCCTGAGTAGCTGGGATTACAGGCATGCGCCACCATGCCCGGCTAATTTTTGTGCTTTTAGTAGAGACAGGGTTTCACCATGTTGGCCAGGCTGGTCTTGAACTCCTGACCTCAGGTGATCTACCCGCCTCGGCCTCCCAAAGTGCTGGGATTATAGGTGTGAGACACTGCGCCCGGCCATGATATTAACCTCTTATCAGATCTATGATTTGAAAATATCTTCTCCCACTTCATAGATTGCCTTTTCACTTTGTCGATTGTTTCTTTTGATGCCTGAATTTTTTTTTTTTTTTTAATTTTGAGATGGAGTTTCACTCTTGTCACCCAGGCTGGAGTGCAATGGCGCAATCTTGGCTCACTGCAACCTCCACCTCCCGGGTTCAAGCAATTCTCCTGCCTCAGCCTCCCAAGAAGCTGGCACCCACCACCACGCCCAGCTGGCCCGATTGATTTTTAATAGTTAAACCAACTTTGCATTCTTGGAATAAGTTCATCCTGGCCATAACATATTTATCGTTTTTAAATATTACTGGATTGAGCTGGCAAATATTTTAAGATCTTTGCATTTGTGTTCATGTGTAAAATTGGCCAAATCCTTGTCACATTTGTGTATCAAGATTATGCTGATTTCTGGCCAGGCGTGGTGGATCACGCCTGTAATTCCAGCACTTTGGGAGGCCGAGGGGGTCGGATTATGAGGTCAGGAGATGGAGACCATCCTGGCCAACATGGTGAAACCCCGTCTCTACTAAATATGCAAAAATTAGCTGGGCGTGGTGGCGCACTCCTGTCATCCCAGCTACCCGGGAGGTTGAGGCAAGAGAATCGTTTGAACTTGGGAAGTGGAGGTTGCAGTGAGGTGAGATCGTACCACTGCACTCCAGCCTGGCAACAGAGTGAGGCTCTGTCTCAAAAAAAAAAAAAAAAAAAAAAGATTATGCTGATTTCTGTGAATTGCTTGAGCCCAGGAGGCAGAGGTTGTAGTAAGCTGAGTGCACCACTGCAGTCCAGCCTGAGCGACAGAGCACAACTCTGTCTCAAAAAAAAAAAAAATTATGCTGCCCTCTTTAGCTTGGGAATTATTCCCTCTTTTTCTAGTCTGTGGAGACGGAGGGTTTAAGATCAATATCTGGCTGGGTGCGGTGGCTCACTCCTGTAATCTCAGCACTTTGGGTGGCCAAGGTGGGCAGATCACCTGAGGTCAGGAGTTCAAGACCAGCCTGGCCAACATGGCAAAACCCTGTCTCTACTAAAAATACACAAAAATTCGCCAAGCATGGTAGCAGGTACCTGTAATCCCAGCTACTCGGGAGGCTGAGGCAGGAGAATTGCTTGAACCCAGGAGGCAGAGGTTGCAGTGAGCCAAGATTGTGCCACTGCACTCCAGCCTGGGCAACAGCATGGGACTCTGTCTCAAAAAAAAAAAAAAAAAAGGAAGGAAAGATCAATATCTCTTCCTCAGCCAGGTCCGGTGGCTCATGACTGTTGGGAGGCCGAGGCAGGCGGATCACTTGAAGTCAGGAGTTCGAGACCAGCCTGGCCAACATGATGAAACTCCATCTCTCCTAAAAATACATAACTTAGCTAAGCGTGGTGGCGTGAGCCTGTAATCCCAGGTACTTGGGAAGCTGAGGCTGGAGAATTGTTTAAACCCAGGAGGCGGAGGTTGCAGTGACCTGAGATGGCACCATTGCACTCCAGCCTGGGCTACAGAGTGAGACTCCATCTCAAAAAAAAAAAAAAAAAGAAATATCTATCTATCTATCTATCTATCTATCTATCTATCTATCTATCTTCCTCTTTCTTCATCTTCTTTTTCCCTTCCTGAACAGTTCAAACCAAAAGTCATTAGGTAGGATCAAGCAAGATAGATGTTTACGTAGTGGGAAGGCTACAGTGCTGGAAGTGCCAGATGCTGGGGCCCCTGAAGCTGAGGTGAATGTCATTACAGGTGGCAGGTGGCAGCTCAGTACATAGAGACTGGGCCCAAACAAGATCAGAAGGGCATCCATGTAGGCAGGGGTGAAGAGTAGAGGAGGCCGGGCATGGAATAGTGAAGTCTGAAGCGGGGTTGAGGATGCTGAACCACAGGGAGGCCTAGAGTGGGGTGGCGGAGTCAAGTGGGGTGAGCAGGGCTTTTGCATGGAGAGGGGCGGCCGTGGCGCCTGATGTGGGCAAGGAAGTTGTGTCTGCATGGTTGAGGGAGTGGAGAGAGGGAAGAGGGTGATTGTGCCCTCGGGAGGGTAAAAGAGTCCAAGCATCCTAAGGAAGACGTGCATTTGGGGAGTGTGTGGCAGCAATAGTGGAAGACTGGTTACATACAAGGAGATTAATCAAATATGTAAGTATATTGAGTAAAATGGGAACCACATTTTTCACTGTCAAAGAAGGGAATTATAAACATGGAAAGAGAGAAACTCGAATCAACTCTGTGGTGTTGACTTTGAATTGAAGACATTGATACAAATTTAAGGTTTTCAGTATACAAAGTAAGACAGTTGTGAAGCAATCTGATTGCAGATTCCTTTTACATTTTTATTACCTTAATCTTTTATAAGTATCTCACCCTATGCTTAATTTGATGGCTCTTCTTTTTTTTTTTTTTTTTCTTCTTCCTAATAGAGACAGGGTCTTGCTCTGCCACCCAGGCTGGAATGCAGTGGCAGGATCATAGCTAACTACAGCCTTGAACTCCTGGGCTCAAGTCACCATCCCACCTCAGCCTCTCGAATAGCTATGAGCACAGGTGTGCACCATCACTCCCAGCTAATTTTTAATAATTTTTTATAGAGGCTGGACCCAGTGGGTCATGCCTGTAACAGCACTTTGGGACGTTGAGGTGGAAGGATTGCTTGAGCCCAGGAATTTGAGACTGGCCTGAGTTACATAGTGAGACCCTGTCTCTAAAAAAAAAAAAAAAAAAAAATTGGTGACACACACCTATAGCCTATAGCACCAGCTACTTGGGAGGCTGAGGCGGGAGGATTGCTTGAGCCCAGGAGGTTGGGGCTACGCTGAGCCAGGATTGCACCACTGCATCAAGGTTTTGAACTCCTGGCCTTAAGCGATTCTCCTGCCCCAGCCCCTCAAAATACTGGGATTATAGATGTGAGCTACTGTGCCCAGCCAATAGCTATTATTTTTGCAACTCATTATCAAGTTCTTCCAAAGCTTTCAACACGGCTTTTATAGTAGTAATAATGGCCTTTGTTTTTGCATGTATTTCATCAATTTACATGCTTAATTAAATTTGGTGTTAATTGCAATAAAAGATACAATTGGAATAAACAGGTTTGAGAACAACTACAACCAACCCTTGGTTTGGTAAGCATAGAACTCAACTGGAGGGAGCCGAAGATTGTCATACTACCAGCAAGCATTTGGCAGACCATGAGCATTAGAATGACCGTGAGGTTAGAATGTTTTATAGAGGGAAGGGAATGTGCCAGTTAGTATGTTGTGATAGCTAAGTGGTTGTTGCATAGAAGAACTTGTACAGGTCTGTGAGGCTGGGATAGCTGCAGCGTAAAGAAGAAGTGGAAAAGGTGGAGAAAGGCGGACAAGTGGAGAACTTTACATCTTGGGGATGTAAAGTTCTTAAAACAGTGCCTGACTGGGCGCAGTGGCTCACGCCTGTAATCCCAGCACTTTGGGAAGCCGAGGCAGGCCAATCACCTGAGGTCAGGAGTTCGAGACCAGCCTGACCAACATGGTGAAACCTGTCTTTACTAAAAATACAAAAATTAGCTGGGTGTGATGGTGTGGGCATGTAATCCCAGCTACTCAGGAGGCTGAGGCAGGAGGATCACTGGAATCCAGGAGGTGGAGGCTGCAGTGAGCTGAGGTTGTGCCACCGCACTTCAGCCTGGGCGACAGAGCAAGCCTTCATCTCAAAAAAAAAAAAAAAAAAAAAAAAACACACAAAGAAAATCCCCCCAAAAAACCAGCGCCTAGTACATAGTAAGCACTTAATAAGGTTAAGCCATTGATATTCTCATGATTATTTTCATCATCATTTTCATGAATGTTTGGAAGAATAGGAAGGGGCACAGATCTGACTCCTGCCCTCCTAACTCAGCCACTGCTCTGAGCTGAAGCTCTTCTAAAGAGAGCACTGTGGGAATAACAAATTAGGGCACATCCATGTAATGGAATACCTCAGCAATAAAATGAGATGAGCTCTTGATACAGCAAACTCAGATGAATCTCAGAGGCATGATGAGTGAAATGAAACAAGACAGTCTCAAAAGGTTGCATACTGCCTAATTCATTTACATGACATTCTATTTTTAATTTTATTTTATTTTATTTTTAGAGACAGGGTCTTGCTCTGTCACCCACGCTAGAGTGCAGTGATTCGATCGCAACTCACTGCAGCCTCGACCTCCAGGCTTCCGTCATCTTCCCACCTCAGCCTTCTGAGTAGCTAGAACCACATGCACCTACCACCATGTCTAAATTTTTTTTGTGTGTGTAGAGATGGGGTCTCCCTATATTGCTTAGGCTGGTCTTGAACTCCTGGCCTCAAGCAATCCCCCCGCCTCAGTCTCCCCAGGTGTTGGGATTACTGTGCTCGGTCTATAGGACATTCTATGAGGGCAAAACAATAGTGATGGAGAACAGATCAGCCAGGGGCTGGGGGCGAGGGGAGGGTGTGATTACAATGGGATACCACGATGGAGTTTTTGGGCTGTTGCAAATGTTCTGCATCCTGATTTGGGTGGTGGTTATTTAAGTCTATACATATGTTAAAATTCAGAGAACTTTATATCCCAAATTTGCTATATGTTAATTAAAAAAAAAAGTAAAAATAAAGCCTTAAGAAATGAAGGGAGGCGGGGCACGGTGGCTCACGCCTGTAATCCCAGCACTTTGGGAGGCCAAGGGTGGCGGATTACCTGAGGGCAGGAGTTCCAGACCAGCCTGGCCAACATGGTGAAACCCTGTCTCTACTAAAAATATACAATTTAGCCATGCGTGGTGGTGGGCACCTGTAATCCCAGCTGCTTGGGAGGCTGAGGCAGGAGAATCGCTTGAACCTGGAAGGCAGAGGTTGCAGTGAGCCGAGGTCGTGACAGAGCAGGACTCCATCTCAAAAACATAAAAATAAAAATAAAAATAAAAAAAAGAAAGAAATGAAGGGGCCAGACAAAGCGGCTCATGCCTGTAATCTTAGCACTTTGGGAAGCCGTGGCAGGGGGATCGCTTGAGCTTAGGAGTTCAAGACCAGCTTGGGCAACGTGACAAAACCCCATCTTAAAAAAAAAAAATAGAAAAATTAGCTGGGCATGGTGGCACGCACTTGGGAGGCTGAGGTGGGAGGATCGCTTGAGCCCAGGAGATTGAGGCTGCAGTGAGCCGTGTTTGTGCCACTGCACTTCAGCCTAAGTGACAGAGAAAGACCCTATTTCAAAGGAAAAGAAAAAGAAGTGAAGGCCCTGTAGAGAGCGTCCTAGTGTCTAAGCTGACCTGGCCCCAAGCGCTGCTCGAGGGGTGCTTCTGTGACGGCGCAGCATGTGTGCCCAGGCCTGGTTCCTCACGGCCAGGCCCATCATCACTCACTGGCTTTTTCCTTCCTCGTGTTAGATTGGAGCTGGAGGGAGCATCACTGGGCTGAAGTTTAACCCTCTCAATACCAACCAGTTTTACGCCTCCTCAATGGAGGGAACAACTAGGCTGCAAGACTTTAAAGGCAACATTCTACGAGTTTTTGCCAGCTCAGACACCATCAAGTGAGTAGTTTAACTAGCAGGGGAAAGGGCTTCTAAGCTTAGGTGTAGTTCCGGCAAGAGCATCCAGATCCCATTTCCTTAACCCAACCTGGCCCAGGGAAGAAAGGAAAGATGTCAGCCACTTTCCGCCCTTCTTTCTCTTTCTCAAACTGCTCCTTGGCTGCCCTCACTTTGGTCCAGGTGGGTTACTGCTTTGGGAAGGTGTTCTGGAGCCTCAGCTCTTCTGTAAGTCATACCTGTATTAGACTGGACCTTGACCCTCACTAGATAAGCCAGCATGGCGTGGACCCAGAAAGCCACCTAGAGAATGGAGCAACAGCTCAGAACTTGAGACTGAATGCCCTGCACTCACTGTGGTGTAATGACCTGACCTGTTCCTGGGTGGAAGCTTATATGGATGGAATCTTTTCCATAAAGTGCTCTGGACTTCCCAAGAGAAAGTGGCTGGAGAAATTACAGAATGCGGCCGGGTGCAGTGGCTCATGCTTGAAATCCCAGCACTTTGGGAGGCCAAGGTGGGTGGATCACCTGAGGTCAGGAGTTCGAGACCAGCCTGGCCAACATGGTGAAACCCCCATCTCTACTAACAATACAAAAAATTAGCTGGGCGTGGTGGTAGGCCCCTGTAATTCCCAGCTACTTGGGAGGCTGAAGCAAGAGAATCGCTTGAACCCAGGAGGCAGAGGTTGCAGTGAGCCGAGATGGCGCCATTGCACTCCATCCTGGGCAACAAGAGCGAAAATCTATCTCAAAAAAAAAAAAAAAAAATTACAGAATACTCGTCACTTTGATTTCCAGCTAGAGCCGTGACTCTGACTGCTCCCTGAGGAATTAAGTGAGGGTGCTGGGGTGTAACTAGCATTGGATTGGATCCTGGGCTGTCCCGCAGGGATGAGGAGTGCATGCGCACGCAAATCAGCAGGCAATTGGATAGACAAGGCTCCAGGCTACTCTTCCGCAAGAAATCTTCCTGCTTGAAGATATTCATAGGGGATGGCAAAAGGCAGTGTAGCATGGATTTGAGAGTTTGAGAGAAAAACTGTGAGCTGAGCTCTTCTGGCTGAATAGCAGGATCCCTGAAGCACCCTCCTAGTCAGCCTCCCAGTCCAGTGGTTTGAGGGACCAGAAGAGCTCCTGGTTGTGTTTTTTCCCCCAGTGTTCAGAAGGGGGCAGAAGTGCTTTTCTAGCCAGCTCTGAGGAACAGGGCCAGGCAATCCCTCTTTGGCTTGTGTCTCCTTTGGCCTAAAGGGTGAAGAGTGAAAGGAGAGAGCAGTAAAGGAGGCTTGCTCAGAACCCGGGGTGTGGGGGGCAGGCGTGCCTCAGGGCTTGCTTTATGGTATAAGCTTTGTCTGCTTCAGGGACTTTTAGGAGCTGGGGATCCTGGGCCCAGCCATAACCAGACAGATTTCTGAGCCCCATTATCCCATCCCCTCTGTCTGGACGGTAGAGCAGTCTGAATGTTCCTCACTAGGAATCCACGGCAAGACAGTTATTCATTCATTCAACAAATATTTATTGAATGCCCGCTGTGGGTTAGTCACCGGAGCGGCAACAGTGAGTAAATAGGACTATCTCTGTCCCCAAGAATCTTACAACACAGTCTCTCCCTCCAGCATCTGGTTTTGTAGCCTGGATGTGTCTGCTAGTAGCCGAATGGTGGTCACAGGAGACAACGTGGGGAACGTGATCCTGCTGAACATGGACGGCAAAGAGGTGCGTTCTCCGAGGTCCTGCCTTTCCCTCCCTCACCCCCACCTCGGTTCTGTGTCCCCACCTGAACCGAGCTCTTCTCTGCAGCTTTGGAATCTCAGAATGCACAAAAAGAAAGTGACGCATGTGGCCCTGAACCCATGCTGTGATTGGTTCCTGGCCACAGCCTCCGTAGATCAAACAGTGAAAATTTGGGACCTGCGCCAGGTTAGAGGGAAAGCCAGCTTCCTCTACTCGCTGCCGCACAGGCATCCTGTCAACGCAGGTGTGATATCCCAGACCTCATCTCTCCTGCAGACCCTGCCTGTCTGACCACTGCTGGGGTTTTCCCTCAGTGTGGAAGCCACTACGTCAAACCTTTACCCCTGATAGCGTCTGCCAAGCTGATGTCTGGGAACCTTTGTGGCTGTGGCTGTCCCCATCAGCTGCTGAGTTTCCAGAATTTTTTTGTTGTTGTTCACAGCCCAGATTCACCTCTTCCTTTCCGCTCCTGTCTAGAGAGGAGTGGGAGGGAGAGTACCCCTGCAGGAGAAGGCCTGCAAGGCCAGGACCACAGAGGGCTTGTGGTTCCTTCAGCTCAGGGGCTTTTCACTTTGCCAGCTTGTTTCAGTCCCGATGGAGCCCGGCTCCTGACCACGGACCAGAAGAGCGAGATCCGAGTTTACTCTGCTTCCCAGTGGGACTGCCCCCTGGGCCTGATCCCGCACCCTCACCGTCACTTCCAGCACCTCACACCCATCAAGGTGAGTGGCGGTGGGAAGGAGCTCGCAGAAGGAGGCTGTGATCATGAGGCCGGAGCAGGTCTGCCCACAGTGGGGAAGGGCTGATGTGGTAAGCCTGCCACCCCAGATCGCTCCTGGCCCGAGCACAGAGCATCTCTTACCCATTGGCTCTCTCTCTTCCTTTTATCCCACTTCTGCCATCCCATATGGTTGAGTTTTCTGTCTCGCTGATAAGATATTTTTCTGAGTTTTTTCAGCCCAGCTCTGATCTCACTGTGAGAATTTTCTAAGATCCTGACCCTCTGTTCTGTCTTCTCAGCTTCAGTTACCTGTGTACAGTTGACCCACAAACCTTCATTTTTTATTTTTTTATTATTTTTTTTAAGGCAGGGTCTCGCTCTGTCACCCAGGTGGGAGTACAGTGGGGCAAGCATGGTTCATTACAGCCTTGATCTCCCAGGCTCAAGCGATCCTCCTGCCTCACTTTTTTTTTTTTTGTAGAGACAGGGTATTCTTGTGTTACCCAGGCTGATCCTTTTTTTTTTTTTTTTTTTTTTTCTTGAAACGGTCTTGCTCTGTCACCCAGGCTGGAGTGCAGTGGCACAAACATAGCTCACTGCAGCCTCAACCTCCTGGGTTCAAGCAATCCTTCCGCCTTAGCCTCGGAAGTAGATTGGACTACAGGTATGCGCCACCATACCCAGCTAATTTTTTTATTTTTTATAGAGATGGGGTTTTGCCATGTTGCCCAAGCTGGTCTTGAACTCCTAGGTTGAAGCCATCCCCCAACCTTGGCCTCCCAAAGTGCTAGGATTACAGGCATGAGCCACTGCGCCTGGCAACTTTGCCTTCTTAGTTTGTCTTGCAGGTTTCAGTGCTTCTAATAATAAAAATAAGTCTTTTATTTTCCCACCTTTTCTCAGGCTCTTGTTAATAGCTTCTCTATCATTAGTCCCCAACACTAATAGCTTTCAAGTCCTTTGATGCCTTTTTGCCTAAGCCCCCATGCAGACTGAGCTCTGCTAGTTCTGCATTCTTTTCCAAAACTACAGATCCTCTTCAGATCTTCAGGTTTTATGCCTATACTTCTCTGGTCAGTTCAGAATAGTGGTGGGGAGCGCCAGTTTCCAGCAGCCAGACCCCCCGGGTTAGAATCCTTGGGCAAATTACTTATATTTTGGATCTGTTTCCTCATCTGCAAAAAGGGAATACTAGTCTCTAACTGATAGGGTTGTTGTGAAGATGAGTCAGTATACTTAAAGCACTTGGCCCCATGCCCAGCACCTGGTAAGTACTGGTAAGTATTCAATAAATGATGATTGAATATTGAGTGGCCCCCACGTACCTCAATCACATCCAAGCTCTTAATAAATAATGTCAAGAATCCTTCCCCAGTTGGTGTTCCTGTTAATCCATCAGTGTTCCCGATAATCCATCTGTCTGCATGTCCCAGTTTGTATCTAGCCAGGTGTCGTAAGTCATTACAGCTTCCTGTGTGTGATTTGTGACTTATTTCTAAGCCTTCGCATGTACTATTTCTTCCTTCCTGCTAACCATGTCTTTCTTCCTTCAAAACTTCCTTGAGAAGTTTAGGAAAATCCCATCCAATTCTGCCATTTTAATAACTGCCAGATTTGTTTTTAGTGGGGTGATCTGGGGAATGTGGGTTTCCTTCTCTTTTTTAGCCATTAGCAATTTTACACTCAGCTCTTAGTTATTCGTGTTGATGGAGACAGGATGACAGTGGGGCTCCTCCAGAACTCAAGTCCTGTTAGGGTTTGGTCACCAGAGGCTTTTTCTGCTTTGTTGTAGGCCTCTTAGGTCAGTATCTGGGTCAGGCTGATGTTAAAACGTTTACCAGTTGGTATGATCTTAGGAAATGCAAATGAGGGAGAAGGCCTGAAGGTGCCCTAAGGGCCAGGGAGGCCAGCTAGGGATTAAAAATGTGCAATGGCAGAGGCACACACAACCTAAAACCATTCTTGTAGTTTTCTGTAAGACTTATCTCCATTATTAGGTTGGCTTGTTACTGGCAAATACTACTTTTTTTTTTTTTTTTTTGAGAGTCTTGCTCTGTCACCTAGGCTGGAGTGCAGTGACATGATCTTCACTCACTGCAACCTCCGCCTCCCGGGTTCAAGTGATTCCCCTGCCTCAGCCTCCCAAGTAGCTGGGACTACAGGCATGTACCACCACGCCCAGCTAATTTTTTTTTTGGTATTTTTAGTAGGGACGGGGTTTCACCATGTTAGCCAGGATGGTCTCGATCTCCTGACCTCGTGATCCGCCTGCCTCAGCCTCCCAAAGTGTTGAGATTACAGGTGTGAGCCACTGCACTCAGCCCAAAGAATACTTTTGATGTTCCTCTTTGTTCATATTTGTTTTTGATGTCCCCCTTGATCATGTTCTGTGTTTACCCTCATGGCCGGCCTCTCCATCTCCTAGGCAGCCTGGCATCCTCGCTACAACCTCATTGTTGTGGGCCGATACCCAGATCCTAATTTCAAAAGTTGTACCCCTTATGAATTGAGGACGATCGACGTGTTCGATGGAAACTCAGGGAAGATGATGTGTCAGCTCTATGACCCAGAATCTTCTGGCATCAGTTCGGTGAGGCTTGGGTCCTCAAATAATGATGGGAGGAAGCAGGGATTCAACCTACCTTATTGACCAAAAGTGACCAGAAATCAGGTGTCTCTGCTAATACCTTCACCCTCTCCTCATGTTGACACTCTTGTCTCTGCAGCTTAATGAATTCAATCCCATGGGGGACACGCTGGCCTCTGCAATGGGTGAGTAGGAGGAGAATGTCTCTGACTTGCCAAGTCCGATCCTACTTCCCAAGGTTCAGTGCGGGCCAGCCTCAGCCCCGCCCTGCCACATTCACCCCAGGGCAGTGGCCCACGAAGAAGATGGCTGGGAGACAGTGGTCTCTATAGCCAAGGCCCTCCATTCCTCTGGCTTTGTCTTGGTCATGCAATGCCTGGCTACTGTCCAGTTTCCTAGTATTTCTTTTTTTTTTTTGAGACGGAGTCTCGCTCTGTCCCCCCGGGCTGGAGTGCAGTGGCGTGATCTTGGCTCAATGCAAGCTCCGCCTCCTGGGTTCACGCCATTCTCCTGCCTCAACCTCTCGAGTAGCTAGGACTACAGGTGCCCGCTACCACGCCCAGCTAATTTTTTGTATTTTTAGTAGAGACAGGGTTTCACCGTGTTAGCCAGGATGGTCTCGGTCTCCTGACCTCGTGATCCGCCCACCTCAGCCTCCCAAAGTGCTGGGATTACAGACTTGAGCCACCGCGCCCGGCCTTCCTAGTATTTCTTTACCAAATTGTAGGTTTGCGGGCCAGCCCCAGGCTCTGAGAGATTGGTAACAGAAAGTGTAAGTCAGACTGGTCTCACTCTTCCTAGGTTACCACATTCTCATCTGGAGCCAGGAGGAAGCCAGGACACGGAAGTGAGAGACACTAAAGAAGGTGTGGGCCAGACAAGGCCTTGGAGCCCACACATGGGATCAAGTCCTGCAAGCAGAGGTGGCGATTTGTTAAAGGGCCAAAAGTATCCAAGGTTAGGGTTGGAGCAGGGGTGCTGGGACCTGGGGCACTGTGGGACTGGGACACTTTTATGTTAATGCTCTGGACTTGCCTCCAGAGACTGCTCCAGAGTTGGTGACACAGCTGTCCCAAGGGCCCCTCTGTATCTAGCCTGGAACCAAGGTTATCTTGGAACTAAATGACTTTTCTCCTCTCAGTGGGTGGTAGCAGAGGGATCAAGCAGTTATTTGATTTGTGCTCACTTTTGATATGGCCAATAAAACCATACCGACTGAGCTTCTGCGTGGATCTTCCAGAAGTGACCTGGTCAGAGAGCTTCTTGCGTCTCAGAAATGAAGAAAAAGCACAGGAAACAGCACTATCAGTCCAATAGGAAACAGCACTATTCATTCTCTGGGAGCTGCCCCAGCCCTATTCTGGGCCACAGTCTAGAACTTTCTTTTCCAGCTCACAACCTGCATGTAGCTCAGGTCCCTGGAGACCCCAGCCCAGCTGAGGGAGAGCAGTTTCCTGATTCGTGTGACAAGCAACTCCCTTCCCACCACTCCCTACTCCCTCCCAAGTACAGACAACCTTCCGTCCTGCTCCAGTTGAAGGGGTGACAACGATTCCTGAAGCATTCTGTCTGAGTCTAATGGTGGCTCTAGCCAGACACAGGGAAATGTGGCTGGCTGGCTGTTGGGTGATCCAGTTCCTTGGGAGCCAATGTTTGTACCCCTGGTATTAGCTGTTTTTCCCACTAAAATAAGCACTGAGAGGCAAGACCGTGTCCCTCTGAGCTATTTGCCGAAGACTTCAGGCTGGAGGAAAAAGAACAGGGCTTGATAGAAGTGCAAGGTGGATCCAGCACCAACTCTGCCATTTTCTAATCCTAGGTCCTGAGTGAACACTGACTGCCAGTTTACATCTCAGGTGTGTAGGGAGCGTGGAGGAGGCAAATCCTGTTTGGAGAAAGCCAGTGTCCAACACAGCACTTGGTAAACATCAGGCATGGGAATGCTGAGTGACAGGCACCATGGGCCACGCTGAGCCCCACTCGCTCATCTGGCTGGGGTCATCAGAGGGAGGCCCAACCCAGGATCTCCTGTCCATGGGCTGGGGAGCAGCAACAGTCAGGAGCGAGGGCCCAGCCCACCTCCCCTAGGAGGTGGAGGGAAGGGGGCTGAGTGGTTGTCAGGCGTGGTCCTCCCCATCTGCGACGTGGCGGTAGCCAGGAGGCTGGGCCTGCATCCGGAAGAGGACGGTGAGGAGCAGCACTATGAGGAGGAAGAGGATGGAGCCACATACAGCCAAGGCCACAATCACCTCTGGGCATGGGGGAGGCAAGAGAAAGGTCATGTCAGCGTTCCATCATATGCCAGCTACTGTTCTGACATATAGGAGATACACAGAGGTGGCCAAGACAGAGTCCCTGCTCTCATGGAGTTTACATTCTAGGAGAGGGGATGTAATAAATAAGCAAATGGGCTGGTCACAGTGGCTCACGCCTATAATCCCAACACTTTGGAAGGTTGAGGTGGGCAGATCACCTGAGGTCAGGAGTTGGAGACCAGCCTGGCCATCATGGTGAAAACCCATCTCTACTAAATAAAGTTGGCCGTGCGCAGTGGCTCACACCTGTAATCCCAGCACTTTGGGAGGCCGAGGTGGGTGGATCACCTGAGGTCAAGAGTTTGAGACCAGCCTGGCCAACGTGGTGAAATGCCGTCTCTACTAAAAATACAAAAAATTAGCTGGGCATGGTGGTGTGCACCTGTAATCCCAACTACTCGGGAGGCTGAGGCAGGAGAATTGCTTGAACCTGGGAGACAGAGGTTGCAGTGAGCCGAGATCACGCCACTGCACTCCAGCCTGGGTGACAGGATGAGACACCGTCTCAAAAAAAAAAAAAAAATTAGGAGTGACAGGTCAGTGACGAATGTGATACAGAGAGACAAAGCAAAGTAGGTCAGCAGGGAAGGCATCATTGAGAAAGTGAGAAGTTTAACAGAGACCTGGAGTCAATGAATGACATACAACAATCTGAGAAGAGTATCACAGGGCAGAGGAGACGAAGGGCAAAAGGCCCAGATGTGGGGATAAGCCTGGCACATGCTAGTATCATCAAGAGTCAGTCTCACCAGAGTAGAGTAAGCAAGGGGCATGTAGGAGATGGGGCAGGAGACCAGATGGAGTAGGGCCTAGAAGGCCATGGTGAAGAACTTGGATTTTATTCTATATGTGATGGGAAGCCACTAGAAAATTCTGAGAGGACAGTAGTATGAACTGGTTTACATTTTTTAAAAGTTAACTCAGTCGGCCGCGGTGGCTCATGCCTGTAATCCCAGCAATTTGGGAGACTAAGGCGGGCGGATCACCTGAGGTTGGGAGTTTGAGACCAGCCTGACCAACATGGAGAAACCTCATCTCTACTGAAAATACAAAATCAGCTGGGCATGGTGATGCATGCCTGTAATCCCAGCTACTCGGGAGGCTGAGGCAGGAGAATCACTTACACCCGGGAGGCGGAGGTTGCAGTGAGCCGAGATTGCGCCACTGCACTCCAGCCTGGGCAACAAGAGCAAAACTCCATCTCAAAAAAATAAAAAAAGTTAACTCTGCTGTGTTGAAAGACTGGTAGGGACAAGAATAGAACCAGAAAGAACTAGGAAGCTTTTCATTCGGTCAGGCAAGAGCTGACGGTAGATTGGACTGCGGAGGCAAGAGCACATATTAATATTTGAAAGGTTGAGCTGATCTGGCAGTGGGCTGGATGAGGGGTATGAGAAACGGTATGCAGAATGACCCCAAGGGTTATACTGTGCCACTAGGTGACTCGTGGCATTGACTGAAACAAGGAAGCCTGGAAGAAGAGCAGCTGTGGAAGGAAAAGCATCTGGTTTTAGACATTGCAACTTTGAGATGCCTTACTTAACATGCATGTAGAGATCTCAAGTTGGCAGCTGGATATGAGTCTCTAGCTCAGAGAAGAGGTTGTGAATCTGTGAGTCAGGGCGTAAGGACAGAAGTGGGCATGGAGATGGGCATAAAGTCATGAGGCTGCATGAGATCACTTGGGAGTGTGCACAGATGGGGAAAGCTCCAGGGATGAGTCCTGGGTCATCCGTTCTTTAGTGAGGAAGGGACGCCTGAAAGTCAGAAGCCAAGAAAGTGTTTCAGGAAGGGGTGACCAATTATGTAATGCTGCTGAGAGGTGAGAGAAGCTAAGAATTAGTCACTGGCTTTGGTAGGAGGTGACTGGTCACCAGACAAGTATGGCTTCAGGGTAGTGGAAGGTGACACAAGACTGTCTAATGTGAGTCTAAGAGAACAAGTGGTGAGGAAGCAGAGCCAGATTCTAGGCAGCTCTTTCAAGGATTCCATTCTGAGAGGGAAGAGGCTGGTGGCTGGGGAAGAGGTGGCTCTCAGAGGTCATGGATGGGCTTTTGGGAGGGAAGTGATCCAGTAGAGAAGCAGAGGCGTCAGAGCTCCTTGCAGAGATGAGGAGAGAACCCAAGTGCGGGTGGAGAGGCCACCCTAAGCGGTGGCTTCCCCCAGGAAGTAACCTGGTGGTGGGAGAACGAGCCAATTCTCTCTTGGCTCTTATTTTCTCGGTGATACAAGTGAGACATCACCCGAGGGTGAGA
Source organism: Homo sapiens (assembly GCF_000001405.40). Taxonomy (NCBI): domain Eukaryota; kingdom Metazoa; phylum Chordata; class Mammalia; order Primates; family Hominidae; genus Homo; species Homo sapiens. The sequence goes on from NC_000011.10 coordinate 47,242,569, forward strand.
AGTGGGGAGAAGGTATAAAGCAGTCTGGGGTCGGGGAGGGAACTCCTAGCAAATGCAGTCAAATGGCTGGAAGTGCGACAGCTCTTGAGATGCGTGGATGTGAACTGCAGGCTGGTCTAGGGCATGACTAGCAAGGAGGCCGGTGACAGCTCACCTGTGTCTGCAGGACCGCTTGCCAGCTGGCACTCCTGCTGCCAATCCTTGGGCACGACGGGCTCTGTGAGGCGAAGGAAGTCCTGCAGTGGGCAGCGGTGAGGGCAGCCAGGCAGGCTGAGCGGCCAGGGGGCCTTGTCACTCTCGTTCCGAAAGTACATCTCCACTGAGAAATTCCTGAGGGTCGACAGGAGGCAACATGGGAGCTGCTCAGCCTGCCCATCATGGGGTCCTTGGGCTGCCCCGAGCCACCTCCCGAGGGCCCCCCTCCAGAGGACACTGCTAGCTCCACTCACCCAGAATCTTCCTGGTACAGTTCAAATATGTGGCAGGAGGCGTAGGGGGCTTGTTCACCATTGTAGACATCCAGTGCCATTTGCAGGGCAACCAGGGTAGTGTCGTGCTGCGGGGGAGAGGGGCTGCCCGTCAGCATTGTTCCCCACACCCGCAGGAACCGAACAGAGAAGAAATCCAGCTCCTTGCCTGACACAGCACGCTAGGGAGCGCAGGCACTCACCGCAGAGTAAACCAGCAGCTTGGGGAGCTGGGAGGTGGTCGCCATTAGGGTCAGGTTCTTCCTTATCTGAGCCAGCAGGACTCCTGAAGGAGAAAAGTCCCCGGTGTTGCTGGCTACAGCCACCTCTGCCTTCTAATTAGACCTATCTGTGCTCCTTTCACCCTCTGCCAGGCCTGGGCCTCATCACCTACACGGAGAACTCTTTAGTGTCATAGGGACCATGTAAGAACTCTGTGGCACCCCTCCTCTCTAAGAACTGTCAAATGTACAGAAGGAAGCAAGACAAAACAAGATATCTGCCTATATTTCAACACGGATGTAGAAACCTGCCTGTGTTTACAGAAGCACTTCAGTTTGAAACAAATGTAAACTTAAGATTGCTTCAGAGTACACAGCGGGTGGGTGCATGCCCGGGTAACTACCATATGCTCTGAAAAGTGAGATGTCAAAAAGGTGTGACAGCAGGCATGCCCTTAGGTGCTCAAATAAGGAAGCTGGCATGTGTGTTACTCTCAGCCTTCTCAAAATGGCCCCCAGTGGTTCTCTTGGGGCAGCTATTCATTTAGGAGAGGGAGGGTCTTCTGATGTGGGCGAAACTTAAGAACATGAATGGCAGGGCTGGGCGTGGTGGCTCATGTGTGTAATCCCAGCACTTTGGAAGGCTGAGGCGGGCAGATCACCAGAGGTCAGGAGTTTGAGACCAGCCTGGCCAACATAGTGAAACCCCATCTCTACTAAAAATATAAAAATTAGTTGGGCGTGGTGGCAGGCACTTGTAGTCCCAGCTACTTAGGAGGCTGAGGCGGGAGAATCGCTTGAACCTGGGAGGTGGAGGCTGCAATGAGCCGAGATCGTGCCACTCTACTATAGCCTGGGTGACAGAGCAAGACTCTGTCTCAAAATAAATAGGCTGGGTATGGCGGCTCATGCCTGTAATCCCAGCACTTTGGGAGGCCAAGGTGGGTGGATCACCTGAGGTCAGGAGTTCAAGACCAGCTTGGCCAACATGGTGAAACCCTGTTTCTACTAAAAATACAAAAATTAGCTGGGCATGGTGGCTGAGGTCAGGAGTTTGAGTCCAGCCTGGCGAACATGGTGAAACCCCGTTCCTACTAAAAATACAAAAGTTAGCCAGGCATGATGGCATGTGCCTGCAATCCCAGCTACTCAGAAGACTGAGGCAGGAGAATTGCTTGAACTCAGGAGGCAGAGGTTGTAGTGAGCCAAGATCGAGCCATTGCACTCCAGCCTGGGTGACAAGAGGGAAACTCCATCCCCCCGAAAAAAAATAACAATTTTTTTAAAAAGAATATGAATGGCAGAAAAGGAAGAGAGGTGGGGAAATTTGGTGACTAGCGGCATGAGGAGGGGGATTTGGTTTTGAAAGAGCAGGGAGTGTTTCAGTAGAGAGGGAAGTGTGTGAGAAGCCCCCACAGCAGATTTTTAACGCCTTAGGGTCCTGAGGAGTAGAGTGACACGCTGTCCTTGTCACTCACCCCCCTGAAGCCGGGCCTTCTCCGCCTGCTGGTAGATTCCGAAGAGGAAGCGGAAGCTGAAGTCCTTTAGCCGGCTGAGACGCTGCATGGTTTGGGGTGAGGCCCAGGGCGGCAGGCGCAGCCCGTGCGTTTGCTGTGTATCGCAGCAGGCAGGTTAGCGCCCCAGGCCTAGGCCAGCCTCTCCAGGGGGCAGCTCTCTTCCCTAGTGGGAAGGTGCCTGTGTGTGTGAGGGAGGGAGAGGGGAGAGAGGCAGAGGGGCTGGAACCAGTAGACATGGCAGGCGGTGTGGATGCTTCAGGGCACAGGAAAGGAAGCTCAGGCACAAAAAGTGAGACTCAGCAGAAAGGAGCTCTGGGTGGAGAGCAGCAGGGACTGCTGACAATTAATAAACCATTTCCCACTCTGAGGATCTCTGTCACCCATGAGGGAAGTTCCCGTGTTTCACAAGCACAGCCTCCCTGGACCTCCCCAGGGGCGTGACGGTATCAGGCACTGTGTTCTACCGTCCTGGTGACCTGGGCCTGCTGAGAGGGAAAAGAATGATCACAGTGGGCACCCTAGTGGGCTCACCTCACAGAAGAGTGTGTCATAGACATTCCAGACGGTCTCCAGTGTCAGGTCTGTAAGCCCTGTCTCGTTGGCCACCATGTCCAGAAATTGCTATGAAAAATGGATCAGGGTCTCAGTCCTGCTCTGGGGAAAAGACAGCGTGGTGAGCTGCACCTCTGCCCCCACTCACTGCATTCCGAGAACTCTCATTCTGATACTCTGGTGTCTGCCGGGTCTCGTTCTGCAGCTGCTCATAACGGGGACATGGGCCCAACGGGAACTTCAGCAGCTGTAGAGCGAAGCGGGGAAACAGGCAGCGGGAAAAGGAGCCTGGCATCAGCAGGCCTACGGCCAGAGCTGTCCCCTCACCACCCCAGGGAAGGGCTGGCCACTCTTACCCTGTCCTCAGTGATGGGCACAGTGTGCACAGGAATAGGCTGCCACGAGATGTTCGGGTTGAAGCGCTGCATCCCGTTGGGAGGGAAGAGTCCAGCCAGGTTGGCCTCAGCACTCATGAGAGTCCGGTCAAAGTCTGTGCTTCGCACATAAACCTGCAGCGATAGCAACACAAGTCGTGTGTGTGTGTGTGTGTGTGTGTGTGTTGGGGAAGTTTTGGTCACCCTGAAGTGGAGCCTTGTATGTATGTGTGTGTGTGTGGTGGGAAGTTTTGGTCACCCCAAAGTGGAGCCCCAGAGGAGAACCTGTTCCTGATGGTCACCCAGCAAACTAAACCTACCATACATCTGGCCCTCACCCTCCTCTGGCCTCTGGCCTTCCCCATCCCCCAAACACTCCACTGGGGGTTGTCACCACTCTGTGAAGAACTCTTGTGGGAATGGCCTTAGTTGAAATGCCCCTTCCAGTCAAAAGTGCTGAGTCAATCAGTAAGGCTCTCTGGTCTGTCTGGTTTCATAACAACACCTCTCTCCCTGTCTAGATCAGGGTCCTTGGGGCAGAAACTGGCTCCAGTGACGACCCTTAGAGACCAGGGAGAAAAAAATAAGATAAAGGGCTGGGCCTGGTGGCTCACACCTATAATCCTAGCACTTTGGGAGGCCAATGCAGGAGGATCGCTTGAGGCCAGGAGCTCGAGACCAGCCTGGGCAACATAGTGAGACCCTGTCTCTACAAAAAAAAATTTTTTAATTACCCAAGTGTGGCGGGCACTTGTAGTCCCAGCTACTTGGGATGCTGAGGCAGGAGGATCACTTGAGCCCAGGAGTTTGAGGCTGCAGTGAGCTATGACTGAGGCATGTGCTACAGTTTGGGTGACAGAGTGAGACCCCTTTAAAATATATGTATATATTTTGGGCCGGGCACGGTGGCTCATGCCTGTAATCCCAGCACTTTAGGAGGCCGAGGCAGGCGGATCAGCTGAGGTCAGGAGTTCAAGACCAGCCTGGCCAACATGATGAAATCCTGTCTCTACTAAAAATACAAAAATTAGCCAGGCATGGTGGCACACACCTGTAATCCCAGCTACTTGGGAGGCTGAGACAGGAGAATCGCTTGAACCTAGGAGGTGGAGGTTGCAGTGAGCCAAGACCATGTCACTGCACTCCAGCCTGAGCAACACAGCAAGACTCTGTCTCAAAAAAAAAAATTTTTTTTGAAGAGCTTATTCAGAGATAGTGGCTCATGAAAAGGGAGGAGGAAACTGGGGAAGGACAAGCTCAGGACAGAGCTGGGCCTTAAGAGAACAATAACAATGTCTATGGATTCTTGATACGGCTGAGGCTGACAGTGGTAATCAGAGGAACAGCTTCCCCCATTCCTGGGGTGGGGCGAAGACTCAAGGAGCAGGCACACTCACCAGTCCTCCCTGATGTGCCCTAGGAATATAGCACGACCTGGCGCAGCAGACAGGGCTCAAAAACCTCATCTTGATCAAGAAAAGACAAGCCCTCTCTACGCATGTCTTCCCCGCTGTCTTTCATCTTGGCCCTGTCTGGTTTATCATTAGATACCCCCACAACATTCTAAGCTCCATGAAGACAGAGATCATATCTGTATGGTGCACAACTGAATGCAAAGTGCTAGCACAGTCCTTGGCCTTTAATAGGTACTCAATGTCTTGGATGGAAAGCCTGTGATTTCACAGTCAGAAACCACTTTGCCAGGCCCGCCCTTAAGTCCGAATTTGGATGCTTAATCAAATTTGCCTCATCCCAGCCAAGCAGGGGCAACTCAGCTCCTAGGGCTTTGTTCCAGACAGCTCTCAGATGTCTTTTCCTGTAGTTGTGACCAAAAATACAAGAAGGAGGCCAAAGTGCCCAGCCTCAGCCTTAGGCTCCCTGAGGGCAAAAGATGAGGGCAGCATACCTTGTTCCCCTTGCCTCTGGAGCTCCCAACCTTACCTCTTGCCGGTGATAAGAGGTGTTTAGGAAGCCGTGATAGCGCTGCCGCAGGGCCTGGCCCAGTTCCCAGTGCTGTAGCATCCCCTCCTGTGGGCAAACCCAAGGGTTAAGAGGGTCTAGAGGGAAGGGGTGGCTTCAAGCCCCATGGGGTTTAGGCCCTGTTGCTTTCCAGGTTCACGCTTTGCTGGAGTCAATTAATCTGATCCCAGAAGTCTTTCATTAAGTGGCCAGTCATGCACAGCAATATCATGGGCACAGAGATTAAGGTTATGAAATCTGGTCAAAGTCAGCACCCATATGGGAAAAGGCAGTTTAGTAGGACCCCAAGTTTTGTAGACTGCTCTAGACGTCGCTCATTCTGCAGCTCATCCTGAGGAAAGGCTGGCTTCTGACCCACCTTGGTTAACTGACCAAACCCCTGGGGCCATTCTTCTTCCTGATAGGGGTCCTTGGGATATGTCTTCACTGGTGAACGGTCTCCATGGCGGTACAGCTGAGAGAATAAAATGGTTTGCCTATAGGTCAGAAGCATCCCCTTGATAGGGACCCAGAGCCTACCTTTTGCCCCATGTTAGGGAAGGAAGTCTCATTCCCTCTGGGAAGCCTACTGGCTGCAAAAGACCCCAGCTAGGAGTCAGTCACTTCTTCCAGATTCCAGAGATTCTAACTTAGCTAAGCAATGCTACTGGAGACCATAGGCAAAGCCAAGGTACAGGTAGGAAGGGAAAAGAGAAGTGAAAGCAACGTATGTGGTGGGGACAACTGGGGAAAAAAGATAACCAAAGGCTTCTTTAGGGATGAGTCTTAACCATTCAACCACTTCCCTGTCTCAAGGCAGACTCACCCCGACGTATTCGGTCATCCTGACTCCCATAAGCCAGGGCTCCAGGTCAATCCTGAATCCAGCCTCCCAACTACCCAGGCCAGTCGTCCCCTCCTAAACCAGCTGTTCCTTCCCGAGATCCTCGACCTCCACCAGCTGGCCTTTGCCCTTTTAGCTTCAGGGAAGTCTTTGGTGAGCCCATCTCTCATTACCAAGGTAACGAAGCGCAGACTCCGGGCCCGGGTGGGCGGCATCACCACCAGGTTCACGCCGAGAAGGAGCTGGAGGAGAGCCGCCCGGCTCCAGCCGGACCGCTTGCCCGCCATCACCGTTGTAATCTATGCAGCAAACAAGCTGGAACCCGCTGGGTGGCACCTGCAAGCAGCCGCCCGGACGCACCCGTAAGGACACACGCCGGAAGTGCGTTCGCCGCCATCTTACTTAGGGACCTGCTGGGGTGCGGGGAAAAGGCGCAGTCTCGGTGGGATTGCGTGCAGGAGGGTCGTGGTCTGGCTGTGGCGGAGGAGCATAAGAAGGTAACGCGACCTGGCGCGGCAGACAGGGCTCGAAGACCTCATCTTGATTAAGAAGGCCACAAATTCGCGTTTGCCTCTGCTCGGAGAAATCCCTTACCAAGGTGGCACTTGCAGTGGGCGGGACCATGTCTGGAGAACCAGCGTCCCCTCCAGGCTTGACCCCATAGCTAGATCGGGTGCAGAATTGAGGCGAGGGATGGGAAAGTAGAGGTCGCTTCTCTCCACGCCCCTGCCTTTGTGGGGAGATTGAGCCCTGGCCCTGTTCTCCAGGAGATGTTTTGCTTGGGGTGCAGGACACAGTATGTAAACAACCCTTTGGACTCCGTGTGTCCTTGAGGTTGCCCCAGTCTGGCCTACCGTTCCTGCCCTGCACAAAGCTTCAGTAGCCCTCTCACTTTCCCTTCCAGTCCTTTCCCTGTCCTCCCTCCCCTCCACTTCCAAGTTTTAGTTAATTAGAGTCAAGACGTCATGTCATGCCTCTTCCCAAAGGAGTTGGGTTGCACAGGATGTTCAGACTTTACAAACCCAAAGCACTGAATCCCTGGGGGAGGAATTTCAGACCAGTGGGGAGGTATTTTGAGGTAAGGGACAGGCGCATATCATAAAGTGGGAGTAGGTGGGGTTTCCACAGAATCAATGGCCCTCTTGGCATTGACCATTAGGATTCAGGTGCAGCCAGTTTGGCCTCAGGACTTTGTGACTCCTGTGACGGTTGCAGGTCAGATCATAGGTCCTGGGGATGCTTTGATTCAGATCTGCCTACTGGAAGCAAATCTCCTCAGATCTTTGGGAAACAAAACTGATCAGGCTTGGCCTGGGCGCCGTGGCTCACCTGTAATACCAGCACTTTGAGAGGCCGAAGCAGGCAGATCACCTGAGGTCAGGAGTTCGAGACCAGCCTGGCCAACGTGGCGAAACCCCGTCTCTACTAAAAATACAAAAAAAAAAAAATTAGCCGGGTGCAGTGGCGTGCTCCTGTAATCCCAGCTACTCTGGAGGCTGAGGCAGGAGAATCGCTTGAACTCGGAAAGCGGAGGTTGCAGTGAGCTGAGATCACGCCACTGCACTCCAGCCTGCGCGACAGAGTGAGACTGTCTCAAAACAACAACAACAAAAACCTGATTAGGCTTGGTGTGGTGGCTCACGTTTCTAATCCCAGCACTTTGGGAGGCCAGGGTGGGAAGATTGCTTGAGCCCAGGAGTTGGAGACCAGCCTGAGCAGCTTAGGAAGATCTCCTCTCTACAAAAAAAAGTTTAAAAATTAGCTGGGTGTGGTGGCACACACCTGTGGTCCTAGCTCCTCGGGAGGCTGAGGTGGGAGGATCACCTTCAGCCCAGGAGGTTGAGGCTGCAGTGAGCCATGATGGTGCAACTGCACTCCAGTCTAGATGACAGAGCAAGACTGTGTCTCAAAAAGAAGAAAAGAAAAAAAAAGATCAGGATTATCTGTCTTTATTTTGTCCTAGGACTCCAGATTCAATTATTTATATATACTTCAGGATTTAAACTTTGCTTCCAGAGTTGTCATGGAGGAGGCCAAGAAGCAAATAGAGTAAGAGCCAAAGCCTGGGTAGCCAAACAGTTCTTAACCTTCTTATTTAATCACAAGCCCCTTTATGAATCACATGAAAATTTTGCACCTCTCCTCCAGAAAAATGTTCACACATATAAACACACACATGGAATTTTGCATATAATCCCAAATGGTTCACAAAGACCATTTATTACAGGTTTCATAAATCAGCATCTCTGAATACCTGATTTAACCTAGTCCTCTTACTTTACAGCTTAGGAAACAAACCTAAAGAGAGGAAGTGACTTGCCCAAATTCACAGTTTGGGCATGGGCACAGTTTGAGAATGGATTAAAAGTCAAGTTTTGGCCGGGTGCGTGCTCACGCCTGTAATCCCGGCACTTTGGGAGGCCGAGGCGGGTGGATCACGAGGTCAGGAGATCAAGACCATCCTGGCTAACATGGTGAAACCCCATCTCTACTAAAAATACAAAAAGTTAGCCGGGTGTGGTGGCAGGTGCCGGTAGTCCCAGCTACTCAGGAGGCTGAGGCAGGAGAATGTCGTGAACCCAGCAGGCGGAGCTTGCAGTGAGCGGAGATCGTGCCACTGCACCCCAGCCTGGGCGACAGAGCAAGACTCCGTCTCAAAAAAAAAAAGTCAGGTTTTGTGATTTTCAGTTAAATAGTCTATAATGGGCTGCTTCTTGCAGGCTACTCAAACTGCATTACTAAACTGTAATTGGTGATCCCGAAATCCTTTCAATAAAGAGGTATCTGTCAAAGGAAACCTTTTCAAATTAGTTGGACTAAACGGGACCTAGGCCGGACATGGCTCACACCTGTAATCCCAGCACTTTGGGAGGACGAGGCGGGTGGATCACCTGAGGTCAGCAGTTCAAGACCAGCCTGGCCACCATGGTGAAACCCCATCTCTACTAAAAATACAAAAATTAGCCAGTCGTGGTGGCGTGTGCCTGTAATCCCAGCTACCGGGGAGGCTGAGACAGGAGAATCACTTGAACCCAGGATACAGAGGCTGCCGTGAGCCGAGATTGTGCCACTTCACTCCAGCCTGGGCAACAGAGCGAGACTCTGTCTCAAAAAAAAAAATAAAATAAAGAGGGCTTGGGTAATTGGCAAAATGCTGCATATTAGTGGTAGTGGGAGGCAGTTGAGTGTTTTGTTTTAATGGGCCTCTTACTCCTTGCAAACTAGCCAGACCATTGTACTTTCAGAGTGTAAATCTTTGGCTCACCAAATTTCAGCTATCTCTCAAATTCAGCTTTTGCTTTTCTTCCCACTTGCTCAAATATGTCTATATTCTTTGTGCATGCAAGTATCCCACGTAGGAGGGATTGATGAAGCAGATACTATTTCAGTTTTTATAGGGAGAAACTATTCCAGGAAGGGTGGGGATTACAGCGCAAGTAGATAGTAGAGCCTGAAGCTGAGCCCTAGTTTCTTCACCCCTTTGCCTTCAGCTTTTGCATTTTCTGCCAGATGATTCTGTGGTTCTTACACTTTGGTTCGTAACTACAGGTGCAAAAAAAAAAAAGAAAAAAAAAAAACACATGTAGATAGATGGATATGTGGGCCTATCCCAGATCAAATAAATCAGAATCTCTGAAGGTGAGGACAGGAACCACTACCATATTCTGTGTTGGCAGAAGCAAACCTAAATCCAGGTATGTTAGCCATTTTTTTTCCATCTGAAGAGGCAGTTTTTGTTTTGTTTTGTTGTTGTTGTTGTTGTTGTTGTTGTTTTTGAGATGGAGTTTTGCTCTTGTTGCCCAGGCTGGAGTGCAATGGCGTTATCTCGGCTCACAGCAACCTCCGCCTCCCGGGTTCAAGCGATTCTCCTGCCTCAGCCTCCCGAGTAGCTGGGATTACAGGCATGTGCCACCACGCCTGGCTAATTTTGTATTTTTAGTAGAGACAGCTTCTCCATGTTGGTCAGGCTGGTCTCGAACTCCCGACCTCAGGTGATCTGCCCATTTTGGCCTCCCAAAGTGCTGGGATTACAGGTGTGAGCCACCGCACCCACCCGGCTGTTTTTTTTGTTTGTTTTGTTTTGTTTTTGTGACAGAGTCTCCCACTGTCGCCCAGGCTGGAGTGCAGTGGCACAGTCTCGGCTCACTGCAAGCTTCACCTCCCAGGTTCACGCCATTCTCCTGCCTCAGCCTCTCGAGTAGCTGGGACTACAGGCACCTGCCACCACACCTGGCTAATTTTTTTGGCTTTTTTTTTTTGTATTTTTAGTAGAGACAGGGTTTCGCCGTGTTAGCCTGACCTAGTGATCCACCCACTCGGCCTCCCAAAGTGCTGGGATTACAGGCATGAGCTACTGCGCCCGGCCCCAGCCGGCAGTTTTATATAATGGAGTGTATTTGTGATTTTTGTTTGTTTGAGCTTGAGCTCAAACTTTTGAATCAGCTAAACTTGTATTCTTTTTTTTTTTTTTTTTTTGAGACAGTCTCCCTCTGTCACCCAGGCTGGAGTGCAGTGGTGCAATCATGGCTCACTGCAGCCTCGACCTCCTGGGCTCCAACAGTCCTCCTACCTCAGCCCCCCAAGTGGCTGGGACTACAGGCAGATGCCACCACGCCTGGCTAATTTTTGTGCGTGTGTGTGTTTTCTGTAAAGGTGAGGTTTCGCCATGTTGCCTAGGCTAGTCTCAAACTCCTGGACTCAAGCGATCTGCCCTTCTTGGCCTCCCAAAGTGCTAGGATTACAAGTGTGAGCCACCACACCCAGTCTTATACCTGTATTCAAATTTGATATTTGCCCCTTGCTAGTAACTATCTCCTAGAGTTTACTGTGAGAATAAATGAAATAATGCATGTAAAGATAAATGTATGTAGTAGGGATGAAATAAATGTCACATCTTTCCTTTCTGCCTTCTGTATCATCTCTGAACTCAGGTCTGGGAATCCAGGTTTCTGGATTATTCTCTATGTTGTGATTGGAAGGTTGGGCAGAAGTCACTTGAGTAGATACGCAGTGGTCTGCAAGATGATCCCTGCACTTTCCACCCTTCCAGAACGGTGAAGGAGGGAACAAGAAGCAGTTCTCCTGGTCCATCCCTGCAGACCTTACCCTGTGGCCTGCTTCATGGGAATGAGTACTTTCAGGGCAGTTAGCCAGTACTACCTGTGACCATGGCTGGTGAATGCTCCTGTTTCTGCTTCAAGTTTCTCCTTGCTGTGAGAAGAAACCTGTGGAGGTTCTGGGGGGCCAGATATGTGACTTGGTAGATCCCCGAGTGTGTTCCCAGAGACATTGCCTCCTGCAGGAGCCAAGGAAACACAGAAGAGGCCCATAGGACTGGGGGACTTTGGACCTAACAACTGTGGGCTGGTGGGACTGTGGCACGGGGGTGGGGCTGCCAAAGTGGGAACATGATTCCAGCTGCTGATCACTTCACTGCTTGCCCTGGCTTGAAGTAAGTCTCAGTGGTTGGTCTCCAGAAACTCCATGGAAATACTGCCCACAGGTTTTGGTCTTCTCCCATTTTCCTCTCCTTTTCCCTCTTTGTAGGGATGAGGGTTGGGGTTTCTGAGCTGTAACCTGATAGGACGGCTCTGGCAGTTGAAGTCCTGGTTATAATTCCTCCTAAACAGGAGACCCTAGCCTGCCCACCCCCACTCCCACAAGATGGGGCTCGTATGTGGTCCTGGGTCCTGGGAAGCCACCTGTGGGGAGACTAGGTGTCAGGGGAGGGAGTTGAAGAACAAAGTGGATGAAAGAGGCTTCTCCCAGCTCCCAGAAGATAGGGCACCAGGCCCCAGACCATTGAGTCCTGAGTTTCTTGAAACCAGCCATCTCTGTGACATCTCTGGCTGCCCTGCTGGGCTGGAGCTTCTGGGAGCAGGGAGGTAGAGGAGGGAGCTGGACTGGTGATGTGGGTGCTGGGACAGAATAGTGCCAGTCTCTCAGTGACTAGAGTCCCTGGTTTCTGCTTTTCCAGGACAGCTGGGGCCTTGTGAAAATCAGAGAGGGAACACAGGCGAGAGGAATGGAGAGCCTTGTGCTTGTGACTCAGAGATACCCAGACCAGGGTGGGGGCCTTGGGAGGGGACGACCTTGTGATGAGGGGGAACAAAAGCAAAAGCTGGAGGCAGAAGTCTGAGATGGGGGTGTCACAGGGGCTTTTCTGAAATGTGAAAATGAATACATGGGCAGATTTTGCAACAGCACCCAGCCTGCTGTCTTCTCACACTCTGCTCCCCAGCCCCGGCCTGTTCCCCCTCTCCCACCCTGTGCTTCCTCTCATCTTTCACCAGGCTGCTCTTCTGCCTCAGCCTTCATCTTTTTCTCATCTGGTTCCTTCTGTCCCATCTACACCCCCTGTCCACTCTTTCCCTGTTTCCTGTGTTCTCTTCCCTGGTGCCCTGTTCATCTGTTTCGGTCTCTTTGGCTGCTTGCCCTGGCCCCCGTCCTTCTATGCTTTAATGTGGGGCCCATGGGAACTGGAGTTCATAGCAAAACAGGAAGAGCCGGTGAGCAGGAAACTGGGAATGGGGCAGGGGGTGAATGACCAGCAGTAACCTCAGCAGCTTGCCTCCCACATCTGGACTGGAGCATCTGCAGGGTTCTCAGCCTCTCCCCTGTAGCCCACCAGCCCTGGCTGCTTCCATTACAGCACTTCACTGGCCCAAGACGCAACAAGACAAGATTGTCCTGGACTCTGACACAGCAAAGGGACTGGAGTGAGGACATCTGGGTTCTGATCCCAGCCCAGCCACTAACTGTGTGGTCTTGGAAAAGGCCCTCACATGAGTTTCAGTGTTCTCTGTCAAATGGAGCTCGGGTTACTTACCCTCCTTTCCTCCCAGCGCTGCTCTAAGGACCAGAAAAGATAGTGAAGGGTTTGTGCTGTGTATGGAAACAAGTACAAAGTTCAAAATCCACCAAGTTAAAGCAATGGGAAGACCTACAGCTGAAAGAACTGGGAGGGTGATGATAACTCGTGCCATTTCTCAAACACTATGTGCCACACGTTGTGATAGACTCTCTTTCTTTCTTTCTTTTTCTTTCTTTCTTTCTTTCTTTCTTTCTTTCTTTCTTTCTTTCTTTCTTTCTTTCTCTCTCTCTCTCTCTCTCTCTTTCTTTCTTTCTTTCTTTCTTTCTTTCTTTCTCTTTCTCTCTCTCTCTCTCTTTCTTTCTTCTTTTTTTTTGGAGTTTTGCTGTTGTTGCCCGGGCTGGAGGGCAATGGCGCGATCTCGGGTCATTGCAACTTCTGCCTGCCAGGTTCAAGTGATTCTCCTGCCTCAGCCTCCTGAGTAGCTGGGATTACAGGAATGCATCATCACACCCGGCTAATTTTTTGTATTTTTAGTAGTGATGGGGTTTCACCATGTTGGCCAGGCTGGTCTGGAACTCCTGACCTCAAGTGATCCATCTGCCTTGGCCTCCCAAACTGCTGGGATTACAGGCATGAGCCACCGCACCCTGCATGATCTGTAGTTTCAATCCCACAACAACCTTGTGTGGTAAAAATTACTATTATCCCTATTTTATTTATCTTTCTTTCTTTTTCTTTTTTTTATTTTGAGATGGAGTCTCAGTCTGTCACCCAGGCTGGAGTGTGGTGGCACAATCTCGGCTCACTGCAACCTCCCAGATTCAAGTGATTCTCCTCCCTCAGCCTCCCGAGTAGCTGGGATTACAGACCCGCATCACTATGCCTGGCTAACTTTTGTATTTTTAGTAGAGACGGGGTTTCACCATGTTGGCCAGGCTGGTCTCGAACTCCTGACCTCAAGTGATCCACCCGCCTAGGCCTCCCAAAGTGCTGGGATTACAGGCGTGAGCCACCGTGCCCGTTCTATTTATTTTTCAACACACCATTGCTGGCTCAACTATTCTTATTTTAAAGATAGGGAAACAAAGATTCAGAGACGTTAAGTAACTTGCTCAATCAAGATCACATAGGTAATAAGAGGTTTAGGATTTGAACCCAAAATCTGAGCCCAGAGTCTGAACGCTAAATCAACATGCTGAGTTGAAATTGACTACAGCAGTTGTGATGGCGTGTGCCTGTAATCCTAGCACTTTGGAAGGCTGAGGTGGGAGGATGGCTTGAGCCCAGGAGTGTGAAGCCAGCCTGGGCAACATAGTGAGACCCTACCCCAAAAAAGGTAAAAAAAAAAAAAAAAAGGAATAATAAAAAAAATTGACTAGGGCTAATAAGTACGGGATAGACGAGAATAATATTTCTTTTTTTTTTTTTTTTGGGGACAGAGTCTCGCTCTGTCACTCAGGCAGGAGTGCAGTGGCGCAATCTCGGCTCACTGCAAGCTCTGCCTCCCGGGTTCACGCCATTCTTCTGTCTCAGCCTCCCGAGTAGCTGGAACTACAGGCGCCTGCCACCATGCCCGGCTAATTTTTTGTATTTTTAGGAGAGACGGGGTTTCACCGTGTTAGCCAGGATGGTCTCGATCTCCTGACCTCGTGATCCGCCTGCCTCGGCCTCCCAAAGTGCTGGGATTACAGGCGTGAGCCACCGCGCCCGGCCGAGAATATATTATATTTTTCTTGTTATTCATTCAACAAATAGGAACACAGTACCTACTCTGTTGCCACATCTATGCCAGCCCTGTTTCAGGGGTGTTGGGGGAGATGAAATCAATAAAATATGATGTCTACTTTCAGGGATGGATTTCATGCCCCAGGCAGCAGAGTAGGAAGAATGACTATAGTCTCAGTAGCTGCTGGTTGGAGCCTGCCATCACTTCAGATGGGGTTGTTCCCCAGAAGAGGCAACCCGCATACCTTCCCAGGTCCATCCTGGGCTGCCACCTGAGTTGCCTGTCTTCCTTCTGCCACCTCCACCCCTATCCCAGGCCTGCCACTGCTCATAGCAGATTTCCTATCAAAGGCTCTCCTGGCCTCCTCTCTTATCTGTGGCCCCCGCAGGGCACCCACTTTCAGAAACTCCCTGGAAGGCCCAGCACCTGCCTCTCTCCACCCCTGGATTTCTACCAGCTTGGCTGAGGCCTGGGGCTAGTGGGGAGAGCTTCTTGGCCTCTTCCCAGAGGCAAGGGAGGAGGAGGGAGGCTGGGAAAGCCGCTGGGGCTCAGTGTCGCAATTCCGGGCCGTGCTGGGACCTTTGCTCCACGAGGTGCCTATGGAGGGGAGGGAACACGATTCTGGAGGCTGCTGGGATTGGGGTGGGGGTTCCTGGGAGGCAGTCCTTTTGCAAGAGCTGCTAAGAGCGCTGGGTAAGGAGAGGAAGGGGAGAGACATGGAACTTGGCTGGTCTGCAGGGAAATGCCACTGTTTTGGCCGGGAGTAGGGGGCGGGAGTGGCGGGAGAGGGGGTGGCCGGCTGGGGAGGAGCCAGCCTGGTGGAGAAGCTGCCCTGTGGGCGGGGGTGAGGAGGGGAGGGCTGTGGTCACCAGGCAGGAAGGAGGGGTGGCCTGACCCCTCGGCAGTCCCTCCCCTCAGCCTTTCCCCAAATTGCTACTTCTCTGGGGCTCCAGGTCCTGCTTGTGCTCAGCTCCAGCTCACTGGCTGGCCACCGAGACTTCTGGACAGGAAACTGCACCATCCTCTTCTCCCAGCAAGGGGGCTCCAGAGACTGCCCACCCAGGAAGTCTGGTGGCCTGGGGATTTGGTGGGTCTGCTCCTTAGCAGTGGCCTGGGGCTCTGTGTGTGTATCTGGGGTGGGGTCGGGGAATGTCCTAAGGATCTGAGAAGGGGGTTTCTGGGGAGAAGTGAGGGGTGATGGTGATGGAAGCTTGGGACAGGAGCAGGACTCTGGGTCCCAGAATAACTCATGAGGGGCTCAGGGGAGGAGGTCCTCTATGTGAATTGGGGAGATTCTTGGAGACAGGTTTGTGCTGGGACCCTGGAAAGTGGCACGAGCGAGGTTCTCTAATAAGCAGCGTGTTTCACTGGGTGGAGTGAGCTGTCCTCAGTGTTGGAGTGAGGGGGAAGGGGCCCAAGAGAAGCAGGGCAGATGCACCCAAACATTCCCTGCTGGCCTGGAGGGGACTTTGGGGGAGAAAAGCCGGCACGGTGGCTGGGAGCCCAGACTTTGGAGTCAGAGGAGGGTTGGAGTCTTGACTCTACCGCCGCCTAACTGTGTGACCATAGTTACTTAATCTCTTTGAACCTCAGTTTGCTTATCTGTAAAATGAGTTTAAGAATAGTCCTGAGCCAGGAGCAGTAGCGTGCGCCCATAATCTCAGATACTCAGGAAGCTGAAACCTGATTGCTTCAGCCCAGTAGTTTGAGGCGATAGTGTCCTATTATTGCACCTGTGAATAGCACTGAGTTCCAGCCTGGGCAACATAGAGAGACCCCATCTCAAAAAAAAAATTAATAGTTTTGACCTCAGAGGGATATTATGAGGAAAGCACATAAAGCCTTATAACAGGCTGGGCGCAGTGGCTTACTCCAATAATCCCCACACTTTGGGAGGCCCAGGTGAGAGGATCACTTGAGCCCAGGAATTCCTAGACTAGCCTGGGCAAAATAGGGAGAACCTGTCTCTAAAAAACATAATAGTAATATAATAAAGCCTTAGTACAGGCTAATATATGGCAAGTAAATGTTAGCTGATATTGTTGATATTGATAAAAGGGAGGATCAGGTGGAGAAGGGAGCTGAGGCCAGAAAGGAGCCCAGTTCTAGAAGAGTATAATCTGGGTCCTTCCTGCAGGACAGTGCCTTGGTAATGACCAGGGCTCCAGGAAGAGATGTCCTTGTGGCTGGGGGCCCCTGTGCCTGACATTCCTCCTGGTAAGCTTCATTCCATCCCTCTCCCCTGAGCCCAGACCGCAGGCTCCACGCCTCCTGTAGGAATCAGCCTCCTTCATTACCTGCCTTCTTCCTTCCTCCAGAGAGCAGTCCAGAGTCATTCTTAGTCGTGCTTGCCTCCCGCCCAGATCACCTCTCCCCTGGTTCCAGTGCCTGGCCCTTGCAGGCACCCGCCCAGTCCTCCCCAGTCTGGATTTGCTGCTAGAGAGTTGGCCAGCTGAGTGCTTACCCTGCTCTGGCTTTGAAGAGTTTTATCTGATCTCTGAAATGCATACACTCCAGCCCCCCAAAGGGACAAGGATTAACATCTTCATTTAAGGTCCTGAGATGTAAGAAACTACAAGTGACTAGTCCTAGCTAGAGCCCACACAGACTCTAGGGTCCCAAAGCCTGAGCTGGGACTTTGCTGCCCTCTAAGGGTGGGGATAAGTTTGCAGTTTCCCAGCTAGGACGCTGGGCCGTGGAGCCGGGATGGGGCCTGAGACCCCCTTGTGCCTCTCTTTTGGAGCTCAGACTCTGCGGTGGAGCTGTGGAAGCCAGGCGCACAGGATGCAAGCAGCCAGGCCCAGGGAGGCAGCAGCTGCATCCTCAGAGAGGAAGCCAGGATGCCCCACTCTGCTGGGGGTACTGCAGGGGTGGGGCTGGAGGCTGCAGAGCCCACAGCCCTGCTCACCAGGGCAGAGCCCCCTTCAGAACCCACAGGTGAGGAGCTTCTGGGTTTGGAGGAGGTAGGGGTCCAGATTCCAGGTCCTGGATCTGGAAGAGGTTCCTTGGGGGTTTTTACTTTATATATAATCTCATGGTTAAGTTCAGAGGCTTTAGAGCTAACTAAATCTGACTGATCTAAGTGTGAATTTTGTCTCTAGGCCTTTCTGAGCCTCACTTTCCTTGTTTATAAAATGGAAATAAAAATTATGGTTGTCATAAGGATCAGTGCATATAAAAGGCTCATACAGTACCTAGAACATAATGGCACTTGGCAAATGAGGGCTACTCTTCTCATAAAAGAGAGACTGGAGTTTGTATAATGAAGGGAATGAAGGTCACTGAGTGCCCAGGGCAGTGGCTGAGTCAGGGAGAACATGATGTTTTTCCTCGGGGGAGAGCGTTGAAGCACTTTCCTGTATCCAGAGATCCGTCCACAAAAGCGGAAAAAGGGGCCAGCCCCCAAAATGCTGGGGAACGAGCTATGCAGCGTGTGTGGGGACAAGGCCTCGGGCTTCCACTACAATGTTCTGAGCTGCGAGGGCTGCAAGGGATTCTTCCGCCGCAGCGTCATCAAGGGAGCGCACTACATCTGCCACAGTGGCGGCCACTGCCCCATGGACACCTACATGCGTCGCAAGTGCCAGGAGTGTCGGCTTCGCAAATGCCGTCAGGCTGGCATGCGGGAGGAGTGTGAGTTTCTGGGGCTGGAGTGGGGAAGAGGCTGAGGGGAAAGAGGGGGCCAGGGTGTGACCCAAAACAGGTGCCTGAACTTGCAGGGGCTAACTGAT
The DNA here is from genome assembly GCF_000001405.40 of Homo sapiens. NCBI lineage: Eukaryota > Metazoa > Chordata > Mammalia > Primates > Hominidae > Homo > Homo sapiens. Next base: position 47,260,774 of record NC_000011.10, read on the forward strand.
CCCTAAGTATGGATCCCAGTATCTTTCTTGACCGGGCGCGGTGGCTCATGCCTGTAATCCCAGCACTTTGGGAGGCCGAAGCGGGTGGATCACCTGAGATCAGAAGTCCGAGACCAGCCTGGCCAACATAGTGAAACCCCGACTCTACTAAAAATACAAAAATTAGCCGGGTGTGGTGGTGAGCGCCTGTAATCCCAGCTACTCAAGAGACTGAGGCAGGAGAATCACTTGAACACGGGAGGTGGAGGTTGCAGTGTGCCAAGATCATGCCACTGCACTCCAGCCTGAGCAAGTGTGAGACTCTGTTTCAAAAAAAAAAAATCTTCTTGCCTTTACCCAGTGCTGTCTGCTTTTCTGGAGCCCCAAACCACCCCCTTTGCCCCATCCTTCCCTCCTGTCTTTCCCCCACCCCCTTGCCCCATCCTTTCCCCATCTGCTCCCTTCCTCATATTTGGCCCTGTCCTTAGGTGTCCTGTCAGAAGAACAGATCCGCCTGAAGAAACTGAAGCGGCAAGAGGAGGAACAGGCTCATGCCACATCCTTGCCCCCCAGGGCTTCCTCACCCCCCCAAATCCTGCCCCAGCTCAGCCCGGAACAACTGGGCATGATCGAGAAGCTCGTCGCTGCCCAGCAACAGTGTAACCGGCGCTCCTTTTCTGACCGGCTTCGAGTCACGGTACTTGACACACCTGGGGAGAGGCGGCTGCGCCCAGATCACCAGTGGGCTTCTTGATGTCCGACTCAAAGCGCTTTGCCTTTTCCCTCCTGGGTAGCCTTGGCCCATGGCACCAGATCCCCATAGCCGGGAGGCCCGTCAGCAGCGCTTTGCCCACTTCACTGAGCTGGCCATCGTCTCTGTGCAGGAGATAGTTGACTTTGCTAAACAGCTACCCGGCTTCCTGCAGCTCAGCCGGGAGGACCAGATTGCCCTGCTGAAGACCTCTGCGATCGAGGTGGCTGGAGAAGGGCAAGGGATGAAGGGAGAAGCAGAGTGGGATTATCTGTGGGAGGGGCCTCCAGACATCGAGCTGGGAGAGCCAAATCTGCTGGGAAGCAGGGATGAGGAGAATCGGCCTCCCTGGAAGAGGCCATGCTCCAAGACCAGCCCTCCTAGTCCCCGTTTGAGGTTTGCTGCTTGTGTGCAGGTGATGCTTCTGGAGACATCTCGGAGGTACAACCCTGGGAGTGAGAGTATCACCTTCCTCAAGGATTTCAGTTATAACCGGGAAGACTTTGCCAAAGCAGGTGAGAACTGAGATCACACAGGGATTGGGGTTGGGTGGACAGATGCTTCTTTTTTTATTTTTTATTTTTAAAAATTGAGGGCCAGGCGCGGTGGCTCATGCCTGTAATCCCAGCACTTTGGGAGGCCGAGGTGGGCAGATCACCAGGTCAGTAGATCAAGACCATTCTGGCTAACACGGTGAAACCCTGTCTCTACTGAAAATACAAAAAATTAGTCAGGCATGGTGGCACGCGCCTGTAGCCCCAGCTACTTGGGAGATCGAGGCAGGAGAATCACTTGAATCTGGGAGGCAGAGGTTGTAGTGAGCCAAGATCGCACCACTGCACTCCAGCCTGGGCAACAACAACAACAACAACAAAAATTGAGATAGAGTCTTACTATGTTGCCCAGGTTGGTCCCAAACTCCTGGCCTCAAGTGATCCTCCTGCCTCTGACTCCCAAAGTGCTGGGATTACAGGCGTGAGCCACCCACCATGCCCGGCCAAGTACTTTTTTTTTGTTTCATTTTTTTTTTTAGACAGAGTTTGCTCTGTCACCCAAGCAGGAGTGCAGTGGCGTGATCTTGGCTCACTACAACCTCCGCCTCCCGGGTTCAAGCAATTCTCCTGCTTCAGCTTCTCAAGTAGCTGGGATTAGGTGCACCACCATGCCCAGCTAATTTTTGTACTTTTAGTAGAGACAGGGTTTTACCATGTTGACCAGGCTGGTCTTGAACTCCTGACCTTAAGTGATCCATGTGCCTCAGCCTCCCAAAATGCTGGGATTACAGGCATGAGCCACTGAACCTGGCCAGGACTGGTGCTTTTTGTCAGAGGCCCATAGTGACTACAGAGCCACAGGCCCAATGTTTGGGTGGCTGGTAAGGGAAGGCTCCCTTGTTTTTTGAAGATAGAAAATTGGAATGCTGATAGGCTTCTCTCAGCTGCTCCAGATAGACCCCTGTCCTCTGTTGCTTTAGGTCAGTGGTTTTCAAACTGTATTCCAAGGAACCTGAGAGATATATGGAATGGCACCTTGGAGGAGAAACAGGGAGGCACAGGAATGTCCTTCATCTTTACTTTAGCCAAACAAGAAGCTCCATTTAAATCTGCATTATATATTGCACTGCTACATAGTATTTTGCTTGCAGATTTTACAGCTTGAAAAAAAAGTTTGAAACTCAGTGCACTCAACTTTTTAGTAGTCAAAAAGTGAACAAATCTTCCTCACATGTGCTCTTTGGGGATCATGGGGGCTGATTTCCCCTACTTTTTTTTTTTTTTTGAGATAAGTTCTTGCTCTGTCACGCAGGCTGAAGTGCAGTGGCATGAACGTGGCTCACTGCAGCCTCAACCACCTGGGCTCCAGTAATCCTCCTGCCTCAGCCCCCAAGTAGGTGGGACTACAGGCATGCACCACCATGCCAGGCTAATTTTTATATTTTTTTGTAGAGAGTGGGTTTCGCCATGTTGCCCAGGCTGGTCTCAAAATGGTCTCGAACTCCTGAGCTCAAGTGATCCACCCACCTCGGCCTCCCAATGTGCTGGGATTACAGGCATGAGCCACCACACACAGCCTCCCCTACTCTTTTTCTTTTTTTTTCTTTTCTTTTTTTTTTTTTTTGAGATGGATTCTCACTCTGTTGCCAGGCTGGAGTGCAGTGACGCGATCTTGGCTCACTGCAACTTCTGCCTCCCGGATTCAAACGATTCCCCTGCCTCAGCCTCCTGAGTAGCTGGGACTACAGGCGCGCGCCACTACGCTCAGCTAACTTTTGTATTTTTAGTAGAGATGGGGTTTCACTGTTTTGCCCAGGCTGGTCTTGAACTCCTGAGCTCAGGCAATCCGCCCGCCTTGGCCTCCCAAAGTCCTGGGATTACAGCCATGAGCCACTTGTCCAGGCCCCTCCCCTACTCTTTTTCAATTGCACTTTCTGACGAACCAGAACCATGGCATGGCAAACATGCCCAGAGAGGATGTACAATAAGAGCGAATGCTTCCATCTCCATCCTATATCTGAAGTATTTTCTCCAAAAATTAGTTCATTCTGCGGCTCTCTATCTGATGCTCGCTTGGGAGCTACGCAGAAGGGGTTTCTTCATATTCAACTATTGATAATGTTTGTATCATGAGAACTGGCCTGGGAAAGGACGGGAGGCTGAGGGAGTTTTGGAGGGACTGGAATTGAGCTTCAGCAGGAAACCAAGTAGCTTAACGACTGGATGAGTGGGGCTGTAAAATATGGCTGATGCCCTGACTCCACTCTCAGGGCTGGTAGATCTGTGGCCAGGCCAGTCATCAAGCCTTCCTTGGTTTCTGATAACTCAGGCCAGCTCACGTGCCTCTTGCTCTCCCAACGCAGTCCACCCAGTGAGCTTTCTAGGAAGGCCACTCTTCGCTGTAGGGCATAACAGGGCTATGTTGGCACCTTTTGCCTTCTATAGTAACCGGTGTGCTGCCTGGATGTATTGACACCTAATGGGGTGATTTAATGACTTTATCCAGCTTTAAAGCCCAGCCCTGCTCCCCTCTTCCAAACCACTTTTTCCTCGATGGTTATTATCTCAGACCTTCTTAACCGTGGCTCTCCCCTCCTTCAGAATATCCTCCTTGTGGAACCCTGCCCAGTTCTAAGATCTTTGTATTCCTTTGGCACTTGTAGACTCATGCTATCTGAATCTGCACCTATTCATAGATTTATTTATACAAGCAGTTTTGAAGTAATCATGCTTGCATTTCTTATTTCATGAGTGAGGTCTTGGGGAGAAGGAACAGGAGCTCTGCTTGTCAAGTCTCCTCCCCTCCCTATCCGCTACTATTTACTGCATGCAGTAGATAACTGGTGACATGGACTGAGCACATTTGAGGTGTTCATTCCGTGGGCATCAGCAGACCCTCAGAGGTGCATTAGCTAACTATAGAACCTCCTCTTAATTTCTCTATAAAGGGGGCTGTTTGCCACACTTTGGGGCTCAAAACCTCACCAAGAAATGCTTTAGAAAATGGGGCTTGCCGCCGGGCGTGGTGGCTTACACCTGAAATCCCAGCACTTTGGGAGGCCGAGGCAGGCGGATCACCTGAGGTCAGGAGTTCGAGACCAGCCTGGCCCATATGGCAAAACCCCATCTCTACTGAAAATACAAAAATTAGCTGGGCGTGGTGGTGCACACCTGTGGTCCCAGCTACTCAGGAGGCTGAGGCAGGAGAATTGCTTGAACCAGAAGGCTGAGGTTGCAGTGAGCTGAGATCGCGCCACTGCACTCCAGCCTGGGTGACAGAGCAAGACTCCATCTCAAAAAAAGAAAAAAGAAAAAGAAAATGGGGCCTGCCCATTAAATGGACCAACACACAACACTTGATAAACATCAGGGTGAAAGTACAGGAAGTGACTCACCAAGAAGCCTTGAATGGAAAAGTGTAGCAGATGGTTGCTAAAAGAAATCTGACAAAGCCTGGGGAACTCTGTAGGGTGCAGAGACTTTGACAATGTGTATGAGAGACATTCTCTAGGTATCATTACTTTAGCTCATGTTTTGTTGCATTTTAGTCTTCTCAGCAGGAAGACTGTTTCCAAGAAAAATGTATTATTTATTGACCAGGCGCGGTGGCTCATGCCTGTAATCCCAGTACTTTGGGAGGCCGAGGCAGGCAGATCACGAGGTCAAGAGATCGAGACCATCCTGGCCAACATGGTGAAATCCTGTCTCTACTAAAAATACAAAAATTAGCTGGGCGTGGTGACATGCACCAGTAGTCCCAGCTACTCAAGAGGCTGAGGCAGGAGAATTGCTTGAACCTGGGAGGCAGAGCTTGCAGTGAGCCGAGATCATGCAACTGCACTCTAGTCTGGCAACAGAGCAAGACTCTTTGTCTCAAAAAAAATTTTTTTATTTATTTTACAAACACTTATGTGGTAGTTACCATATATGCCACATATTTATGAGATAGGTACTATTATTATTCCCATTTTACAGATGGGAAAACCAAAGCCCAGAGAGGTTAAATAACTTACACAAGGTCACACTGCCTTGTAAGTGGTAGAGGCAGGACTCAACCCGAGGCAGTCTGGCACCAAAATCCACATCCTCACCCATACTGCAATATTCCCTCGAGGATGTGATACATGAAATGTATCTCTAGTGTTCAAATAAGTAAGGCCAATGCCAGTGAAAAACAAGTCTTTTTTTTTTCTTTGAAACAGGGTCTCGCTCTGTCGCCCAGGCTGAATGCAGTGGTGTGATCAATCATGGCTCAATGCAGCCTCGACCTTCTGGGCTCAAGTGATCCTCCTTGAGTAGCTGGGACTACAGGTGTGAACCACCGTGCCCTGCTGAAAAAGGATTTTTTTTTTTTTTGAGCCAGAATCTTGCTCTGTCGCCCAGGCTGGAGTGCAAGTAGAACAATCTCGGCTCACTGCAACCTCCACCTCCCAGGTTCAAGCAATTCGCCTGCTCAGCCTCCCGAGTAGCTGGGACTACAGGTGCGCCACCATGCCCAGTTAATTTTTGTATTTTTAGTAGAGACCGGGTTTCACTGTGTTGCCCAGGCTGGTCTCAAACTCTTGAGCTCAGGCAATCCGTCTGCCTCGGCCTCCTAAAGTGCTGGGATTATAGGGATAAGCCACCGCATCCAGCCTTTTTTCTTTTTCTTTTTTTTTTTTTGAGATGGAGTTTCGCTCTGTCATCCAGGCTGGAGTGCAGTGGCGTGATCTCGGCTTACTGCAACCTCCGCCTCCCAGATTCAAGCAATTCTCCTGCCTCAGCCTCCTAAGTAGCTGGAATTACAGGAGTGCACCACCACGCCCAGCTAATTTTTGTATTTTCAGTGAGACAGGGTTTTGCCATGTCGGCCAGGCTGGTCTCAAACTCCTGAACTCAGGTGATCCCCCTGCCTCGGCCTCCCAAAATACTGGGATTACAGGCATGAACCGCCGTGCCTTGCTGAAAAACGATTCTTGATAAACAAAAATAAGAGTTGCCTCTATTTCTAGAAATGTGGAGCCCTCAAGAATTTTAATGACAGAATTGGCAGGTGATGGTGTCTGGTGCCTGTAATCCCAGCACTTTGGGAGGGCGAGGCGGGTGGATTGCTTGAGTCCAGGAGTTCGAGACCAGCCTGGGCAACATGGTGAAATCCTGTCACAACTGAAAATATAAGAATTAGCTACTTGTGATGGTATGCACCTGTAGTCCCAGCTACTAGGGAGGCTGAAGTAGGAGGATGGCTTGCACCCGGGAGGTCGAGGCTGCAGTGAGCTGTGATTGTGCCACTGCACTCCAGTCTGGGTGATAGAACAAGACCCTGTCTCAAAGAAAAAAAACAAGAATACCAGAATTATTATTTAATTCAGCACCTCTTGTGTGCCAGACACAGCGCTAAGTGCCCTGCATACTTTGTCATTGAACTATACCAACAATTTTCTGAGAAGGGTTCAGATATGATTCCCATTTCACAGATGAGGCTTATAGAGGGGTTAAGACATTTGCTCAAGGTTACACAGCAAAGCCTTGTAGACCTTTTTTTTTTTTTTGACGGAATCTCGCTCTATCGCCCAGGCTGGAGTGCAGTAGTGCAATCTTGGGTCACTGCAACCTCTGCCTCCCGTGTTCAAGCAATTCTCCTGCCTCAGCCTCCCAAGTAGCTGGGATTACAGGCACCTGCCACCACGCCCGGCTAGTTTTTGTGTTTTTAGTACAGACGGGGTTTCGCCATGTTGGCCAGGCTCTTCTCGAACTCCTGACTTCAGGTGATCCGCCCGCCTCAGCCTCCGAAAGTGCTGGGATTACAGGCGTGAGCCACTGTGCCCGGCCTCAGTAAACTTCTTAGTGAGTTCCTAATAGTTCCCTAAGGTGAGGAGAGAAGAAAGTTCCTGCTGCTCCTGCTGCTTGCGTCAGCCTCCCTTCTTCCTCCCCAGGGCTGCAAGTGGAATTCATCAACCCCATCTTCGAGTTCTCCAGGGCCATGAATGAGCTGCAACTCAATGATGCCGAGTTTGCCTTGCTCATTGCTATCAGCATCTTCTCTGCAGGTGTGGAGGAGGGGCAATGGGAAACAGCAAGAGACTTACACCAAGGAGGGCTGCAGGTCCCACAGGAATCGGTGGGGGGAGGGGGGTGGTGGCTTGGGAGGGTGGAGGCATTTGCTGTGTTATTTTAGGATGAGAGAGCTTGGCTGGAGCATGTCTCTATATTTTGGTTGCAATTTGGGGTATGGAACTGGACCCTGGCCAGACCTGCTCCTCAACTCTCTTGGTGACCTATAGACCGGCCCAACGTGCAGGACCAGCTCCAGGTAGAGAGGCTGCAGCACACATATGTGGAAGCCCTGCATGCCTACGTCTCCATCCACCATCCCCATGTGAGTCTCCCCATGGTGTTCCTTTTCCTCCTTCCCACACACAGGCCCATTCCCTGACATACCTACTTTCCCTTCAAGAATTTCTCTCTGACTGCATGCTGTGCAGACAATTCACCTCTCCCACAACTCCCCTACTCTTGCCCCGCTTCCCTGGGGACAGGCAAAAGCTGTGTTTGTCTCTCTCCTTTCCCCAGGACCGACTGATGTTCCCACGGATGCTAATGAAACTGGTGAGCCTCCGGACCCTGAGCAGCGTCCACTCAGAGCAAGTGTTTGCACTGCGTCTGCAGGACAAAAAGCTCCCACCGCTGCTCTCTGAGATCTGGGATGTGCACGAATGACTGTTCTGTCCCCATATTTTCTGTTTTCTTGGCCGGATGGCTGAGGCCTGGTGGCTGCCTCCTAGAAGTGGAACAGACTGAGAAGGGCAAACATTCCTGGGAGCTGGGCAAGGAGATCCTCCCGTGGCATTAAAAGAGAGTCAAAGGGTTGCGAGTTTTGTGGCTACTGAGCAGTGGAGCCCTCGCTAACACTGTGCTGTGTCTGAAGATCATGCTGACCCCACAAACGGATGGGCCTGGGGGCCACTTTGCACAGGGTTCTCCAGAGCCCTGCCCATCCTGCCTCCACCACTTCCTGTTTTTCCCACAGGGCCCCAAGAAAAATTCTCCACTGTCACTCTGTGGTATGGCCATAAATGCCTCAGCGCCGCCTCACTGATAGGTCTGGTACTGTTTGAACAGGAAGATCAAAATGAATACAAAATGAGAGAAACCAATTTCTGGATTGGGGGTGGGGACACGGTAATAGAGGAGGAAGCCTGCGATCTTTAGGATCCGCCTCCAGGCCCAGAGGAGGGAGAGTCACAAATGACAGCCTTGGCCGTGAGAGGGGGCCTCTTCTTACTAACCCCCACTGCGCCATATGGGTAAATGGAATGCTGAGGCTTAGGCGCCCCCTTCCCCTGCTGGGATCCGGGTAGGATCCGGTTGCCTTTCTGCGGTGGAGGAGGAAGTGTTGGATTTCAGCGCTAAGGCGTCGGCGGTGCACCTCACGTGCATGTGTAGCATGCCTTGGTTTTTCCTTTGGCATCTGAAAAAGGCACAACCTGAAAGACCTAGAACCCAGTGTCGGTCCCCAGGCCCTTTGGGACAGGAAGAGAAGAGCCGTGTGGCCGCGGGGAGGATGTCCTGAGGCGGGGCTGTCCTCGCGGACTGACTGGACTCCATCTCCCAGCGGGCGCCGCGGCGCGGCCACGCCCCCCCACTCCCCGCGCGCGCCCGGTGGAGGTAACCGCGGCCGCGCGCCCCCCTCTGCCCCCGCTGCCCAGGATTGGTAGGCTCCACCGCTCGGCAGCCGGCTTCCCTGCTCGGACGCCGAGCACCGCCAAAGCGCGTGAGTGGGGGGTGGGGACTGGGGGATGGGGAGCCCGTCAGGAAGTCTCAGGGGCCGATTATCTTGGGAAGTGACTTTCAGAGGAATCCCCATGTCGTCGAAACGGGCGCTATGACCCCGTCGGGTGAGAGTCTCTCTGAGCAACCCAAACAGAAGGTACTGCTGTGGGTCCCCCACTTGGCACGCGACGGCGCTGGGTCGGCCTGGCGCGCCCTCCCGCGCCCACGGGCGCTAGGCTAGGTCTGTGCGCAGCCGCTGTCTCCCGAGGTCGGCCCCGCCCCGCGGCGCTCGGCTCGGTGCAGCCCCGGCCCCCCGGGCTGAATGGTACGGCCCCGGCCCCGGCCTCCCCCTCCGCACCCCGCGCGAGTGGTGCGTGCCCCCCAGTGCAGACGCGGAACTGGCGCCCGCTCGGAGCGGCGCCGCGCTGGGGAGCGACTGACGCCCCGCTGCCGGGGGACGTCGGGCTGGGCCTGGCCAGTCCCCCAGAGCTTGGGAGGTAGGAGAGTCTGGGCCGGTGGGGTCCTGGGCGAGCGTCTGGGGACTCCGAGCGGGAGACGGGCTCTGAGAGGACACCGTGGCTCTTGGAGGAAGGGGTCTCTCAGGAGGCCCTGGGGGAGTGTGAAGGGGCGTGGGGACGGGGGTCTGCCGAGGAGGGGCGGGGACGGGGATGGGGGCGCCCCGGGCAGAGGAGGGGGCTCAGGCTACTGGGCTTGGTTCCTGCCGAGCGGGCGGCTCGGGTTCAGGTTCGGGGCGGGGGCGGGGGCGGGGGAGAACTGTCCAGCAGGTGAGGGGGCGGGCAGAGCTGGCCAGCCCTGGGGCCGAACCCGCACAGCGCTTGGCGGGTGTGCTTGTGCGTGTGCGTGCTTGCGCCTTATTTTTGGCTAGAATTTGGAGAAACACGTTTGGTTCTCAAGAAATTTTTTTTTTAACTTGATATTTCAAAATTGACTTGCTGGAGAGAGAACACCATTTCATCTTTCTGCAATCGCTCTCCTCCCCATCCTCGTGTATCTACCTTCTTCCACCTTTCCCTGCCCTCCCCTCTACCCCAACCCTGCCAGCTGCCAGCCTCCTTGCTCCAGTTCTCCCATACGCTGGACCAGTCTGTGCTGATGAGCTTGCAAGGTCACTGCCTGGGGAGGTAGAGGAGGGGAGGAGAGCCTCCTGTTGTGTTCACGTCAGCAGAGATGTCATATCGCTCTCTGGTTCCTGTGGTTTTACTGTGAGATCCTGTCCAAAATGAGGGACGAATCCAAAGGGTTGGTTAGCATGGCTATTTCTGCTGAAAAGGCATAGATAACTTAAAAGTTTGTGAATCCTAAATCTACCTCTGGGTGGAGCTGATGGTGATGTCGGACTTCAGCAGATAGATATGCATTTTGAGCTGGATGCTTTTGGAATACAGGAAGATAGGAACCAGAGGCTCTACGTTAGTAAACATGGTTGAGGCAAGAGGCAGAGTCGGAGCCTCGTTGGTTGTGAAGACAAGAGTGTGAGTTGTGGGTGATGTTAGAGGATTTAGTCTTTAGAGGAGTTAAAGGTGTTAGTCTTTTTGGGGAGGGGAGAGAGGAGAGAATGAGAAGGAAAATCTTAGTTATCTTTGCAATCTGAATAACTGAAGGCAGTGGCTGCTGATCAGATGTGAACTCTGGCTAAAAATTTATCCTACCACCCGTAGCTAGAATAATAACAAGATCTCAGGGTCCTTGTGGCTCTGGAAGGAAATGATTGTGAGTGACTTGAGTTTCGTCAGATAGTTGTCAGTGGAGAGGGACTGAGATCCCACCAAGGCTAGAGAGGCCTGATGCGTACTCAGTAGGAGGTGCTTCAGGCCTGATCTTTGAGATTTTGGTTGGAGAGGGCTCCGGGTTTTCAATGTAAACATAGATTGCAAGGTGTAGTCTAGAGCTCTGGTTCTATAAATTCTGTTTTACTTTAAGATACTTTGGCTCTCACTCTAGTCATTTCTACATAATTCTTTTTTTTTTTTCGAATCCCATGACAGGTTAACTACATAATTCTTTATTAAAACAAATTATGCTTTTTACTCATATCCCATTTCATTTCTCTATTTCTCTCCCCCTTGGATTCTGCTCAGGAGGAGCTGAGTGCGGCTCTGTTATAGTGCCCCACCTCCTGCAGTTTGCTCATGACTCTATTGCAGTTGGGAGAACCAAGGGACTATTTGGGTTCGTTAAGCAGTGGTGATACCTAGAAATGAATATATGGCGTGCTCAGAAACCTGGTGGTGTTCTAGAGATATCACTATCAAAAGCCAGAATTAGGACGAAGTACAAACTACAGACAGATGAGGGAGAAGACAACCTAATTCTTAGCAGGTACTGTCAGTGGGAGAAGTGTCTCTAGGTTCGAGGAGAGTGAATTGTTATGGGCCTTGGCTGACTCTGGAGTAGCAGCTGCTAGCACTGTGCGGTCACCAAGCAGGGGAGGGGCTGTGGCTCTGCTATAAATAGTGCTGGGAGCCAGAGTCGCTATAGAGATAAAACTGAATCCTATTACCTGCAGGTCCTCTACTGGGAGCAAGGGAAAGGAGAAAGCAGTATTTTGAGGATTTGAGAGGTATTGCAAATAGGTCTTGTTTATTGTTAGGTAGGGGAGAAAAAACTTCTACTCATTACCTAAACCAAATAGGGCCTTAAGCATCCAGGGAGTGTGTATGTCTGTATATATGGGAGTGCCCGCAGCAGCAGGTGAGGGAGTAGAGGGTGTGTGTGTGTATACGATAATGGGTTTCTCTCCGTGTGCATTGAACAAGGTCTTAGGCCGCATGTAGAGCACAGAGGTAGAATCCTGGAACACTAGAAATATGAGAAAAGAACTTCTACTCATAGAAGAAGTAGCCCTACCAGAAATAGCTGTGCAGCGGGGTGAAACGTTTTATTTAGAGAAGTGTATAGACACTTAACACGAAATAAATTATAATTAAGACCATGAAAGCTTTTCCTAATTTTAGGACATAGTTTAGAAATTTCTCTGAGCACGTCTCCCTGTCCTTGCAGAAATCCTGGTATTTCTGCCTCTAATTCATAGCCTCTGTAATGTATAGTAGGACAAGGACTCATCTGTGGGTATTGTATTACTGATTCTGAGCCTGAGATCAAAATAGAGGAGAGATTATGATTCAGCACCAAGGGCAGAGCTAGTAGCAGTGGCCTCTGGGCTCCTTTCTTGCCTGAAGGAGGGAGAAAAGTGGTGCAGATTAGGCAATTGGGGCATGGACATTTTCATTTGAGATCACATGAGGTAGAATAGCCAGCTGTTATTGTCTGAGCATGGTTAACTAGACAGTCTATGTGGTAGTTTTACATCAAGCTGAATGTAGATTGTTGAAACAGAATAATTAAGTTTCCATCTAGACCTAGAAGTGCAGGTTAGTGCTAGCTAGTTGAGGAGTCTGGTTTGATCCTGATCCACCCTGGAGGGATCCTGAGAGTGACTTCAATTTTTGTTACAATGACTGAGTCCAGATTAGATGGCCTAGGTCTGTTTTTCAGAAACAGAGCCCCAGGCGTTAAGCTGGAAATTAAGTCATTGGTAGGGATAGGTAGGTGAACCATTATTTATCTACATTTTTTTTTTTTTCTTGAGACGGAGTCTCACTCTGTCACCCAGGCTCGAGTGCAGTGGTGCGATCTCAGCTCACCACAGCCTCCACCTCCTGGGTTCAAGCGATTCTCATGCCTCAGACTCCCGAGTAGCTGGGATTACAGATGTGTGCCACCACACCCGGCTAATTTTTTTGTATTTTTAGTAGAGATGGGGTTTTGCCATGTTGGCCAGCTGGTCTCAAACTCCTGACCTCAGGTGATCCGCCTCGGCCTCCCAGAGTTCTGGGATTACAGGCGTGAGCCACCATGCCTGGCCTATCTATTTTTTAACATTCGATTCTGTGAGCTCATGAGCCTAGACACGAGGCTAGGCAAGCGTCAAGTTCTCCTATCATTAGTATGAAAGTGGAAGACCTTCTGACCTCTGCCTCTGGCCGGGAAGAAGTTGAGAGGGATGAGTCCCTTAGGCACAGCAGTGGATCTTATCAGTACTTTTTTTCCTATTAGACTTCGATTTTCAGAATTCCTCCTGGGAATGCTGACTCCTTGCTTGGTGCCCTGATGCTTCTCTGAGATAAACTGATGAATTGGAACCATGGTGCAAAAGAAGAAGTTCTGTCCTCGGTTACTTGACTATCTAGTGATCGTAGGGGCCAGGTAACCAAGAAGAGATTGACTTTTGTCTTAATATCTGGGATAGCCATAAAATCTGCAGTTGTTCCCTTCTCCGATTTCCATGTTGCTTTGCATAGCTCATCTTCTCCTGTTATTTTACCCTGATGGGAGCATCGAAGCCAGTAGGGAAAAAACAAAATCAGGTGGATTGAAAGCAAAACCCTGCTCTTAACTAACATCTTCTTGATGTCGAGCAAATATACTCTTTATACCTCAGTTTTCTTATTTTGTAAAAAGAAAAAGTACATTATAAGCTACTCCTCTATGTATACTTTTTTGGTAATTTATTAGTTAATTCACTTTAAAAGATGTTAATCATCTTAAGGTGCCAGTGATAATTTTATTGTCAAAATCTCCCCTTCGTTTCAGAATAGATGCCTTCATGACAGTGTAGACTTCACTTAGGTTACCAGCTCCATGCGGCAGGCAGCACCCATATTTTCCAAGGTGTTACAGTCAGGTTACTTTATCCAAAATAGCATCTTGAGCTTTATTTGTTGACTGTGGTTAAAATTTGATAGCCCATTCCATCCCTTCAGGCTGCTGAATTTGTCTTTATGTTCTTCAGGCACCCGAGCAGTGATAGCGTGGCCCAGACTCCTGAATTGCTACGGCGATACCCCTTGGAGGATCACACTGAGTTTCCCCTGCCCCCAGATGTAGTGTTCTTCTGCCAGCCCGAGGGCTGCCTGAGCGTGCGGCAGCGGCGCATGAGCCTTCGGGATGATACCTCTTTTGTCTTCACCCTCACTGACAAGGACACTGGAGTCACGCGATATGGCATCTGTGTTAACTTCTACCGCTCCTTCCAAAAGCGAATCTCTAAGGAGAAGGGGGAAGGTGGGGCAGGGTCCCGTGGGAAGGAAGGAACCCATGCCACCTGTGCCTCAGAAGAGGGTGGCACTGAGAGCTCAGAGAGTGGCTCATCCCTGCAGCCTCTCAGTGCTGACTCTACCCCTGATGTGAACCAGTCTCCTCGGGGCAAACGCCGGGCCAAGGCGGGGAGCCGCTCCCGCAACAGTACTCTCACGTCCCTGTGCGTGCTCAGCCACTACCCTTTCTTCTCCACCTTCCGAGAGTGTTTGTATACTCTCAAGCGCCTGGTGGACTGCTGTAGTGAGCGCCTTCTGGGCAAGAAACTGGGCATCCCTCGAGGCGTACAAAGGTACAGTTTGCTGCTGATGCCTAATGGGGGAAGCATTTAGAGATTCCATGTAATTGGTCTTTGAGGGGCATAGGAAATTTCCTCTACAGCTCAAGGTCCTTCAGACCTATTAAGCATATTTAGAGTATTTAGAGTTAATCTTTTTTCTTTTGGAGACAGTCTCGCTCTGTTGCCCAGGCTGGAGTACAGTGGTGCGATCTCGGCTCACTGCAACCCCTGCCTCCTGGGTTCAAGTGATCCTTCTGCCTCAGCCTCCCGAGTAGCTGGGATTACAGGTGCACGCCACCATGACCAGCTAATTTTGGTATTTTTGTAGAGACAAGGTTTCGCCATGTTGGCCAGGCTGGTCTCAAACTCCTCACCTCAGGTGGTCCACCCACGTTGGCCTCCCAAAGTGCTGGGATTATAGGCGTGAGCATCATCCCCAGCCAAGAGTTAATCTTTACTAAGCAAAAGACTGCTGCAGAGTTAGACCTCTTTCCAAAATTGTGTTTGGAGTAATGCTGGAATTTGGTGTTTTAACTGTGGTTAGGACAGTAAGTCTTACCCAGTATATATCTTTACATTTGCTTTTGCCATTGTATATACTTTCCGGTCCTATCTGAGCTCAGAGACTGGGCTTTCTTAATGATGCTCCGTTTCCCATTGTCATCATTAGAGCCTCTGTGGTGATACTGAGTTGCAGTAGGGTATCAGCTTCTGATGCTAATGTGTCTGATTCCTGCTGTCTGCTTCTCAGGGACACCATGTGGCGGATCTTTACTGGATCGCTGCTGGTAGAGGAGAAGTCAAGTGCCCTTCTGCATGACCTTCGAGAGATTGAGGCCTGGATCTATCGATTGCTGCGCTCCCCAGTACCCGTCTCTGGGCAGAAGCGAGTAGACATCGAGGTCCTACCCCAAGAGCTCCAGCCAGCTCTGACCTTTGCTCTTCCAGACCCATCTCGATTCACCCTAGTGGATTTCCCACTGCACCTTCCCTTGGAACTTCTAGGTGTGGACGCCTGTCTCCAGGTGCTAACCTGCATTCTGTTAGAGCACAAGGTGAGAGGCAAGCTTCCTAGACCTTTCTAGGGGAGAAACTCTTAAATATGCCAGTGGCCAGACCACGAGCTCTTAGAGGACAGGGACTACATATTTTTCACCTTTTTGTCTTCAGGAGGTAACATGATGCCTGGTAAACAGCAGGTGTTCCGTAGATGTGGGTTGAATTAAGATACTGGTATCATGTGGGATGTATTTAGAGGGTTTACCATTCATTAGGGCTTATCCTTAATTGTACTGACCTAATTCTTTGGAAATATCAGTAGTTCTGTTTCAGTGAGTGGTCCTGGGATGGGCAGTACAAGAACTAGGAAGGTAAGGGAGTGATTTGCATATCTCAGGTGACTGAGGATCACCATTGTGCCTGGATTGGGAGGTGGCAGGCATGGTGGGGCAGGGGGCAGTGGGAGAGACAAAGCTGGAGCTGTAGGCTCGATGAAGTGGAAACCAAGTTGTAATGTTGGAAGCTGTTTTCTTGTAAACCATATTTTATGTTTTGGAGTGATTCTTACTGGATGGCTCATGACAGGTGGTGCTACAGTCCCGAGACTACAATGCACTCTCCATGTCTGTGATGGCATTCGTGGCAATGATCTACCCACTGGAGTATATGTTTCCTGTCATCCCGCTGCTACCCACCTGCATGGCATCAGCAGAGCAGGTGAGTCTCAAGGCGACTTCCGGCTTTCTCACCTCTGTCTTCCTGAGGGAGGAGGCTTAATGCTCAAAGAAGTTGTAAGTGAGTGCTGGTCCTCAATCCTTTGTCATAACTTATTTGTCTACAAAATCTGACTGATTTGAACTGATCTGGTGGCAAGGCTTATGCTATTTTAGTTTTCATTTATCACAACAAATGTTAATGACTGTAGGCCACTGGCTACACTGCAGCAGGTGTTACGTGTGTTACGTAATACAGTAGTTCCTCCTTATCTGTGGAGGACACATTCCAAGACCCACCAGTGGATGCCTCAAACCACAGATAGTTCCAAACTCTATAGATACTTTGTTTTTTTCTATACATATATACCGGTGATACCGTTTAATTTATGAATTAGACACAGTAAGAGAGTAACAGTTTTCTCTTTGGGCATATATTTGGTGTTTTTTGGAGACAGAGTCTCCCTCTATCCCCCAGGCTGGAGTACAGTGGCACAATCTCGGCCCACTGGAGCCTCTGCCTTCCAGGTTCAAGTGATTCTCCTGCTTCAGCCTCCCTAGTAGCTGGGATTACAGGCACTGCCACCACCACACACCAAATAATTTTTTGTATTTTTAGTAGAGGCGGGGTTTCACCATGTTGGCTGGGCTGGTCTTGAACTCTTGACCTTAGGTGATCCGCCTGCCTCAGCCTCCCAAAGTGCTGGGATTACAGGCATGAGCCACCGTGCCCAGCCTCTTTCTACATATATTTGGCTTCTCTTTGGCATATCCCAATTGCCAGCATCAGTACCCTTGTGCTTTGGGGCCATTATTAAGTAAAATAAGGGTTACTTGAACACAAACGCTGAGATTGTGTGACAGTTGATCTGATAACCGAGATGGCTACAGGCTGGACACAGGGGTGATTCATGTCTGGGTGGGACAGAGCGGGACAGCATGAGATTTCATCATGCTTCTCAGAACTATTGTCCTGCACTTCAGATATGATCAAGCTGCAGTTTAAAATTTATGAATTGTTTATTTCTGGAATTTTCCTTTTAATATTTTCAGACTACAGTTTGCCTCAGTTAACTGGAATCACAGAAAGTGAAACTGTGGATAAGAAAGACTACTGTATACAAAAAAATGTACCATGTTACCTTTCAAAAAATCTGAAAAATTCTGAATTTTCAAATACATCTGGCCTCAAGAGTTTTGGAAGAGGGATTGTATCTGCATTTCCTTATCTAGAAGAATCCAGACTTGATAAGTGCTCATGATAGGTTTTGTCTTTGTTTCTCACCTTCTTTATCATTTCCACAGCTGCTGTTGGCTCCAACCCCGTACATCATTGGGGTTCCTGCCAGCTTCTTCCTCTACAAACTGGACTTCAAAATGCCTGATGATGTATGGCTAGTGGATCTGGACAGCAATAGGGTGAGGTTCTTGGCTGAGGCATTGTAGAGTCTAGAGGAGGATTGCATTCTAGACCCAGTCCTGAGATATCTGTTTCTAGATTCCTTTCAGGAACGTCCTAAGTTGTTGGATAATTTCTATTGCGAGACTTACTGAAACAAGTTTTTTTAAATGCTCCTTTTACCTTATTAGCCAAATAAACCCTTGGTTAGGTCTCAGAGAATTACAGGATTTATTTTTGCCAGAATTAAGTGACCCCCCACCATATCCTCCAAGAGCAGTCAGACAGTTGTGATCTGAGGGCCATTACATGTGGTATAGATCATCTCTTAATGGTTTCCCTGGGGTATAGTTTCCAGTAAGAAACTGTCTTTCAGTGCAGGCTTAATTAATTATATGACCATTCTGCAATGTGAATACATTCAGACTTTGGTGGGAAGCCCTTATGTGTGCTCATTGTAAAACTTAAAAAAAATAAAAATAAGCGTAAATAAAATAAGTGAAAAGAAAAACCATAATCCTTTTATCTAGAGATAATAACCAATAACATTAAGTTATATTTCATTTCAGATGCATATGTATGTCATATATGTGTGTACATATATCTTACTGTGCAGTTATATAATGTATATTCGTTTATATAATAATAATGTATATACGTCCTCTTATTTTTATTTATGTAAGTGAAATTCCTGAGCAATAAACTCTAAGGTCACGTCTTTTATCATTTCTCTGGTGCAGGTGATTGCCCCCACCAATGCAGAAGTGCTGCCTATCCTGCCAGAACCAGAATCACTAGAGCTGAAAAAGCATTTAAAGCAGGTAGGTGAAGAACGAAGGAAAGAAAGGGGAGTATTAGATGCTGTGGGATTCCTATAAGAAGACAGCTATTCTCAGAGCCAATTTCCTATCAAACTTCAAGTGGAGTAGTTTTCTTCACCCTGGATGGGCTTAAGAAAACGCGTATCCCATTTCTGGGTGGCAGAGTGAATTTCTGTTTTTGATTCCAATTCATTGTATGCTTTACCATCTTCTAATGCTTATGATGCTGTATAAAATAGCCCTTCACTCTCTGTTTCTTGTATGTGTGCCACTCTCTATGGCTTCAGAACATTTTCTCAGTCTTTTTTTTTTTTTTTTTTTGAGATGTGGAGTCTTGCTCTGTCCCCTAGGCTGGAGTGCAGTGGCGCGATCTCGGCTCACTGCAAGCTCTGCCTTCTGAGTTCACGCCATTCTTCTGCCTCTCCAGGAGCTGGGACTATAGGCGCACGCCGCCACACCCGGCTAATTTTTTTGTATTTTTGGTAGAGACGGGGTTTTGCCATGTTAGCCAGGATGGCCTCTATCTCCTGACCTCATGATCCGCCTGCCTCAGCCTCCCGAAGTGCTGGGATTACAGGCGTGAGCCACTGCGCCCGGCCGATTTTCTCAGTCTTGTTAGGTGGAAGTTAGTAGTGTGGACCGTCTGGCTGCTTTTATATTATCTTCTAGAGTTGATCCTGAGGGTTCCTTTCTTCAAAAATTCCTTTATTTGGCTGGGCACGGTGCCTCATGCCTGTAATCCCAGCACTTTGGGAGGCCGAGGCAGGTGAATCACGAGGTCAGGAGTTGAAGACCAGCCTGGCCATTATGTTGAAACCCTGTCTCTACTAAAAATACAAAAATTAGCCGGGCATGGTGGTGGACGCCCGTAGTCCAGCTACTCAGGAGGCTGAGGTAGAAGAATCACTTGAACCCAGGAGGCAGAGGTTGCAGTGAGCCAAGATTGCGCCATTGCACTCCTGCCTGGGCCACAGAGTGAGACTCAGTCTCAAACAAACAAAAAAATTCCTTTCTTTGAGTAATTCCTCACATCCATTTTTTATTGATTGATTTTCTTCTTCCTCTGCATGCTGAACACAGTACCTGAAGGTAACACATGACAAAGCTTCATTCCCTTCCTCTGCCTTATGTGTTGTACAGGAACACCAGTAGATAACACTGTGTTTATTTTTAGGAATCCCTGCTCTCATTTGAAGGGCCTTTAGAAATCTTTTTCTGTGTTGTCTGAAGTACTTAGTAGTATCTCTAGATGCTATGTTTGGGTTTAAATGGGTCATTGTGTTTCATCCCTCTCACCTCAGTTGCTTCATCACTGCTAATATAATATGATACCTTGTTACTGCAGAGTCTAGTGGGAATTTTAAGTTCAGAAAGTTCTCTAGCTGCCTTCACTTGCTGTGTTTTCAGTCTTGATGATTGCTTTAGTATGACTAATGAGATGGAGAGGTTAATAAATGGAATTATATTTAATTAAATTAATTAATTAATTTATTTATTTATTTTGAGATGGAGTCCCACTCTGTCACCCAGGCTGGAGTGCAGTGGCACAATCTTGGCTCACTGCATTCTCTGCCTCCCAAGTTCAAGCGAATCTCTTGCCTCAGCCTCCTGAGTAGCTGGGATTCCAGGCACACACCACTGTGCCCAGCTAATTTGTTTGTATTTTTAGTAGAGCTGGGGTTTCATCATGTTGGCCAGGCTGGTCTCAAACTCCTAACTTCAGGTGATCCACTTGCCTTGGCCTCCCAAAGTATTGGGATTACAGGCATGAGCCACCGTGCCCAGCCAGAATTATATTTTAAATGTTTGTAGGAGCTAAGATCCTTGGACTCATTGATCCTGTGTTCTAACTCCTGCTATTCAAAGTGTGGTTTGTGAACCAGCAACATTAGCATCACTCGGGCTTGTTAAAGTGCAGGATCACTCCAGGCATATTGAATCGGGATCTGCATTTTAACAGCCTCCCCTGGTGATTCTTCTCCTCACTCACATTTGAGAAGCACTGCTGCTCTCGACCAGTGGTCTTCACGCTGCCCCATTGAGCCTCTGAGGGGCCGATTTAGCTTGGGAGCCCTGAGCATTTGAGGCTCTGCTTCCTGTGTCCTTCAGAGCAGCTCTGTTTTCAAATTTCCATTCTATATAATTTCACATAGATTCCAATTTTAAAAAACATTTAATGACTATAATAATTTTGCAAACGACTGTCGTGGACTTCAGATAAGATCAAGTTGCCTTGAGCTAGGTTGTCTTAAGATGGAGAGCTACATATTTCAAACTGTTTTCTAAAGGCTAGAATATTGGGATTTTTATTTCAAAGATGAAAGGTCTGAAATGGGTTGGCCGTGATTTGCAAATTAGCACCGTTCTTTGTTGCAGAACTTTTTGACCAGAGAATACGAGGTAGCAGACCTTAGGAAGGCCTTTTCCTTGGAGTTAAGATTGGCTAGCTGCCCAGGGACGTTCCTTGTGTAAGGAATTTTCTTGTTGTTCCACAGGCCTTGGCCAGCATGAGTCTCAACACCCAGCCCATCCTCAATCTGGAGAAATTTCATGAGGGCCAGGAGATCCCCCTTCTCTTGGGAAGGCCTTCTAATGACCTGCAGTCCACACCGTCCACTGAATTCAACCCACTCATCTATGGCAATGATGTGGATTCTGTGGATGTTGCAACCAGGTAAGACCAAGCCGACTGTATAATCACAAGTTCTTAAATTAATTTCTTTGCTCTCTAAGGGACCTTGGGGCAGACTATTTCTCTGAACCAGGGTTCCTTTTTTTTTTGAGATAGATTCTCACTCTTGTTGGAGTGCAATGGCATAATCTCAGCTCACTGCAACTTCCACCTCCCGGGTTCAAGTGATTCTCCTGCCTCAGCTTCCTGAGTGGCTGGGATTACAGGCGCCTGCCACCACGCCTGGCTAATTTTTACATTTTTAGTAGAGACGGGGTTTCACCATGTTGGCCAGGCTGGTCTGGAACTCCTGACCTCAGTTGATCCACCCGCCTTGTCCTCCCAAAGTGCTGGGATTACAGCCGTGAGCCACCGCACCCAGCCCAGGGTTTCTTTATGTATAAAATATATACTATATTTGGTTGTTATTTTCCACCTTAGTAAAATCAAAGTGAAGAAATAGTAAACCACGTGCTCAGGATGAAGAGGGGGCTGATGATTCTTTAAGATATCTCTCCCCTTGATGTTGGAAGCCTGTTAAGTGATGGCTTTGGGAGGTGTTCTAAGACTTTGGATCATGGGAATCCTTACCCTATGGGTCTCAGATTATCTCATCATCTGCTTCCCCAGGGTTGCCATGGTACGGTTCTTCAATTCCGCCAACGTGCTGCAGGGATTTCAGATGCACACGCGTACCCTGCGCCTCTTTCCTCGGCCTGTGGTAGCTTTTCAAGCTGGCTCCTTTCTAGCCTCACGTCCCCGGCAGACTCCTTTTGCCGAGAAATTGGCCAGGACTCAGGCTGTGGAGTACTTTGGGGAATGGATCCTTAACCCCACCAACTATGCCTTTCAGCGAATTCACAACAGTGAGTCTACCTGCCCTCTGCTCCGCTCTGCCTTGTGCCTCTGTCCTCCTGATGGACTTTGATTTTTCCTTTGCTAATGTTTGACCTGTGCCTTCTATCCTGGCTCTGCTTTAGACTTTTTCCTGCCTTTCTTTCAGGCGTTGCTTGCCTTTTTTTCCTTGCTGCTGACTTTCTGTTCTTTTCCCTCATGGGGTAGATATGTTTGATCCAGCCCTGATTGGTGACAAGCCAAAGTGGTATGCTCATCAGCTGCAGCCTATCCACTATCGCGTCTATGACAGCAATTCCCAGCTGGCTGAGGCCCTGAGTGTACCACCAGAGCGGGACTCTGACTCCGAACCTACTGATGATAGGTGAGCATCCTTAGGGCAGCAAAAAGGTTTTAAAGGTGAGGAGGCTCTCACTAGCCCTTCTTTAGCACAGAGAAGGCAAAGTCTCATAGGCTTCCCATATCAGTGTTTTTAATTTTATTTTATTTTATTTATTTATTTTTTTGAGACGGAGTCTCGCTCTGTCACCCAGGCTGGAGTGCAGTGACGCAATCTCGGCTCACTGCCAGCTCCGCCTCCCGGCTTCATGCCATTCTCCTGCCTCAGCCTCCCGAGTAGCTGGGACTACAGGCGCCCGCCACCACGCCCGGCTAATTTTTTGTATTTTTAGTAGAGATGGGGTTTCACCGTGTTAGCCAGGATGATCTCGATCTCCTGACCTTGTGATCTGCCCGCCTCGGCCTCCCAAAGTGCTGAGAATACAGGCGTGAGCCACCGCGCCCGGCCTTATTTATTTATTTTTGTATGTATGTGACAGAGTCTTGCTGCTCTGTCACGCGGTCTGGAGTGCAGTGGTGCCGTCTCAGCTCACTGCAAGTTCTCCCTCCCAGGTTCAAGTGATTCTCCTGCCTCCGCCTCCCAAGTAGCTGGGACTACAGGTGCTGCCACCTTGCCTGGCTAATTTTTGTATATATATATTTTTTGAGATGGAGTCTTGCTCTGTCGCCCAGGCTAGAGCGCAGTGGCGTGATCTGGGCTCACTGCAACCTCCGCCTCTCGGGTTCAAGCGATTCTCTTGCCCCAGCCACCCGAGTAGCTGGGATTACAGGCACATGCCATCACGCCCAGCTAATTTTTTGTGTTTTTAGTAGAGACAAGGTTTCACCATGTTGGCCAGGCTGGTTTCAAACTCATGCCTTCAAGCAATTCGCCTGCCTCGGCCTCCCAAAGTGCTAGGATTACAGGCGCGAGCCACTGCACCCGGCTACTTTTTGTATTTTTAGTAGAGATGGTGTTTCACCATGTTTGCCAGGCTGGTCTCAAACTCCAGACCTCAGGTGATCCACCCGCCTTAGCGTCCCAAAGTGCTTGGATTACAGGCATGGGCCACTGTCCCGGCCCCCATATCAGTCTTTATGCTTTGGTTGACTGTTTTTCTTGGCTTCTTTATTTGATTTGTTCCCTGGCCTTGAGTTCGGAGTGCTCCCCCTTTTATTTTTCCTGGTGCTGATTGTAGGTGTTCTCCCTGCCCCTTTCTGTTTTGTTTGTTTTTTATGCACTTCACTCTGCAGTGGCAGTGATAGTATGGATTATGACGATTCAAGCTCTTCTTACTCCTCCCTTGGTGACTTTGTCAGTGAAATGATGAAATGTGACATTAATGGTGATACTCCCAGTAAGTGTGCTTGGGGAGATTGGCCAGCCCTGGGCAGGGGTTGGGGGCCCAAGGATGGAGTGGTCTGTACCTGCCTCCCTTGGATTTTGGCAGATGTGGACCCTCTGACACATGCAGCACTGGGGGATGCCAGCGAGGTGGAGATTGACGAGCTGCAGAATCAGAAGGAAGCAGAAGAGCCTGGCCCAGACAGTGAGAACTCTCAGGAAAACCCCCCACTGCGCTCCAGCTCTAGCACCACAGCCAGCAGCAGCCCCAGCACTGTCATCCACGGAGCCAACTCTGTAAGTGAGGAGCGGTGGATGAGTGAGAACCATGGCCTGGGATGTGGGCCTCATCTATTAGGAAAGCCAGGCTGTAGCTATTCATTTGCTGCTTCTCACACAATTTTCTCATCTTCCTCTTCATGGGCCCTAGAGCTTAGAGCCTAAGAGACCTACTTTTGACCCCAAAAGGAGGTCATCAGGCTTTGTTCAGGGTACAGCTATGATCCCCCTTATATAGTTTGTGGGGACAGAGAACGGGTGCTACAGAGATCATTTCCCACACATTCCTTAGGCTAGAAATCTGACAGGCCTGGTCCAGCCCTGCCAAACTGGGATTACAGGAAGGTACCATTGGGCACCAGGTAACCACTTTTAATTTCATGCGGCCTTTAGGAACCTGCTGACTCTACGGAGATGGATGATAAGGCAGCAGTAGGCGTCTCCAAGCCCCTCCCTTCCGTGCCTCCCAGCATTGGCAAATCGAACGTGGACAGACGTCAGGCAGAAATTGGAGAGGGGTCAGTGCGCCGGCGAATCTATGACAATCCATACTTCGAGCCCCAATATGGCTTTCCCCCTGAGGAAGATGAGGATGAGCAGGGGGAAAGTTACACTCCCCGATTCAGCCAACATGTCAGTGGCAATCGGTGAGAGCCTGGGCATCCCTTCTAGATGGGTGACTGAAGGACCTCACCTCAGTGGACCCTGGGCAAGGGTTAATCAGAAAGTCTGAGAAGTCTGAATGCTCTCGTGGTCCTGCCATCCCCAGAGGATGGTGTTCTGATCCAGGGGCTTAGGAATTACGGGAAGGGAGTGGCAACTGTAGTATAGCATAATTATGGCCCATACTCCCAAGATCAGGTACCCCTGCCTGGGGATCATAGGTGCCTCTGTGCATTCAAGGGCTCAAAAGCTGCTGCGGCCCAACAGCTTGAGACTGGCAAGTGACTCAGATGCAGAGTCAGACTCTCGGGCAAGCTCTCCCAACTCCACCGTCTCCAACACCAGCACCGAGGGCTTCGGGGGCATCATGTCTTTTGCCAGTAAGTGCCTTCAGCTGTCTCTCTCACTCCTGTGTTCCATTTTCTCTACAGCAGAGCCTGACTATGGCAAATGTTGCTTAGAACTTCACATGTAGGGCTAGGTTGGCATTAGCAAGCCCTAATCCAGTCATTTGGGTGATACTGAATAAGGCGTTTTCAAGTGAGGTCAGTAAAGGACAGGGACAGATTAGTCATTATGCCTGGACATTTCAGTCTATTTCAGGTAAGACAGCTGGATGGGTAACTGGAAAACAGGCAGTAAATTCAAAATCACACACTTGTACTTATATTTTGTGGAAATACTCTGGTCAAATTTGATTTGAGTCCATATCTGGTATCTTCTTTGCCTCATAACGGACTCTTCCATGAATGTGCTTTGAAATCGATATGAGATTGAATTTTGTGCTTAGATAGTATTCCCAGCAGTGCAGGGTCGTATCAGCTAAAGATTGAAGACAGACCATGGACTAGAGAGAGCGAACGTAGAGGATCCCTGTGATTGTGAGTTTCTTCAGCAGCCAGGGAGGGACAGTGCCAGCTTCAGACCAGAAGCCTGTTAACTGCCAGCTTTCATGCTGTGTAGCAGTGGATGAGAGACTTGGATATTATCATGTGAGGTGGACAGAGAAAGCTGTTACTGGGTTTTGGCTGATCCTGGCAGTGGCTCCATTGTTTGCCTGGAGTTAGACTTGATCCTTTCTAAGACAGATCAGAGATGATCTGATCCACCAAACTGGGATTGTGTTTGAAAAGGAGGGAGGTGCAGATGCTGATAGTCATTAGTCTACTGCTTTGATTACTTACTCTGCCAAGTCATCGCTCTTGCACCCTCCCCTTGATAGGCAGCCTCTATCGGAACCACAGTACCAGCTTCAGTCTTTCAAACCTCACACTGCCCACCAAAGGTGCCCGAGAGAAGGCCACGCCCTTCCCCAGTCTGAAAGGTAACTACAGCCTTCCTTTTGCCAAGCCAGGTTTCTCCGGGAGATGTTTCGGGCTGTGGGTTCATGTCAGGAGCCCTGCATCTGCTGAATCCTTTGACCTGGTTGTCGTCCCTCATGTTGCTCCTCATGGCTTTCACCGCACATCCTGGGCTCTGATGGTTGTCAGATGGAAACCATCTTTGTAGCTAGAGACGGCCCTGTTATGTCATTTAGGACAATGGCAACTGTGGGATTACTGCTGCTTCGCGGGAGGACCCTGTCAGGGTATATGATTAACATAGGGATCATCAGCTGCCCCCAGTCGTCTGCTGGGTTGCCACTGCATGAACTTAGGGCAAATTCCGTGCCAAGGAGCTGGCCCACCAGAGAATGGTTATGGAGAGCCTGGCAGCGTTCATAGAGCACAGCCTCTCACCTCTCACGCACTCATAAGCCTGTCAACCCAGGGCTTAATGAGTGCGCCAGGTAGTATTGGTTAGTTTCTAGGGGCAGTTAAAACCTTATGTGAAAGCCAGGCGCGGTGGCTCACGCCTGTAATCCCAGCACTTTGGGAGGCCGAGGCGGGTGGATCACGAGGTCAGGAGTTCGAGACCAGACTGACCAACATGGCGAAACGCCGTCTCTGCTAAAAATACAAAAGTTAGCCATCTGGTGTCACGCACCTGTAATCCCAGCTACTTGGGAGGCTGAGGCAGGAGAATCGCTTGAATCCAGGAGGCGGAGGTTGCAGTGAGCCGAGGTCGCGCCACTGCACTCCAGCCTGGGTGACAGAGCAAGACTCCGTCTTAAAAAAACAAAAAACAAAAAACGAAACCTTATTTGAATTGGTTTGTGCTATCTGACAGTTTCAGGGGCTTTTCTGAATTTGATTTTTTATTTTTTTTATTTTCTGAGACAGTGTCACTCCGTCACCCAGGCTGGATGGAGTGCAAGGTGGTGATCTTGGCTCACTGTAACTGCCGCCATCCAGGCTCAAGTGATTCACATGCTTCAGCCTCCCGTGTAGTTGGAATTATAGGCACATACCACCTCGCCTGGCTAATTGTTGTATTTTTAGTAGAGACGGGGTTTCACCATGTTGGCCAGGCTGGTCTTGAACTCCTGACCTTGAGTGATCTGCCCACCTTGGCCTCCCAAAGTGCCAGGATTACAGGTGTGAGCCACTGCACCTGGCCTGATTTTTTTGTTTTCTCTGGATGGTATGACGAAATATTTAACTGTGGTAGGAAGTGCAGTGAGAAACATGTATTTTTTTTTTTTTTTTTTTTTTTTTGAGACAAGAGTCTCGCTCTGTTGCCCAGGCTGGAGTGCAGTGGTGCAATCTTGCCTCACTGCAAGCTCCGCCTCCCGGGTTCACACCATTCTGCCTCAGCCTCCTGAGCAGCCGGGACTATAGGAGCCTGCCACCACGCCTGCCTAATTTTTTGTATTTTTAGTAGAGACAAGGTTTCACCGTGTTAGCCAGGATGGTCTCGATCTCCTGACCTTGTGATCTACCCGCCTTGGCCTCCCAAAGGGTTGGGATTACAGGCGTGAGCCACCGCACCTGGCCAACCTCATGTATTCTTTAACTGACCTCTCATTCCTAGTGGTAAAAAATGTCAGGTTACTTGGGTGCAGTAGCTCACACCTGTCATCCTAGCTACTTGTTAGGCAGAGGCAGGAGGTTCATTTGAGCCCAGGAGTTTGAGGTACAGTGAGCTATAATTAGGCCAGTGCACTCCAGCCTGGACGACAGAGTGAAACCCTGTCTCTAAAAGAAGCCAACAGAAACAAACAAAGTTGTCAGGAGTCTAAGACATGTTCTTAGGTGAGGATGGGAACATTGGATAAATGGGCAAAAGGACATCAGAGCTGGCAGTGAAAGGAGCGAACTAGCACTGCCAGGGAATCCACATGTGGCCGGGTAGGCTAAGGATGGAAGGGTGTCAGTGTCACTGGCCTTCATTTGGTACATTTGAAGAGAAGAGCGATTGAAACTCTTTCATTGCATGCTGATGCTTTGTCGCATTTGCTGCACTTACCCTCTCACCCATCTCCCATCCTCATACCCTGACCCCACTCCCCACAACAGCATCTGCAAGATGGGTTGCTTCCCTGCACATACCCTCAGGCCCCTGGCCCTCTGTGCTGGATGTTTTCTGAAAACCAGCGGTCCCTGTTTCATGCATGTGTGTGTTCAGTACCTGAAGGCTCCCTGTGTCATTTACCCGCCCCTGGCTTGAGAGGCCAGTTTTAAGGGTGGTCTTTTCTTAGAGCCTTGGTTGTCTCCTGGTCACTTGGCTTCCAGCTCTGAGGTGCCCAAGAACCAAGGTTATGTGCATTCCTCAAGCTTTGGGAGAATGCTCAGATTATCTGGCTTACTGCTCCTCGGAGGGGTAGAGGGGTTGCGGTATTGTGGTACACCTACTAATTGTGTATTTTGTGTCCCAGTATTTGGGCTAAATACTCTAATGGAGATTGTTACTGAAGCCGGCCCCGGGAGTGGTGAAGGTGGGTCTTGCCTGTGAGCTGTGCATGATCTTTTTTTTTTCTCTAGCATCTTCTGTGCCTGCCCGAGGGCCATCCTTCTCATGGAGCAAGCAGCGTCACATGAGTGACCTGCTTGCCCCGTCCCCCGTGACGCCCATGCTTGCCCATGGGGCTTGCTGCTGGTGCATGTGGAGTGGCCTGAGTCTCCATCCCCACCTCCTCCACATTGCCATGGCTGGTTTCTACCTACGTATGATGCCTTGGTGCTACCCTCACCCAGCCCTTCTGAGGAACGGGCATGGAACATGGCTACTTAGGGCTGTGCTGGCATGAGCTCCTGTACTACAATAGTGATGTCTCTCATTCCTGCCTTCCCTGCCACAGGAAACAGGAGGGCGTTAGTGGATCAGAAGTCATCTGTCATTAAACACAGCCCAACAGTGAAAAGAGAACCTCCATCACCCCAGGGTCGATCCAGCAATTCTAGGTAATAAATGGTAGAGCTGTTTTAAAAGTTCTCAGGCAGAGGTGGGGTGGTTCCTCTACAGAACTTTAGGGATGCTCAAGAGTGGGAGAGAAGCTCTCAATGGGGTAGATGTAATCAATTTCTTGCCAGCACTTCTCATTCTGGCTTGATCTCCATGCAACTGAAAGCTTACAGTGTTGAGGGGGGTTAATCAGCAGCGGTGGGTATTTGGACAAATCGCGTGCTCCAGAGAGGTGGGGATGTGGTGCACTTGGACATTCAGAGACATGGCTTTGTGTTTTACCCCTGGAGGCAGACATCTAGTCTGGGTGAAAGGTGGGGGGTGCTCTGCAAAGGAGCTGATGACCACAGAAGCGGTGTGTGGACCCTGTAGTGAGAACCAGCAGTTCCTGAAGGAGGTGGTGCACAGCGTGCTGGACGGCCAGGGAGTTGGCTGGCTCAACATGAAAAAGGTGCGCCGGCTGCTGGAGAGCGAGCAGCTGCGAGTCTTTGTCCTGAGCAAGCTGAACCGCATGGTGCAGTCAGAGGACGATGCCCGGCAGGACATCATCCCGGATGTGGTCAGTGTTGGGGGTAGGGAATCGGAGTAACTGGAGAGAGGGATGTGAACACCACAGGCAATTTGCCAACGCTAGCCCCTGGGTTATTGTTGCAGGAGATCAGTCGGAAGGTGTACAAGGGAATGTTAGACCTCCTCAAGTGTACAGTCCTCAGCTTGGAGCAGTCCTATGCCCACGCGGGTCTGGGTGGCATGGCCAGCATCTTTGGGCTTTTGGAGATTGCCCAGACCCACTACTATAGTAAAGGTAGGGATCGTACTTGCTGGGCACCACGCCATCCCTAACTCTGCCACTTGTCTCCTGAAGAGAAAATATATGTGTACCCAGGACACGTTTCCCAGTGCCACGCTGCTTCCCATTAGGCTTTGGGATTTTATTTTCTAATGCATGTTTATACGCAGTGGGTATTCTTTGTTACGAAAAATAAGACATCAGCTCATCTTTCCTTGAACTTCTTCCATTCCGCACCCTCCTGTATCCTGGCTCCTCCCACCTCATATCTGCGCCTTGATTCCTACTCACTACTTCTCTTGACCTCTTGATATTTTTCCCTCAGAACCAGACAAGCGGAAGAGAAGTCCAACAGAAAGTGTAAATACCCCAGTTGGCAAGGATCCTGGCCTAGCTGGGCGGGGGGACCCAAAGGCTATGGCACAACTGAGAGTTCCACAACTGGGACCTCGGGCACCAAGTGCCACAGGAAAGGGTCCTAAGGAACTGGACACCAGAAGTTTAAAGGAAGAAAATTTTATAGCATCTATTGGTACGTATCAGTGTGTTTGGTGTGGTGGAGGGGTCCTGGCTTCTTAAATATCCCTTTCTCCTCAATTCATCCAGAATCCTGCCTTTCTCTGCCCCATGCTTTGCTTCTTAGAGAGGGAAGGGGGCCTGTGTCCATTTCTGGTGGTGTTTCTTTGTACTTCTCTAGTCTTTATGCTTCATCCACAGCCACCCCCCACCCCGTATCTTAGATGAAGAATGGTAAGTTTTGTTTAGAGGGCCCAATGAGGCTTACTGCAGGGGGTGTGAGCTGTACTCCTGGCCCCTCCTTTTATTTACGTCTGCATTTCTTCACATAGTGGAGAGAATTCCTGGAAGTGCTCAGGAAGTTTATAGATGCATTTTTGGGCTATAAAATTATGACATTTGTGTCTCTGAAGCCAGTGTCCTCCCATCCAACCATTATACTCCTCTGGAATGTGCTCCTCTGGGGCATGCCTGGCAACCCCATTTCCCTGGGTTCTGGATCTTTGAGGTATAGGTTTCCAAGTCAGTTCTTTAAATGCTTCTTCACTGGACTTGATTATAATCTCGTTTACATTTGGTGTTTCTCCGTTCCCACAAAGGCAGTGCCTTAGTGAGCTTTCTAGGCATCACCTCTGTTTGGCTCACTCCCTGCTTGACCTTGAGTCATCGAGGTTGGATCTTTCTTTTTCTGGTTCTAGGTCCCTAGGCACTCTGCTTCCAGCTGACATCTCATTGCCATGGCCATTAGCAGTTGCCATATGCTCCCATAAATGGTGACATGGAACCAGATTCCTTTTTAGGGGAGCTACACTTCCCTAGCCAGCAGAATATTATTCTAGTAGCAGTCAACTCCTGGCTTTCTCCTGCCTCATGTGATGTTGTAGAAAATGTACTGACCTGCTAGTCTGGAGATCTGGAGTTTTAGTCCCATATCAGCCTCCAACTAGGAATGCAACTTTGGGCAAATAACTTCACCTCTCAGGGTATCTGTCTCTTCATCTGGGAAATGAGGAAATCATACTAAGTACACTCTGAAGTTCCTTCCAGGAAAAGAATTGCTGTGGTTGCCATTCTGTCTGCTTTTCCCTATGAAGATGCTGGTCTTGACCATTTTATGTTCTCTGTCACCTCAACTGGAGGCATTTTTCCAGATCACTGGTGGGTAGGGCAGGTAGGGGTGAGTTGGTTTCTTGAGGAGCAATGAGGAGGGATGCTAACTGCCTGCATGAATTGGCCTTTGTTCAGTCCAGTGAATCAAGCAAAGATTGGTGTTCTTCCTTCTGAAACTCTGGCTGCTTGAGGTGTTCATCTGTCTCATCTGGAATCTGAAAAATTGCCCTTCCCCAGCTCATTTGGTAGAGAGAGTGTGTGGCATGGTGGGAGTTTAAATGGATCCTAAGTTACATGATCTTGATCAAGTGCTCCAGCCTCTTTAGGACCAGTTCCTCATGCAAAAATGAAGGAGCTTTGTTAAGGGCACTTCCAGCTCTAACATTCTGCAGGGTTTTTACTGCCACATTGGGATTGGAATTAGAAATTTGGAATCTGTTCATGAGTTTGGGTGGAGGGGTTAGATCTCTTGTTTTCTGCCCCTTCTCCCCATGAAGATATCTTTGTATCTCTTGGTTGGTAATCCAGTGCCTGAGACTGAATCGACTTGGGTGGGTGGGTTTCCATTTCGTCTGTCTGACCAGCCTCTGACTTTCTGTCTTTCTCTCCTGCTTGCATTGCATCTGGGGTAGAATTGTGGAACAAGCACCAGGAAGTGAAAAAGCAAAAAGCTTTGGAAAAACAGAGTAAGGAACAAATGCCCTTTCCTGTTCCCAAGTCCTCCATACCTGCCAACTCCCCAGGCCCAGTTGGGGCAGGCTCCCTTTGTCAGCCCCACCCCAAATTTGCTCTTAGAGCGTGTTTGGAATGGCAGCAGGTAGGTAGCATGTGACTCCTAGGTGTGTGTAGGCCGCTTCTTTCCCCCTCCCCTCGTGTCAATCAGGCTATAACCAGGTGTCTACTGAATACAACTCCCCAGAACTTGGTTCTCTGTTGCTTCAGAGTTGGTGGGGAGAATGTTTGCCTATTTTAGTGCCCCCCATTGGCTGATATCTCCCACACCTGTTAGAAGGCCTGTGGGCACAGTTGGCAGAGATGGTTGCTGTCCCTCCATGTTGAGTCTGTAGCTGCCCCACTCTCTGGTGGCTTGCCTAGGCACGCTTTCTTGCTTTCTGTCATTCTGT
Source organism: Homo sapiens (assembly GCF_000001405.40). Taxonomy (NCBI): domain Eukaryota; kingdom Metazoa; phylum Chordata; class Mammalia; order Primates; family Hominidae; genus Homo; species Homo sapiens. The sequence goes on from NC_000011.10 coordinate 47,293,035, forward strand.
CTTTCTGCCATACCATTGTGGGTGGGTGGGGGACAAGGGGGGTGGTTTTCATCTCAAACATAGAAGTTGTAGGATGGAGGTAGGCAGTGCCCACCAAAACAGCTGGTGTTTCTTATCTCATCGGGCCCAACCTTTTCTACCTCCTTTAGACACATTTGTTTGGGAAGCATTAAGGGACCTGGGGACCATTAAATGGTTTCAGGTACCAGTGAAGCTCAGACTCTTGAGTGCCATGGAATGTGGTTTAGACATTTGTTCGTGGAGCTTTTCTTTTTTTTTTTTTTTGAGATGGAGTCTTGCTCTGCTGCTCAGGCTGGAGTGCAGTGGTACGATCTTGCCTCACTGCAACCTCTGCCTCCAGGGCTCAAGCAATTGTCGTGCCTCAACCTCCCGAGTAGCTGAGATTACAGGTGTGCATCACCACGCCCGGCTAATTTTTGTATTTTTTGGTAGAGACAGGGTTTCATCATGTTGGCCAGGCTGGTCTCAAACTCCTGACTTCAGGTGATCTACCTGCCTCAGCCTCCCAAAGTGCTGGGATTACAGTCGTGAGCCACCATGCCCAGCCTTGTGGAGCTTCTCTGTTTTAAGATGATTTGCTCAGAATTTTCTCAGGTTGAGAAGATGGCTGGAGAACCCATTGAGACCAGGTCTGATTTGTCCTACTTGGTTCTTAAGGCATCTGGGGTCCTCTTTTTCCAGTGGGTCCTGAGTGGGGGGTAGTCCTTGGAAAGGTGACTAGGATGGGCTGAACGGGTCTGGGAACAGCCTGTGCTGCCGTCCCACCCCCTTTACCAGCCTGCCCCTAGCCTTTGTGCACGGAGTAACAGAAGTCTTCCCCTACTCAGGGCCTGAAGTAATCAAACCTGTCTTTGACCTTGGTGAGACAGAGGAGAAAAAGTCCCAGATCAGCGCAGACAGTGGTGTGAGCCTGACGTCTAGTTCCCAGGTTTGTGACAACCTTGTTGAAATTTGCAAGTATTAAATATGCTGTCTCAGAATACTTCTTTAAGTTAAAATAGAACAGTCAGACAGCCGGGCACAGTGGCTCATGCTTGTAATCCCAGCACTTTGGGAGGCCGAGGCGGGTGGGTCACCTGAGGTCGGGAGTTCGAGACCAGCCTGACCAACATGGTGAAACCCCGCCCCTATGAAAAATACAAAATTAGCCAGGCATGGTGGCGCATGCCTGTAATCCCAGCTACTCGGGAGGCTGAGGCAGGAGAAATGCTTTAACCGGTGGGCGGAGGTTGTGGTGAGCCGAGATTGTGCTGTTGCACTCCAGCCTGGGCAACAAAGGTGAAACTCCATCTCAAAAAAAAAAAAAAATAAAAATAAAAATAAAATAGCCAGGTGCGGTGGTTCATGCCTGTAATCACAGGACTTTGGGAGGCCGAGGCAGGTGGGTCACTTGAGGTCAGGAGTTGGAGTTGGAGACCAGCCTGGCCAACGTAGTGAAACCCCGTCTCTACTAAAAATACAAAAGTTAGCTGGGTGTGGTGGCGGGCACCTGTAATCCCAGCTACTTAGGAGGCTGAGGCAGGAGAATCACTGGAACCCGGGAGGCAGAGGTTGCAGCGAGCTGAGATTGCGCCACTGCACTCCAGCCTGTGCCGCAGAGTGAGACTCCGTCTCAAAAAAAAAAAAAAAAAAAAAAAATGAACAACCTCAAAACAATATAAATAACTAATGATAAGGGAATTATTAAATAAGTATAATAGATCCATGTAATGCAATATTAGTATCCATTAAAGATTGTGTTTTCAAAAATTTAGTGACATGGGAAACTGTTTAACAAAGCTACCTATAGTGTGACTCCAATTTTATTTTTAAAATGTATTGAGAAAAAACTGAAAGGAAATATACTAAAAACAGTGGTTAACGTGGGAGGTAGATTTACAGCTTGTTCTTATTTCCTTATTCTTTCATGTATTTTCTACAGTGAGCATGTACTTCTTTAACGCATTGTTTTTTGTTTTTTTGTTTTTTTTTTTGAGACAGGGTCTCATTCTGTCGCTGCAGCTGGAGAGCAGTGGTGTGCTCTCTGCTCACTGCAGCCTCAAACTCCTGGGCTCAAGTGATGCTCCCACCTCAGCGTCCTGAGCATCTGGGACCGCAGGCACCCACCACCATGCCTGGCTAAGTTTGTGTATTTTTTGTAGAGATGGGGTTTCGCCATGTTGCCCAGCCTGGTCTCCAACTCCTGGGCTGAAATGATCCTCCCACCTCAGCCTCCCAAAGTGCTAGGACTACAGGCGTGAGCCACTGTGCCCGGCCTATTTCTTTTTTTTATTACATAAGTTGTACATATTTTATATTCTGGAAACAAAAGTTGCTCGTGACTTCTCTAAGGATGATAACAGAAGGGTGGGGATGAGGAGAAAGAAAAAGGTACAGTATTTCTGTGGGAAACTGAGAGGAGATTGGACACCTCCCCTAATGTTCCTGTGTCTTGTTTCAGAGGACTGATCAAGACTCTGTCATCGGCGTGAGTCCAGCTGTTATGATCCGCAGCTCAAGTCAGGATTCTGAAGTTAGCACCGTGGTAGGGGAACACCACACTGGCATCTTGGTGGGTGGGGTGTGGATTTCCCCTTTGGAAAAGGGTGCTACTTTCTCTTTGGAGGCTGCTCTGAGTCTCAGGTCAGCATGGTTCTCATGGTGGAGATGTTTACCATCATAGGTGTGTGTATACGAGATTTCACCCAGAGCTTCTCATCTTATAAAGAAGGTACTTCCAGAGGCTATCTGACACACTTTTGAAATTTAATACTTTTTTATGGTGGCAGGGAGCTCTAACAGCTTGGTATTTCTGGGGCCCATCCCTGGGGACTGTCTCTTACTACCTTTTTTCCTTTCCAGGTGAGTAATAGCTCTGGAGAGACCCTTGGAGCTGACAGTGACTTGAGCAGCAATGCAGGTGATGGACCAGGTGGCGAGGGCAGTGTTCACCTGGCAAGCTCTCGGGGCACTTTGTCTGATAGTGAAATTGAGACCAACTCTGCCACAAGCACCATCTTTGTAAGCTTTGTTTATTAACAAAAGAAAACCATTTCTTTAATGGGGGAGGGAAGCAGGCAAGAAAAGAATGAAAGTTAAGAGACGCTAAAGAGGTAAAGGTTAAATAAGGAAGAGGTAATCTTCTTATATTTGGCTTTAAGGAAAACATTTCTTAAGGCTTTGTTCAGAGTCATTTGACTCACAATCTGGGGCTTTTAGAACCCTCTCCTGAATCATTGATGAGTTAGGCTCCGTGCCCAGTCACGTAAGGGCTTTGAATCCTATGTAGTATTAACCCCCAGGTTTAACACAGGCAAAGTAATACCTTTGTGGCAATGTCAGGACAATTACAGCTCTCGTTTAGTACCAGTCTGCCTATTTCTATGGACTATCCAGTTTTATTTTGGTCACTGCTCTATTTATAAATAAAATAGCATTTTATTTTAGTATATTCCTAACAGTTATTTGAAGTTTTCATTCATTAATAAACATCCATGAAGTGATTTACTAAGTGCCAGATTTTGTGCTAAAGAAACAGGGATGAAAAAGGCATGGTTTCTACTCAAGAAGTTTGTGATTCACTATATTGCTGTGAGTAGTCTCTTCTAATAGGTGAGGGGAACAATGCCTTAGGAAAAAAGAACTTCCCTAGATCACACAGTAAGCCCATGATCAGCTGGAAGGAGATGAATTCTTTTTAGTCCTTGCCGTAGACATCTGTTTTTTGTTGTTTTTTTTTTTTTTTTTTTTTACACAGGGTCTCACTCTGTTGCCCAGGCTGGAGTGTAGTGGCACAGTCACTGCTCAACTGCTCACTGCAGCTTTGACCTGTTAGGCTCAAGTGATCCTCCCACCTCAGCCTCCCAAGTAGCTGGGACTGCAGGCATACACCACCATGCCTGGCTAATTTTTTAGTTTTTTGTAGAGATGGGGTTTCCCTCTGTTGTCTAGGCCAGTCTCAAACTCCTGGGTTAAGTGAGCCTCCTGCCTTGGCCTCTTAAAGTGGCATGAGCCACTGTGCCCAGCCTCTGCTTTTTAATGTGTATGTGCCTCTATAGGCTGTGTTAAAACACTGATAGACTTGTTACTTTATTAAACAGAGATGAGAATGGATGTTCTCTACAAGAGCTTATACGCATAGGTCCTTATCTTTAAGGCCTATGGGGAGAAAGGAAGATAAAAGTTAAATGAAACCAACTATTTAAAACTGGTTATCATTCCCACCCCCAGAGCCTTCTGTATGTGTGTTTTTAATAGAGTCAGTGACCTCCCAGAGTGGAGATTGGGAATAGGACTGAGAGGCTACTCAAGTTAATGGGCCTTAACTCTCTCTCAGTCTGAACAGACTGATTGGCTGATTGAGTGATTGATTTTTCTTTTGTGCTGACAGTTTATTAGGGGTTTTCTTTTCTTTTCTTTTTTTTTTTTTTGAGATGGAGTCTCGCTGTGTCACCCAGGCTGGAGTGCAGTGGTGCGATCTCGGCTCACGGCAAGCTCCGCCTCCTGGGTTCACACTCTTCTCTTGCCTCAGCCTCCCAAGTAGCTGGGACTACGGGTGCCCGCCACCACGCCCAGCTAATTTTTTGTATTTTTAGTGGAGATGGGGTTTCACCATGTTAGCCAGGACGGTCTTGATCTCCTGACTTCGTGATCTGCTCGCCTTGGCCTACCAAAGTGCTGGGATTACAGGCGTGAGCCACTGCTCCCGGCCAAGGGTTTTCAATAATGTTTTCTTTTCTTTTCTTTCTTTCTTTCTTTTTTTTTTTTTTTTTGAGATAGAATCTTGCTCTGTCGCCCAGGCTGGAGTGCAGTGGCGCGATCTCTGCTCACTGCAATCTCCACCTCCCAGGTTCACACCATTCTCCTTCCTCAGCCTCCCGAGTAGCTGGGACTACAGGCGCCCACCACCATGCCCGGCTAATTTTTTGTATTTTTAGGAGAGATGGGGTTTCACCGTGTTAGCCAGGATGGTATCAATCTCCTGACCTTGTGATCTGCCCACCTCGGCCTCCCAAAATGCTGGGATTACAGGCATGAGCCACCGCGCCCGGCCTTCTTTACATATTAGTTCAACCTTCACCACAAAATCTAACCATGGATCGTAAAAATTAAATTGGCAACGGGGCTAGCCTGCTATACTTCCTGTTTACTTTTAGATGCTTTTCAAACCAATAAGGATGACATTTGTGGTGGAAGGAGCCAGAGTAATAGGAAAATTACTTCTCTTCGCTTAGAAGAAAATCCTCCACCTTGAGCATCTTCTGAACTTTTTACTATAAGACATCTCAGTGCTTGCTTGTACTCTTCAGCCGCATAACTGTGAAGATAGCAACCATCAGTTTCTCATAAATGGAAGCGGCAGTGAGAACCGTCTACAGCAGTTTGGCTTCAAGGCCTGTGTAGAGGCCCATTATTCCAAAACACCTGTTAGCCATTTGTATGTCTTCTTTTGAGAGAGATCTATTCAGCTCATTTGCCCATTTTTAAATAGATTATTTGTGTTTTTTTGCTGTTGAGTTTTTTCTTTCTTGTATATTCTGGCTATTAATCCCTTGTCAGATGAATAGTTTGTAAATATTTTCTCCCATTCTGCAGACTGTCTCTTCACTCATTTCATCGTGTCCTTTGTTGTGTAGAAGCTTTTTAGTTTAATATAATCCTGTTTTTGCTTTTGCTTTTGTTGCCTGTACTTTTGAGGTCTCCATAAACTTTTTGCCCAGACCAATGTCCTGAAGCATTTCTGCTACGTTTTCTTCTAGTAGTTTTATAGTTTTGGGTCTTACAGTTAAGTCTTTAATCCATTTTGGGTTGATTTTTGTATATGGTGAGAGCTAAGGGGTCTAGTTTTATTTTTCTGAATAATGGATATCAAGTTTTCCGAGCAGCATTTATTGAAGAGACTGTCCCTATCCCCAGTGAATATTCTTGGTTCCTTTGTCAAAAAACAGTTGGCTATAAATATATGGATTTCTTTCTGGGTTCTCTATTCTGTTCCATTGGTCTATGGGTCTGTTTTTTATGCCAGTAGCATGCAGTTATGGTTACTATAGCTTTGTCTTATATTTTGAAGTCTAGTAGTGTGATTCCTTTTTGTCCAGGATTGTTTTGGCTATCTGGGGTCTTTTGTGGTTCCATATGAATTTTAGGATTTTTTTTCTATTTCTGTGAAGAATACCGTTGGTATTTTGGTAGGGATTGCATTGAATCTGTAGATCACTTTTGGTAGTATGGTCATTTTCACAATATTCGTCCAATCCATGAACATGGTATATCTTTCCATTTTTTCCCTATACTCTTTCTTACATCAGTGTTTTTTATTTTTCCTCATGGAGATCTTTTACCTCCTTCATAAAAGATAAATTTCTCCTAAGAATTTATTCTTAGGGCATTAATTTGTGGCTATCGTAAATGAGATTGCCTTCTTGATTTCTTTTTCTGCTATTTTATTGTTGGTATATAGACACACTACTGATTTTTATGTTGATTTTGTATCCTGCAAGTTTATTGAATTCACTTATTAGTTCTGAGTTTTCTAGTGGAGATTTTAGGGCTTTTTTTTTTTTTTTTTTTTTTTTTTTAGATGGAACCAGGCTCAAGCAGTCCTTCCATCTCAGTCTCCCGAGTAGCTGGGACTGTAGGCATGCACCACCGTGCCCAGCTGATTTTTGTATTCTTTGTAGAGACAAGGTGTTGCCATGTTGCCCAGGCTGGTCTAGAACTCCTGGGCTCAAGCAGTCCACCCGCCTTGGCCACCCAAAGTGCTAGGATTAACAGGTGTGAAGCACAACACCCAGCCTAATTTTAGGGACAGTTTGACTTCCTTCTGTCCAAGTTGGATGCCCTTTATTTCTTTCTCTGGCCAATTGCTTTGATTAGCATTTCCAGTTGAATAAAAGTGGTGGAAGTAGACATCCTTGTCTTGCTACAGATTGTAGAGGAAAAACTTTCATCTTTCCCCATTCAGTATGATGTTGGTTGTGGGTTTGTCATATATGACTTTTATTGTTTTGAGGTATGTTCGCTCTGTACCTAACTTGTTGAGAGCTTTTATCATGAAGGAATGTTGACTTTTATCAAATACTTTTGTATTTGGTATTCGTTCTTCTTTAAATGTTTTTAGAATTCTGCATTGAAGCTATTGGGTCCTGAGGCTTTCTTTTCTTTTTTCTTTCTTTTTTTTTTTTTTTTTTAAGACGGAGTCTTGCTCTGTTGCCCAGGCTGGAGTGCAGTTGTGCGATCTCGGCTCACTGCTACCCCCGCCTCCCGGGTTCAAGCAGTTCTCCTGCCTCAGTCTCCCAAGTAGCTGGGATTACAGGCGCCCACGACCACGCCTGGCTAATTTTTGTATTTTCAGTAGAGACAGGGTTTCACCATGTTGGCCAGGGTGGTCTCGAACTCCTGACCTCAAGTGATCTACCCCCCGCCCGCCCCAAAGTGCTGGGATTACAGGCGTGAGCCACTGCGCCCAGCTTTTTTTCTTTGAGACAGAGTCTCGCTCTGTTGCTCAGGCTGGAGTGCAATGGTGTGATGTTGGCTCACTGCAACCTCTGCCTCCCAGGTTCAAGCAATTCTCATACCTCAGCCTCTTGAGTAGCTGGGATTACAGGTATTCACCACCATGCCTGGCTAATTTTTGTATTTTTAGTAGAGACAGAGTTTCACCACGTTGGCCAGGCTAGTCTTGAACTCCAGGCCTCAAGTGATCTGCCCGCCTCAGCCTCCCAAAGTGCTGGGATTATAGGCGTGAACCACCGTGCCCTGTGATGGGAAGCTTTTTATTACAGATTCAATCTCATTACTTGAAATTGGACTATTCAGGTTTCTGTTTCTTGGTTAAATCTTGGTAGGTTGTCTATGTCTAAATTTATCCGTTTCTAATTTGTTGGCATATAGTTATAGTCTCCAGTGATTTTTTGTTTTTCTGTGATGTCAATTGTAATGTTTACTTTTTTGTTTTTGGTGTTTTCTTGGTGGAGGTCTTTTCACTCTCTCTCTTTTTTTTTTTTTGGTTAGTCTAGCTCTAATGGTTTGTGGATTTTGTTTATCTTTACAAAGATGAACTTTTCATTTTGTTGATTATTAATTTATTTATTTTGAGATGGAGTTTTGCTCTTGTTGCCCAGGCTGGAGTGCAGTGGTGCAATCTTGGCTCACTGCAGTCTCCACCTCCCAGGTTCAAGTGATTCTTCTGCCTCAGCTTCCCAAGTAGCTGAGATTACAGGTGCCCACCACCACAACCGGCTAAATTTTTTTTTGTATTTTTAGTAGAGATGGGGTTTTGCCATGTTGGCCAGGCTGGTCTCAAACTCCTGGCCTAAGGTGATCCACCCATCTCAGCCTCCCAAAATGCTGGGATTATAGGCATGAGCCACCACGCCCGGCCTATTTTTTTAAGTCTCAAGTTTTATTTCTGCTCTGATCTTGATTATTTCTTCTAATTTTGGGTTTGGTTTGTTCTTGCTTTCACAATTCTTTGAGCTGCATCATTAAGTTGATTTGAAATCTTCCTACTTTTTTGATGTGACGTTTATTGCTATAAGCTTCTTTCTTAATACTGCTTTTGGTGTATCCCATAGGTTTTGGTATGCTGTGTTTTTATGTTCATTTGTGTGAAGAAATTTTTAAATTTCCTTCTTAATTTCTTTGTTGACCCATTGGTCACTCAGGAGCATATTGTTTAATTTCCATTTATTTGTATGATTTTAAAAGTTTCTTGTTATTTATTTCTAATTTTCAGAGCACAGTGTTCCTTTGTGGTCTGAAAAGATACTTGCTGTGATTTCAGTTTTCTTAAATTTCTCATTATACTTATTTTGTGGCCTCATATGTGGTCTGTCCTAGAGAATGTTCTGGGTGTTGATGAAAAGAATGTGTATTCTACACCTGTTGGATGGAATGTTCTGTAAATGTCTGTTAGGTCCATTTGGTCTAAAATGCAATCTAAATGTAAAATGTAGTATAAATCCGGTATTTCTGTGTTGATTTTCTGTCTAGATGATCTGTCCAATGCTGAGAGTGGGGTATTGAAGTCCCCAACTGTTATTGTATTGGTGTGTATCTCTCCCTTTAGATCTAATAATACTTGCTTTATATAGCTGTTCTGTGTTGAATGCATATATATTTGCAATTGTTATATCCTCTTATTGTTATTACATAATTACTTTCTTTGTCTCTTTTTAGGTTTTTTTTGTGTGTGTGAGACAGAGTCTCACTCTGTCGCCCAGGCTGGAGTGCAGTGGCGCAATCTCCGCTCACTGCAACCTCCACCTCCTGGGTTCAAGCGATTCTCCTGCCTCAGCCTCCCAAGTAGCTGGGACTACAGGTGTCTGCTGCCATGCCCAGCTAATTTTTGTATTTTTAGTAAAGACAGGGTTTCACCATGTTGGCCAGGCTGGTCTCAAACTCCTGACCTTGTGATCTGCCCGCTTCGGCCTCCCAAAGTGCTGGGATTACAGGCGTGAGCCACCGTGCTCAGCCTCTTTTTAGTTTTTGACATAAAGTCTGTTTTATCTGATATAATTATAGCTACTCTTGCTTGCTTTTGGTTTCTATTTGTGTGAAATATCTTTCTCCATCCCTTCACTTTCAGTCTGTATGTGTCTTTGCTAGTGAAATGAGTTTCTTGTAGGCAGCATATAGTTAGGTCAAGTATTTTTTTTTTTTAATCCATTCAGCCAGTCTACCCCTTTTAAGTGAGGGAATTTAATCTATTTACATTCAAGGTTGTTATTGATAGTGTGGACTTACTTCTGTTGTTTTGTTAATTGTTTTCTGATTATTTTGTATGTCCTTTGTTTCTTCCTCTCATTTATCATTATGGTTTGGTGGTTTTCTGTAGAGATAAGGTTTGATTCTTTTCTTTTTCTCCTTTGTGTGTCTGTTCTACAAGTGGATTTCATACTTTTGTGTATTTTCATGATAGTAATTATCATCTTTTTACTTCCAGATGTAGGACTCCCTTGAGCATGTCTTGTAAGGGTGTGATGACTTCCTCATTTTTTTTTTCATGTCTGGGAAAGACTTAGTTTATCCTTCATTTCTGAAGCACAACTTTGCTGGGTATAGTATTCTTGACTGAGATTCTTTTTCTTGCAGCGCTTTGAATATATCATCCCATTCTCTACTGGCTTGTAAAGTTTCTGCAGAGAAATCTGTTAGTTTAATAGAGATTCCCTTAAATGTGACTTAACACTTTTCTCTTGCTGTTTTTTTTTTTTTTTTTTTTGAGACGGAGTCTCACTCTGTCACCCAGGCTGGAGTACAGTGGTGCAATCTCGGCTCACTGCAAGCTCCGCCTCCTGGGTTCACACCATTCTACCTCAGCCTCCTGAGTAGCTAGGACTAAGGTGCCTGCTACCATGCCTGGCTAATTTTTATGTATTTTTAGTAGAGACGGGGTTTCACCATGTTAGCCAGGATGGTCTCGATCTCCTGACCTCGTGATCTGCCTGCCTCGGCCTCCCAAAGTGCTGGGATTACAGGCGTGAGCCACTGCACCCGGCCTTCTCTGGCTGTTTTTAGAATTCTCTCTTTGACTTTTGACAATTTGACTGTAATGTACCTTGGAGAGGCCTTTTTTTTTTTTTTTTTTGAGACAGTCTCACTCTGTCACCCAGGCTGGAGTGTAGTAGTGTGATCTCAGCTCACTGCAACCTGCGCCGCTTGGGTTCAAGCTTTTCTCCTGCCTCAGCTTCCTGAGTAGCTGGGATTACAGGCATGCACCACCACGCTCGGCTAATTTTTTTGTATTTTTAGTAGAGATAGGATTTCACCGTGTTGGTCAGGCTGGTCTCGAACTCCTGACTTCAAATGATCTGCCCGCCTTGGCCTCCCAAAGTGCTGGGATTACAGGCGTGAGCCACCGCATCTGGCTGGAGAGGACTTTTTTGGGTTGAATCTGTTTGGGGACTTTTGAGCTTCCTGGATCTGGCTGTCCATCTCTCTCCCCAGACTTGGGAAGTTTTCAGCTATTATTTCATTAAATAAGTTTTTTATGCCTTTCCCCTTCTCTCTTTGGAAATCCAATAATATGAATATTTGTTTACTTAATGAGATCCCCTAAGTGTTGTAGACCTTCTTGACTGTTTTCCATTCTAACTTTTTTCCCTCTGACTAATTTCGAATGACTTATCTTCAAATATAGAGTCATTCTTCTGCTTGATCAAGTCTGCTGTTGTAGTTCTCTATTGTATTTTTTCCTTTTTTTTTTTTTTGAGACGGAGTTTCGCTCTTGTTGCCTAGGCTGGAATGCAATGGCACTATCTCGGCTCACCGCAACCTCTGACTCGTGGGTTAAAGCAATTCTCCTGCCTCAGCCTCCCAAGTAGCTGGGATTACAGGCATGCGCCACCACACCTGGCTAATTTTGTATTTTTTAATAGGGACGGGGTTTCTCCATGTTGCTTCGGCTGGCCTTGAGCTCCCAACCTCAGGCGATCCACCCACCTCACCTCCCAAAGTGTTGGGATTACAGGTGTGAGCCCCCACGCCTGGCCCTCTATTGTATTTTTTAAACTTTGTTCATTGAATTATTCAGCTGCAAGATTTCTGTTTTTTTGTTATGATTTTTATCTCTTTGTTGAATTTCTAATTCATATCATGAACTGTTCTTCTGATTTTGTTGAATCATCTATCTGTATTTTCTTGTATCTCATTGCATTTCCTTAAGATCATTACTTTTAATTTATTTTCTGGCAATTAATTGATTTCCTTTTCATTGGGGTCTATTACCAAAGAGTTATTATGTTCCTGTGGTGGAGTCATATGTCCTTGTTTTTTTCATGTTTCTTATGTCTCTGTGTTGATACCCCACATCTGGCAGAACAGTCACTTCTTCCAAACTCTCTGGAGTGGCTTTCATAGAGAAAGACTTTCACATGCAGTTGGGTTTTAGTGTGCCAGTTGGGAAGGGTATGGCAACTCTGTTTCTGGATAGATGTAGTGGTATGTTTTCTGTGTAGCTTCTTCAGCTGCATTCAACATGAGCAATAACTATGGGTGCCTCAAGAGTCCTAGGCTATAGAAGTGTGGCAGTGGCAGTGGTGGTATATGTTGTTAATATCCTTGGTGTCAAGGAGTTTTGGAGTCCTCCTATTCTCATTTTCCTCACAATGGAGTGACTCAGCCAAGAGAATCCCTCTTGGTGTCAGGTCTGACTGACATGGCCTACAAGCAGCTGCAGAGGCACTGGGTTCCAGGTACAGATGCGTGGAGTAGCTGTGGAGTCAGGTTTCCAGGCTTAGGGTCTCACAAACCTATTGTGGCACCTGGGTATTGGGGTACAGATTTGCTCTCTGTGGCAAGGTTGGATGTAGGTTGCCCACAGAGCCAGGATCTGAGGCACCCGCTAGCAGCTCAGGCCCAGGGGACTGGCTCATAACTGTGATTCTAATACTGGGGGATAGGCCATAGCACTGGCCTTACTCTGTGGAAGAAGGGGTGCTCTGGAGGTTTGGGCCTAGGGAGCAGGGTACAGCTGCAATTCAGGGATCTGAGCCAATAGGGCTCAGTGGCAGCTCAGGTCCCACGGAATGAGGCACCATGTAGTAGTGACTCTAGACTCCAGGATGGTGGGGCTTGGCTGTATCCTAGACTCTGTGAAGCCAAGTGCAATGGCAGCGAATACCCCAGCGTGGCAGAGCACAGCTGTCATTTGGGCCCTGGGGGTCAGGGAGCAGCACAGCAATGACTCCACTCCCCAGGAAGAGGGTATCTTAGCAGCTCAGACTCTAGGGGCAAGTCCAGTTCCAGGGAAGCAGGGTACTGGAGTTGTTTGGCTAGGGCAAGGTATCTCAGCTCAGCCACTGCTCTGTTTCCTGGGACATGGGGTACTGTGTCAGCTCAGCCCTGGAATGCGTAGCTGCTCAGCTTGGCCAGCCACCAATTCCCCTGGGGACAATGTGCTGCTTTAGCACAGGCCTAGTGTGGGCATGACTGTTCTGGGTGACCCAGGCACAGTATCATTGGAATGCAGGGTGCCGCTTCAAGTTAGGTGCTAGGATGCATGACTGCCCTGGGTGGCCAAGGCACCATTTCCTGGGATACAGATTGCTTCTTCACCTTAGGCACCAGGGAGGCCTGACTGCTCTGAGCAGTCTAAGTACTGTTTTCATAGTGGATAGGGTACTGCTTCAGCTGCAGCCCAAGGGGAGTGGGGAGGGGTAGGTGGAGTGGCTCTGCCTCCACTTGGCCCCTTGGGGAATCATGTAATAGCTGCTCACAGCTTGGCTTAGATTGTCAAGACATCAGGCTAGAGTGGTTTGTTGGTGGCTTAGCCTCAGGAATGAAGGGGAGCTGTGGCCATCTGTCCCCAGAGCAAAACACAATCCCACTGTAGCTCCACTTCCAAGATGGCATAGCACAGTAGCTGCACAGGCCACAGGGGCTGGCGCATAGTATTGGCTCCTTCTCTGGAGGGAGCACAGCTGTATGGACTCCAGGCAGCTCCTTCAGCTGGGCTTAGTGCCTAGAGGACTGTAGGGAAGCCAGTGGTGAAGTCTGTAGGTGTCCAAGGTGCTGGTGGCAGTTTCTAGAATTGTCTTGCTTACTTCCTTGCTGTGGGGAGAAGTTCCTCCTTGTTCCCAGCTGATCCTAGATGGGGGAAGGGGGATGGGGGGGAGGCCTGATATTGCCATCTGTTCTCTATGTGGCCATCCTGAGTTTCTGTGCTCATCAGCATTCCTGTCACCCTTCTGATACACCCCCACAGTCTCCCTCAGTTATTTTTGTTAAAAGTATAGCTGTTTATTACTCTACCTCTCTTTGTGAGGGGGATGTGCTTTAGGGGCTGCTCGGCCATCTTGCTGACATTACTCCCCTAGGCTGTTTTTTTTTGTTGTAACTTTTTAAAAATGTTTATTTATTTACTTTTGAGACAAGGTCTTGCTCTGGTGCCCAGACTGCAGTGCAGGGTGCAGTCATGGCTTGGTGCAGTCATGGCTTACTCCAGCCTCAAACTTCTGGGCTCAAGCAATCCACCCACCTCAGCCTCCCAAGTAGCTGGGACTGTAGGCATGCACCATCCCTCCTGGCTGAGATTTTTATACTTTTTTTTTTTTTTGGTAGAAACAGGTTCTTGCTATGTTGCCCAGGCTGGTCTTGAACTTCTGGGCTTAAGTGATCCTCCTGTTTCATCCTACCAAAGTGCCAGGACTATAGATGTGAGCTATCATGCCTGGCCAAAGTGAGCTGCTTTAATAAGAGTATTTGAAATTATTCCAGTGTGTTTTAATTCCAAATGTATTAAAATAGGTATGATGGAGTATCGGTCTTGCAGGAAGCCATTCAGCTTCAGTGTGCTACCTTTTCTGGCATCTTTCTGGGACAAATTCGTATTTGTTCTATGCTGGTGAGCAAGGGCTCTTTATACAGAGCTGCTGAGTGTAGCGACCTAAATTTTTTTGCTCAAACAAGGCTGTTTTAATAAGAAATAAATTATATAAAGTCACGTGATCCATTTAGTAAAATATTGGGCTGTGAACCAGGAGACTGGTATTTAGTCACACTGATTAGGTCTTACCCAATAACCTTTGATCAGTTGCCTCTCTACTTACTCTATTTCATGTGTTGTGAAATGGCATGATATTACCTACCTCTGATCTAGTTGAAAATCTTTTTTTTTTTTTTGTGAGATGGAGTCTCATTCTGTCACCCAAGTTGGAGTCTCACTCTGTCACCCAAGCTGGAGTGCAGTGGTGCAATCTTGGCTCACTGCAACCTCCGCCTCCAGGGTTCAAGCGATTCTCCTGCCTTAGCCTCCCGAGTAGCTGGGACTATAGGTGCATGCCACCACACCCAGCTAATTTTTTGTATTTTTAATAGAGACAGGGTTTCACCATGTTAGCCAGGATGGTCTCAATCTCCTGACGTGGTGATCCCAACCACCTTGGCCTCCCAAAGTGTTGGGATTACAGGCGTGAGCCACTGCACCCAGCTGAAAATCTTTTAATGAATAGAAAATCTACTCAGAAGTAGCAGATGAAGTTAGTGATATTTTTTAGGGTCAGTAAGAGTTGATAGGAAAGAAGAAATGAACATTTCTCAGTTACTGGCCAGGTGCTAGGCACTGTTAGGTGCCTTATATGTATCTTCAAATTTAATTCTTGTAAAGTAGTCCTATGAGGTAGGTATTATAACCTTCCTTTGACAGATAAGGAAAATGAGGCTCAGCGAAGCTGATTTCTGTACCTAAGGTCACACAGCTAATAAGAGGCACGGATCTGAACTTTGGTCAGTCTGATGGCAAACCCTGGGTTCTTTCTGCTGTGTTATGTTGCTACACAGAGAATTAATCTGATTGTTGTTTTTGTTGCTTTAAAGAGAAAATAACCTTACAGAGACTAAGGAGTAAAGATAAGTCAAAAATGAAAACTTTATTGTATAGTTTAGGAGGCAGTAACAGAAAGCAGCGTAAGTGGACTTGCAGAAGCAGGGGTACTGGAGTTTATGTTGCTAATGGATGGTGACTGGTGTGAGAGCCTCTTAGTGAAGTGCGTGGTTTCCTTTGTCTCTATTCATTGCTACCTCTGGCCACTGACCTATCACCTCTTCTCTCTAGGGTAAAGCCCACAGCTTGAAGCCAAGCATAAAGGAGAAGCTGGCAGGCAGCCCCATTCGTACTTCTGAAGATGTGAGCCAGCGAGTCTATCTCTATGAGGGACTCCTAGGTGAGAAACACACTGGGAAGGCCCTTTGCACTGGAGAAAGCTGACTCAGCCAGGGGAGAGGGTCACACTGAACAAGTAGCTGGTTGTCTTTCTGCTGATCTTAATGCTAACATTAGATAGCAGTTTTATACCTGAAGCAAGCGACTTACTGGGTCCAGAACAAGCAGTGGGTGAAAACTGGACAAGATTGGGTTTTGGTGTTAATCAACAGCCTTTGCCTTTCTGTCTTCCTTTCTTTCCTTTCTTGCTACCATGGTCCTTCCTGCTCTCAAATTGGCAGGAAGGGACAAAGGATCCATGTGGGACCAGTTAGAGGATGCAGCTATGGAGACCTTTTCTATAAGTAACCACATTTATTTGTGTGCTGTGTTCATCCCTCCTCCTTGGGAGGGACTGGGCCTTACTTGGAGGCATCTGGGGCTGGTGGCAGGCATGTTAGATCTGGGGTAGAAAGATTGTGTTTCCTTTGCCCTGGAATTTGTAATTATTCCCTTTTATCTGGATTTTACTCTTTATTTTTGTTTGGCAGCTATATTCTTAAATGTTAAATAGGCCCCCTAAGAAACCTTTATTCTATGCAGGCAAAGAGCGTTCTACTTTATGGGACCAAATGCAATTCTGGGAAGATGCCTTCTTAGATGCTGTGATGTTGGAGAGAGAAGGGATGGGTATGGACCAGGGTCCCCAGGAAATGATCGACAGGTATGGGGCTTAGGAAACCATTGGGAATCAGCAAACTCAGCCTCCTCCCAGTTAGTTCTGTGGTCTCCCACTTGAGGGCTGACTTGTGCTTGGTCTTCTCCTTAGGTACCTGTCCCTTGGAGAACATGACCGGAAGCGCCTGGAAGATGATGAAGATCGCTTGTTGGCCACACTTCTGCACAACCTCATCTCCTACATGCTGCTGATGAAGGTAATGTCAATTTTGCTGTGTCCAGCTCCGCTGATCCTAGAGGGGCAAGGCTTGTTCCTGTCGCCTAAATTTCGGGGTAGCTGGGAAGCTATCAAGGTATCTTAACTTAGGGCTATCTTCTTGATTGAAAGTCTGAGGCCTCTCTGCCAGCTTACAAATGTTCCATTTATCTGAAGCTGCCAGCCAGTTTTACTAAGGAGTGTTGTAGGAAGAACTGATGATTCTCTTTTTTTTTTTTTTTTTTTTTGAGACGGAGTCTTGCTCTGTCACCCAGGCAGGAGTGCAGTGGCGCAATCTCAGCTCACTGCAACCTCTGCCTCCCCAGTTCAAGTGATTCTTGTGCCTCAGCCTCCCAAGTAGCTGCGATTACAGGCGCACACCACCATACCCAGCTAGTTTTTGTATTTTTAGTAGAGACAGGGTTTCACCATGTTGGCCAGGCTGGTCTCAAACTCCTGACCTCAAGTGGTCCACCCACCTTGGCCTCCCAAAGCGCTGGGATTACAGGCGTGAGCCAGTGCGCCCGACCAAGAACTGATGATTCCATAGTATTTATTTATTTATTTATTTTCATTTTCTTTTTTTTTGAGACAGAGTCACACTCTGTCACCCAGGCTGGAGTACAGTGGCACGATCTTGGCTCACCACATCCTCTGCCTCCCGGGTTCAAGCAATTCTCCTGCCTCAGCCTCCCAAGTAGCTGGGATTACAGGCATCTACCACCATGCCTGGCTAATTTTTCTATTTTTAGTAGAGACGGGGTTTCACAATGTTGGCCAGGCTGGTCTCTCGTACTTCTGACCTCAAGTGATCCTCCTGCCTCAGCCTCCCAAAGTGCTGGGATTACAGGCAGGAGCCACCACACCCAGCCATTATTTATTTATTTTGAGATTTATGTGGTCTCTCTTTACTAAGTAGTTTTAGGGTGCCAATAGAGCTTCCCACAAAATACAATGAATTAATTTTTTTTTTTACAATAGTAGATTTTAAAACCTTAGAAAGGATGCTCAGGACCAGGCGCGGTGGCTCATGCCTGTAATCCAAGCACTTTGGGAGAACAGGGCGGGCAGATCACCTGAGGTCAGGAGTTCGAGACCAGCCTTGACCAATATGGTGAAATCCTGTCTCTACTAAAAATACAAAAGTTAGCTGGGCATGGTGGCTCATGCCTCTAATCCCAGCTACTTGGGAGGCTGAGACAGGAGAATTGCTTGAACCTGAGAGAAGGAGGTTGCAGTGAGCCGAGATTCCACCATTGTACTCCAGCCTGGGCAACAAGAGCGAAAATCCATCTCAAAAAAAAAAAAAAAAGAAATGATGCTCAGAATTTGTTTTTCAGCACAGCCCTATATCTTACAGAATTTTCTATAGTTATAAAAAGAGCCACTCATTAACAAAGTAATAGTAGATTTTAACTTGATTTGGTTGTACTTGGTTTTATAGCTGTGGAAGAAGTATGTTACCAAGTAGAAGAGTTCTGCTCTGAAAGGGAAACATAAATCTGGAGTTGATGGGTAGAAGAGAATTGTTTGGAGAACGAGCCACTGGGTTTCTCCTCCTTCTGTTCTCCCCAACCTCCCTAAGTGTGAAGGGATCAGTTGATCAAATGCAGAGAATGCCCCCAGCCCCTCTTGGTGTGCTTCATTTCCTGGTGTAAGTTGCACTGTACTCTGTGGAATTTGGAGGGTACCAGTTGACTCTGGCTGAGAAACGATGATGATCCCTAACCTTCAGAGATGTCTTGGCTACCCAGTCTGGTGTTGCCACTCTAAGTCATTGTTTCTGAATTACACTATGAAGAGCCTTGGGTGTTTTTAGAGCCCTTGTAGGGGTGAATGTTGTGGTATTGAGTGGGGATAGGGAGAAAGTGTCCCCTGGAACCAGAACCGCTCTAAGAGCCACTTTTCTGCAGAAGCTAACTAGAGACAGAGCCAGGACTTTTCTTCCCCTCATGGTGGCAGAATACACAGTTGAAAGTTTTCTCCCATGTTCAGTGATGTGGTCTTTCAGAATTCCACTTCTCTCAGATGGTGGGAAGCCCACTTGTACATTCTCTTTTCTCTACCTCAGTCGGGAGGAGAGCAGATCCCTTGTTAAGAGTCATGTGTTGGCTTTTCAGGTAAATAAGAATGACATCCGCAAGAAGGTGAGGCGCCTAATGGGAAAGTCGCACATTGGGCTTGTGTACAGCCAGCAAATCAATGAGGTGCTTGATCAGCTGGCGAACCTGGTAAGCACGTCTGGCCACCCCTTAGGCTTCCCCATGGGTCATTTCTTGGTTTGTGTCACTTGCAGTCCAGTTCACCCCGTTTTTGAAAATGGAGCAGTTGTCTTTGACTGTAAATGAGGCATTAGTCCCTGTGTTCTGTGATGGGATTCTCTGTATAAAACCATCGTAGTGCATCAGTTTTGATGTGTGGTCTGTGAACTGCTGAGGGTTCAGAAGGTGAAAACGATTTCAAATGATTCTAAAATGTTATTTGCTGTTTTCACGGGGTTACATTTGCACTGATGGTACCAACGCAGTGATGGGTAAAACTGCTGGCACTGTAACCCAAGTGAAGACAATGGCCCCAAACTATGCCAGCAGCCATTGCATTCCTTGCCTTCATATACTCTCAGTTTTTCGTTTTTGTTTTGTTTGTTTGTTTTTTGAGACTGACTCTCACTCTGTCGCCCAGGCTGGAGTGCAGTAGCGCAATCTTGGCTCACTGCAACCTCCACCTCCTGGGTTCAAGCGATTCTCATGCCTCAGCCTCCCAAGTAGCTGGGATTACAGGCATGTGCCCGCCCACCCAGCTAATTTTTGTATATACATATATATTTTTTGAGACAGAGTTTCACTCTCTTGTTGCCCAGACTGGAGTGCAATGGCGCAATTTTGGCTCACTGCAACCTCTGCCTCCCGAGTTCAAGCAGTTTTCCTGCTTCAGCCTCCCGAGTAGCTGAAGCTCCTGAGGTTACAGGCATGCACCACCACGCCCAGCTAATTTTTGTATTTTCAGTAGAGATGGGCATTCCCCATGTTGGCCAGGCTGATCTTGAACTCCTGACCTCAAGTGATCTGCCTGCCTTAGCTCCCAAAGTTCTGGGATTACGGGTGTGAACCACCGCACCTGGCTTACACTCTTAGTTTTTTAAAAATGCCAGTTGTGCTTGTAAATGTCCTTGAAGAAGCAGTGAAGACTGTTACTCTTATTAGATTGATTAATTATAAATGTTTTTAATATTCTTTGTGACAAAATGGGAAGTACACATAAAGCATCTCTGTTGCAAACCCAGTATGATGGTTGTTTTGAAGAAAAGCAATTTGCAGCCTTGATTTGTTCACCTTGAGTTGCAAGTGAACTTAATCGCTTTGTTCATTGAACATCATTTTTACTGGAAAGGACAATTAATAAACCATGGTTATTCAGAGTACCCAACTGGCAGACATTTTCCTTCAGTTAATCAAGTGAGCCTGTTGTTTCAGGGAAAACAACTGACAGTATTTGTTGCCAATGATAAGATTCAGCTTTTAAGTGAAAATAAGAATTTTGGCAGAGTTTTGAACTTGAAGCTTCCCAATATTTAAAGACTTTTCTAATGAGATTGGTGGTGATATTAATGAATGTGATTTTTTAAACATTGATTTAATATTACAAAATATGTCAACATTTGGAAGAGCTGTGTAACTCAGTGAAACACTATTTTCTTTCTTTTTTTTTTTTTGGAGACGGAGTCTCGCTCTGTGGCCCAGGCTGGAGTGCAGTGGCAGGATGCTGGCTCACTGCTACCTCCGCCTCCTGGGCTCCTGGGTTCAAGCAATTCTCCTGCCTCAGCCTCCTGAGCAGCTGGGAGTACAGGCGTATGCTGCCACACCTGGCTAGTTTTTTTTTTTTTTTGTATTTTAATAGAGACGGGGTTTCACCATCTTGCCCAGGCTGTGGTCTTGAACTCCTGAGTTTAGTCAATCCGCCCACCTTGGCCTTCCAAAGTTCTAGGATTACAGGCACCCAGCCAACAGTATTTTCTAAATACCAATGTATGATGTTGTAAATTCAAGTATGGATAAAAGATCTACTCAAAATGCAAGGCAGAGATATGGATCTTAATTTTTAAATAACATTTTTTTTCAGTCTGGGGAACATAGACCCCATTTCTTTTTGTTTGTTTGTTTGTTTTTGAGACGGAGTCTCACTCTGTCACCCGGGCTGGAGTGCAGCGGCGCGATCTCGGCTCACTACAACCTCCGCCTCCCAGGTTCAAGCTATTCTCCTGCCTCAGCCTCATGAGTAGCTGGGATTACAGGTGCCCGCCACAACGCCCGGCTAATTTTTATGTTTTTAGTAGAGATGGGGTTTCACCACGCTGGTCAGGCTGGTCTCCAACTCCTGACCTTTTGATCCGCCCACCTCGGCCTCCCAAAGTGCTGGGATTACAGGTGTGAGCCACCGCGCCCAGCCAAGGGAGACCCCATTTCTACAAAAAATAAAAAAATTAGCTAGGCATGGTGGCATGCACCTGTAGTCCCAGCTACTTGGGAGGCTGAGGTGGGAGGATCACTTGAGCTCAGGAGGTTGAGGCTGCCGTGAGCACCACTGCACTCCAGCCTGGGTGACAGAATGAGACCCTGTCTCAAAAAAAAAAAAAAAGTGTATGGAGAATAGGGTCTCACTTTGTTGCCCAGGCTGGTCTCCAACTCCTGCCTGGGCTCAAACGGTACTCCTGACTTGGCCTCCCAAAGTGTTGGGATTATAGGAATGAGCCACCATGTCTGGCCTAAATGGATTTTAATGTAACAATGTAAAATGTTCATTGATGTGCTTTCAGATTCCACACTGCAACTAACTTTCAAAAGCTGCTTTTGCTGGGTGTTGTGGTTTATGCCTGTAATTCCAGGTACTTGGGAGGCTGAGGCAGGAGTGTCACTTAAGCCCAGGAGTTCAGAGCTGTGGTGGGCTATGGTCATGCCACTGCACTCCAGCCTGGATGACAGAGCGAAACCTTGTCTCTAAAAAAAAAGAAGCTTCTGCTTCCCAAGTTCTGGTGTAGTGTTAAAGAAGAATACGTCTATTTATCTGAAAAGGCTATGAAAATCCTCTTCCATTTTCCAAATACGTATCTCTGAGGTCAAGTTTTTTTCATATACCTCAACCAAAGCAACATACTGCAACAGACTCAATGCAGAGGCAGATAGGAGAATGCAACTATTTGATTCTAAGCCAAACATTAAAGAGATTTGCAAAAATGTGAAACAGTGCCTTTTTTTTGAAAATATAGTTATTTTATTAAAAATGTTTATATTACTATGTAATGGGTTATATTAATCATTAATTGTTTTTATAATTAATCATTTGAGAAATTTCTGTTTAAATTTCTAGTATGTAAATATCTATAAATATAACTCACATAAACAAAAGCTCTTTGGAATCTTCAATAAATTTTAAGAGATATAGGGCCTCTGAGACCAAAACATCTGAAACCACTTCCCTGGTGACCAGTGGCCAGCAGATGAGACTGTGCTGAGGAAGCCGATATGAATTTGATTGCTGGATGGGGAATTCTTGGCCCAGAGCCCTCTGAGAGGGATGTATGACTGTCCCTAAAAAATCTCTCTTTCATCAGAATGGACGCGATCTCTCTATCTGGTCCAGTGGCAGCCGGCACATGAAGAAGCAGACATTTGTGGTACATGCAGGGACAGATACAAACGGAGATATCTTTTTCATGGAGGTAGGTGCTGGTTCATGCTGGGGGCCCAAAGGGCTATTGAGAGTCACAGGGAACTCATAGGACCGATGCCAGGATATTTTTCTCATTTATCTCATTCATCTTCATGATCTATTTATCATTAAATTATCAGATTGGTTTTTTTGTTTTTTGCGTGTGTGTTTTTTTGAGATAGTGTCTCGCTCTGTCACCCAGGCTGGAGTGTAGTGGCTTGATCTCGGCTCACTGCAACCTCCGCCTCCCGGGTTCAAGCAGTTCTCCTGCCACAGCCTCCCAAGTAGCTGGGATTACAGGCGCCAGCCACCAAGCCCAGGTGATTTTTCTATTTTTAATAGAGATGGGGTTTGATCATGTTGGCCAGGCTGGTCTCAAACTCCTGACCTCAAGTAATCCACCCACCTTGGCCTTCCAAAATGCTGGTATTATAGGCATGAGCCACCGCACCCGGCCAAATTATCAGATTGTTATTCAAATAATTAAATTTTATATAGTAGATGATACCCATTTCTTTTTTTTTTTTTTTTTGAGACAGAGTATCGCTCTGTCACCCAGGCTGGAGTGCAGTGGTGTGATCTTGGCTCACTGCAGCCTCCACCTCCCAGGTTCAAGCAATTCTCCTGCCTCAGCTTCCTGAGTAGCTAGGATTACAGGCATGCGCCACCATGCCCGGCCAATTTTTTGTATTTTAGTAGAGGTGGGGTTTCACCATGTTCGTTGGCCAGGCTGGTCTTGAACTCCTGACCTCAAGTGATCCACCTGCCTCGACCTCCCAAAGTGCTGGGATTACAGGTGTGAGCCACTGCGCCCGGCCCCATTTCTTTTATACACGTGCGCGCGCACACACACGCGCACACACATATACATAAAGATATCTATATATAGATGATATAGTCACATTGTTCATAAATCAGAATAACAGAAAATAGTACACATTGGGAGGTCTTGCACTCATTCTTGTCCCCTTCCACTGAATTTCCCACTCCCCTCACCCCTTCATCCTATAGACAACCACTTTTATTGGTTTCCTTTGTAAATTCCAGTGGATTTTTTTTTTCTTTTTCTTTTTTTTTTTTTTTTTTTTTGAGACGGAGTCTCACTCTGTCGCCCAGGCTGGAGTGCAATGGCTTGATCTCAGCTCACTGCAACCTCCACCTCCTGGGTTCAAGCGATTCTCCTGCCTCAGGCTCCCAAGTAGCTGGGATTACAGGCGCCCACCACCGCACCCAGCTAATTTTTTGTATTTTTAGTAGGGATGGGGTTTCACCATGTTGGTCAGGCTGGTCTCCAACTCCTGACCTCACTGATCCACCCGCCTCGGCCTCCCAAAGTGCTGAGATCATAGGCGTGAGCCGGTGCACCCGGCCTTCCAGTGGACTTTTATGCAAACAATAAAATATGAACACAAATTCTTATTTTCCTCCTTTCTTTTTTTTCTTTGAGACAGAGTGTTGCTCTTTTGCTCAGGCTGGAGTGCAGTGGTCCAAACTCAGCTCACTGCAACCTCTGCCCCTTGGGTTCAAGTGATTCTCCTGCCTCAGCTGCCTGAGTAGCTGGGATTACAGTCGCCCACCACCATGCCCAGATAATTTTTCTATTTTTAGTAGAGACGGGGCTTCACCATATTGGCCAGGCTGGTCTCAAACTCCTGACCTCAAGTGATCTGCCCACCTTAGCCTCACAAAGTGCTGGGATTATAGGCGTGAGCCACCCCGCCTGGCCTATTTTTCTCCTTTCTTTCAGAAAGATAGCACATCTTATCCATTGCTTTATCCCTTGCTTTTTTCATTTAACATTGTCCTGGTCCTCTTCTGTATCAGTACCAAGAAAGCTTTCCCATTGGTTTTATGGCTACATGTATTCCACTGTGTGACTGTGCCTTAATTTATTTAACCAGTCAGTACATATGGATCCTTGGGTTGCTTCCAAATTTGCTGTTACTGATAGTCATACTGTGAATGATGCTGTGCCTGCTTCATTTCATACATGTGCAAGTGTGTCTAAGGATTCCCAGAAATGAGATTGCTGGGTCAGAGGGACAATGCATTTGTAATTTTGGTTGATATAATTCTTAAGTGTCTCATAACACGTAATACCCCCTTTGCCATTAATTTTGTTGAAGAAATTGGATCGTTTGCCCTGTGGAGTCTCCTACATTCTAGATTTTTTGCTGATTGTGTCTCCTTTGTATTAGCGTGTTTCCTGTCACATATTTCTCATAGACTGGTAGTTCAGTTTAGAGGTTTGATCACTTTCAGATTCACTCTTTTGGGAAGAATACTTAATGAGTGGTGCTATACGCTTCCTATTGCCTCATATGGTTGTCCCTCTCTTACACATCAGTGGGCTCAGATGTGGGCAACCTGATCTGCCCACCAGAAAGTTCCTCATTTGTCTTCTGATTTTGCCTATGGTATTTTTTGACACACATAAATTTTTTATTTGTATATAACTTTTTTTTTTTTTTGAGACAGAGTCTCTCTCTATCGCCCAGGCTGGATGCAGTGGCATGATCTCGGCTCACTGCAACCTATACCTCCCGGGTTCAAGCAGTTCTCCTGCCTCAGCCTCCCAAGTAGCTGGGTTTACAGGTGCCTGCCACCACACCCGGCTAATTTTTGTGTTTTTAGTAGAGATGGGGTTTTACCATGTTGGCCAGGGTGGTCTCGCACTCCTGACCTCAAGTGATCCACCCACCTCGGCCTCCCAAAGTGCTGGGATTACAGGTGTGAGCCATCACGCCTGGCTACTTTTATATAATTAAATTAATCAATAGTTTCTTTTACGGCTTCTGGATTTTGAGGCATGGTTAGAAAAAGCCTTACTCTCCAGGATTATAAAGGAAATTGGCCGTGTTTTCTTCATTTCTGTGTTTTTAATTCTGAAACAGACCTAAGTAATTTTAAGGACCAAATACAACTCCTATATATAAAGTAGTAAAATTTTGCCTATGTTATCTGTTCCCCTGTGGTTTAGCTGAATTTGAATATCACATTCACAGTTTTTTTGAACAGGTGGTCTACCAAACGCAAGAAGGGCTTACCCTGAAGCAGAAACATACATGTCAGTGTAGCCAAGAAGGAGTCATTTTCATGTCACCCTTTAAAGTGTTAGAATTTGGCTAGTTGCCTCTCAGAGCCTAGGGCTGACTTAGGACATCTGCACCACAGCAGAAGTGGCACATGACTCTTGCCCTTTTCTTTTCCTTTTAAAAAAAATATCTCCAGCAGATTCCTTGAACTACTCTTACTCTCACCACCGTACAAAGGGAGCCTCATGCTAAGTCTCTGGAGTGTGGGACTGGACCCATTACCCAAATAGATGCCTCTTCCTCGAAGTGGTGCCATGCCAGGGAAGAGTGCACCATGGTCACTGTGCCATCACCTGGCTCCTGTGAGGCTATTTGATTTAGCCTTTCTCAGAGCATAGCCTGCTTTTTGCATGATCAACTGGACAGCAGTTTGGGAATTTTTTTTTTTTTTTTTTTTTTTTTTTTTTTTTTTTGAGACAGAGTCTCACTCTGTTGCCCAGGCTGAAGTGCAGTGGTACAATCTTGGTTCACTGCAACCTCCACTTCCCAGGTTCAAGCGATTCTCCTGCCTCAGCCTCCTGAGTAGCTGGGACTACAGGCACATGCCATCATGTCTGGCTAATTTTTGTATTTGTAGTAGAGACGGGGTTTCACCATTTTGGCCAAGCTGGTCTCGAACTCCTGACCTCAAGTGATCTGCCCACCTCAGCCTCCCAAAGTGCTGGGATTACAGGTGTGAGCTGCCACACCTGGCCAAGGAAAATATATATATATATATAATTTTTTTTTTTTTTTTGGAGGTGGAGTCTTGCTCTGTCACCCAGGCTGGAGTGCAGTGGCACAATCTTGGCTCACTGCAACATCCACCCACCGACTTCAAGAGATTCTCCTACCTCAGACTCCCGAGTAGCTGGGACTACAGGCACGCATCACCACGCTTGGCTAATTTTTGGTATTTTTAGCAGAGATGGGGTTTTGCCATGTTGGCCAGGATGGTCTTGAACTCCTGACCTTAAGTGATCCGTCTGCCTTGGCCTCCCAAAATGCTAGGATTACAGGTGTGAGCCACCATACCCAGCCAAAGATTTTTAAAAATTGTCTTTGTTGCCCTTTTTTTAGTTACAGAAGTAAAACAGTATATGCTGTAAATGTTTCAAACCGTGCCAAAGTTAAAAAATAATTAAAAGTTTTACTCACTGCCTTTCAATCCTTTGTCCCAGAGGTAACCAGTAATGAAGAGTTTTATGTGACTCCTTTCAGATTATTGAAAATGCATATTTGTGCAAATATAATTTATTTATATGGAATTTTGTTTTTGCACTTACGAAAGTGGTATCAAATTACAAATATTGGGCTGGGCATGGTGGCTCACATGAGCCTGTAATCCCAGCACATTGGGAGGCCGAGGCAGGTGGATAACTTGAGGTCAGGAGTTCCAGACAAGCCTAGCCAACGTGGTGACACCCTGTTTCTACTAAAAATACAAAAATTAGCCGGGCGTGTTGGGCAGGCGCCTGCAATCCCAGCTACATGGGAGGCTGAGGCAGGAGAATCGCTTGAACCCGGAGGCGGAGGTTGCAGTGAGCCGAGATCATGCCACTGCTCTCCAGCCTGGGTGACAAAGCGAGACTCCATCGCAAAAAAAAAAAAAAAAAAAAAATTACAAATATTGTTAAATAATTTGCTTTTTTCACTTAATGATATACCTTTCCGTGTCTTTTTTTTTTTTTCTTTAATGGATGCTTAGCCATTAGATGTCGTATGGTGTACCATAATTGGTTTAACTAGTGCCTCTCACTATTTTTTAAAAAAATATTACTCATGCTGGGTGTGGTGGCTCACGCCTGTAATCCCAGCACTTTGGGAGGCCAAGGTGGGTGGATCACGAGGTCAAGAGTTCAAGATCAGCCTGGCCAAGATGGTGAAACCCTGCCTCTACTAAAAATACAAAAAATTAGCCAGGCGAGGTGGTGGGTGCTTGTAATCCCAGTTACTTGGGAGGCTGAGGCAGAGAATTGTTTGAACCTGGGAGGCGGAGGTTGCAGTGAGCCGAGATTGCACCACTTCACTCCAGCCTGGGCGACAGAGCAAGACTCCGTCTCAAAAAAAAAATTTAAAAAAATGAAATATATATTTATATATTACTCATTAGGCCAAGCATGTTGGCTCACGCCTGTAATCCCAGTACTTTGGGAGGCTGAGGCAGGAGGATTGCTTGAGCCCAGAGTTTGAGACCAGCCTGGGCAACATAGGGAGACCCTGTCTCTATAAAAAATTTAAAAATTAGTCATACATGTGGTGATGTATGCCTGTGGTACCAGCTACTGGGGAGGCTGAGGTGGGAGGTTCGCTTGAGCCCAGGAGGTCAAAACCAGCCTGGGCAACATAGGGAAACCCCGTCTCCACAAAAAATTTTAAAATAAGCTAGGCATGCTAGTGCATGCCTATGGTCCTAGCTACTGGGGAGGCTAAGTTGGGAGGATCCTTGAGCCTGGGAGGTCAAGGCTTCAGTGAGCTCTGATTACACCACTTCAGTCCATCCTGGGTGACAGAGCAAAACCCTGTCTCAAAAAATAATAATAATAATAATAATTGCTCATTGAATATCCTTGAACATATATTTTTGCACCCTCACATGAGAATTTCTATAGGATATAGTCCTAGACATGAAAATTTCAAGTCAAGCTTATATACGTTTAAAATTTCGGTAGATTTTGCCAAATTGCCATCCCAAAAACTATACCAGTTTACACCTCCAACAGCCACTTAGACGACTATAACAGTATATTACAAGCATTTCTCTAGACTAGAATGCTCTAGCTTAGAAATCATGTGTTCTCCTAAATGTGTTCTGCCTGCCTTTACATGATGTTCTTAAAGGATTATGAAAGGTGGAGTGGTATTGTCCATTTTCCCCCTGGAGATAACCACAGAGTCAGACTGGGCCTAGAACTCAAGTTTCCCATTCCTACTCTGCCACTTTGACTGATTCTTCAAAGGCTTTAGAACTCCAGTAAAGTCTTATACAGTAGCTTAAACCTGATAGTCTTGTGTGTTCCTTACTCACTCACCTAATATTTGTGGAGCACGTATTATATGCTAGGTACTTTGTTGGGTGTTGGGATTATAGCAGTGAATAAGACAGACGTGATTTCTATTGCCCTTAGCATTGACAAGCTATTGGGGAAATCAGATAATTAAAGAGTATTATAAAATATGGTGAGCATTATGAAAGAAGCTCAGGGGGGGCAGAATAAATACCAGAGGGCCTAGGAGCTGTGGACAACTCCTTTGAGAAGTTGACCTTTGAGCTTAGACTTGAAGAAAGAGTAAGAGTTAATGGTTGGGGAGTGGAAGAGCAGTCAGGGATATTTGAGCTAGAACCAATGGGACTCAGTGATGGAGTGTAGTTAGTTAGAGGGAAGAGGAAGGAGTCGGGCATCAATTCTTCATTTCAGGCTGGGGCAGCTGGGTGGATGGTGGTGCCATTTCCTCAAATAGCAGACTTAAAAGGAGGATCTGCCCAGGAGGAGATGTTGAGTTCAGATTTGGACACAATGAGTTTGAGGTGCTACATGTGAAGCATCCAGACACTGAGAAGCTCAGGAGCTCAGGAAGAGAGGTCTAAGATGGAGAAAGGTAAGAACCATCAACATGGTAATAATCATTAGTATCATAGTTCTGATATCTAGTAGCTAATTAGGGTACTTTCTGTGTGCCTGGCTTTGTGTGCACCTTAAATACTTTATGCACATTAACTCATTTAGTCTTCATAGTAACTGTAGGAAGTTATTACTGTTACTATCCCCATCTTACCTGTGAGGAATTGTGGACACAGATGAACTTGCTCAGGGTGGCACAGCTCAGTAATGGCAGAGCTGGAATCTAAACTCAGGCTGACTTTAGACCTGTGCCCTTCACCATTGTGCTGTAATGTCTCCCGTAACATTTGAAGCCTTAAGAACGGATAACTGGCTGCGCATGGTGGCTCACGTCTGTAATCCCAGCACTTTGGGAGGCCGAGGCGGGCGGATCATGAAGTCAGGAGATCAAGACTATCCTTGCTAACACGGTGAAACCCCGTCTCTACTTAAAAAAATATATAAAAAATTAGCCGGGCATGGTGGTGGGTGCCTGTAGTCCCAGCTACTCGAGAGGCTGAGGCAGGAGAATGGCGTGAACCTGGGAGGCGGAGCTTGCAGTGAGACGGGATTGCGCCACTGCACTCCAGCCTGGGCGACAGAGCGAGATCCGTCTCAAAAAGAAGAACAGATAACTTCACCTGAAAGAGAATGTTGAACAAGAAGGTGTCAAAGATATTTGCTTTTTAATTTATATCATCCTGTATTGTATCATTTTTATGTAATAAGCATTGTTCATGTGTCACTTGTGTAATTAATTTTTAAAAATATTTTTATAGAAAAAGGGTAGACCCAGGATTAGAAAGTGCATCAGCTCCATTTTTCTCCTTGGTTAAGTCTGTCATGATCTCCTACCTTTGTGTTTGTCAACAAAGATGATTCCTGAGCTTGTAAGATGGAGGCATGAGATCTCCTCCAAATACTTTAAGTCCGTAGAGCACATAAGAGGTAATAAATAACTGGGCCGGGCGCGGTGGCTCACGCCTGTAATCCCAGCACTTTGGGAGGCCAAGACGGGTGTATCACTTGAGGTCAGGAGTTCGAGACCAGCCTGGCCAACATGGTGAAACCCTGTCTCTACTAAAAATACAAAAATTAGCTGAGCATGGTGATGTGTGCCTGTAATCTCAGCTACTCGGGAGGCTGAGGCAGGAGAATCATTTTAACCCACAAGGCAGAGGTTGCAGTGAGTCGAGATTGCACCACTGCACTCCAGCCTGGGCAACAGAGTGGGACTCCATCTCAAAAAAAAAAAAAAAAAATTATAGCCAATGTGATGGTGTGCACCTGTAGTCCCTGCTACTTTGGGGGCTGAGGCAGGAAGAACCTGGCTGGTCGAGGCTGCAGTGAGCTGAGATGGCGCCACTGCAGTCAAGCCTGGGGTACAAAGTGAGACCCTGTCTCAAAAAAAAAAAAAAGAGGTAATAAATAACTGATTGATTTGTGCCTCCTCCCTTATACATCGGTTCCTTCTAATGACTCCATCTCTTCCAACAATCCTTGTAGCAGGCAGCATGTCAGTAGTTCTGTTTTGTGTCTTCACCTAGGGAAACCATGAGCGTAAGGCAGAAAACCTGACCATGGGGATGCCCCAGGACCACCTTTCCCTGTAGGAAACAGTCTAGGGAGAGGCTGTCAGAGACAGGAACCACTGAGCCGCTTTGTGCACTTCTCCAGGTGTGCGATGACTGTGTGGTGTTGCGTAGTAACATCGGAACAGTGTATGAGCGCTGGTGGTACGAGAAGCTCATCAACATGACCTACTGTCCCAAGACGAAGGTGTTGTGCTTGTGGCGTAGAAATGGCTCTGAGACCCAGCTCAACAAGTTCTATACTAAAAAGGTACGCAGGATCTGTGTTTGGGTTGGGGCTAGTAGGCATTGAAGACCAAATAGTGAATTTCTCTTTGGGAAGTTAAAATTCCAAAACACACATCTGGAGCCACACTTCTGTCTCCAGCTGTTGGGTGGAGTACCTAAAGCTGTCTCTGTCAAGCCAACTAGGCCTAATAGTAGTCACAATCGGTATTAACCAACCATATCTAGCATTCCTACACATCTGTACCCATGCCTTCTTTAAAGCCATACTATTCA
Source organism: Homo sapiens (assembly GCF_000001405.40). Taxonomy (NCBI): domain Eukaryota; kingdom Metazoa; phylum Chordata; class Mammalia; order Primates; family Hominidae; genus Homo; species Homo sapiens. The sequence continues at coordinate 47,324,087 of NC_000011.10, forward strand.
TATGCTCCGGATCTATCATTCATAACCTCAACAATGAATAAGACATCCGAAAAATAGGAGGACTACTTAAAATTTTACCCCTCACTTCAACCTCCAGCCTTCAGTGGCCATTATAGAGCAGTGGGTGGGGAACCCTGGACAGCCCTCATGATGGGACCACTCTCCCCCTGTGCCACAGTGTCGGGAGCTGTACTACTGTGTGAAGGACAGCATGGAGCGCGCTGCCGCCCGACAGCAAAGCATCAAACCCGGTGAGGAGAGTTTTTCCTGAGAGTGTCTTCCCTGTTTCTACCAGTCCTTCTGAGTGTCAGGGGCCTGGCAGGGAAGTCAGGGGTGGGATTCCCCACCTCACCAGTGAGCTGATAGCCCCCTCCCTCACCACAGGACCTGAATTGGGTGGCGAGTTCCCTGTGCAGGACCTGAAGACTGGTGAGGGTGGCCTGCTGCAGGTGACCCTGGAAGGGATCAACCTCAAATTCATGCACAATCAGGTAGGTGCGAGCGGCAGCACGAGGCTCCCTGTCGTTCCATCTGTAAGAAGGACCAATGTCCAAGCCCCCAGTACTTCCCCAGCAAGCATGAGAGAGGGCCCTCTGGAGCTAGAGGGAGAACTGGAGCAGCTGGACCCAGGAAAGAAACCCCAGGGGAGGGCACAGTGACGTTGGCGACCACCTGGCGCTGTGAAGGTGCACCAGGGAGCCCGTGGGGGAGGCTGGGCAGGAGCGAGGCCAGGTGGCCACGCTGCCCCATCCGTTGGACTCCACACAGTGTGAGTGGGAGCGTCTCACTTGGCCCTTCCCCTGCAGTGTCTCTGCCTTCCTCTATTCCCAGGATATGCTTCTGCTTGGTGGTTTTGCTTTGAGAGTCTAGACTGGCCGATCTCCTTGTGTCTTTCTGGTGTGCGTGCAGCTTGCGTGTGCGTGCGTGCGTGCCTGCGTGCTTGTGTGTAAGTAGCTTGTATCTGTCCTCTCTGGAGTGTGTTTATTTGCCTTTTTCTTCTGCGGATTCTTCTTCCTGTTCTTTTCCTTCCTCTGAGTGTTCCCACTCTGTCCCCTGCTCCACAGGCCCCATTCCCTTTCTTTTGATTGGGGAGCACTTGTGGATACATCTTTCCCTCATTGTAATTCCACCATAGGAGCTGACTTTTTTTTTTCTCTCTTGGTCTTTTAACACAGTGTTACCTTTTTCTCTCAGTGGACATTCCTTAAGCTAATTCCTTTCTGAGGCCAGCGCATCATCCCAGGTCCGTTCACAGCTCTGACTCCTCACACAAGTGCCTTCCCTCCTCTTTCCCTGATGTCCGGGTTCCTCTCCCTGAGGCTCTGAGCCAGACCCAAATGTGTGAAGCCCCACAGACCCTGGCCAGGCCGCAGACCCTCAGGGGAGGTGGATGCCTGACTGACGTGGCTGTCTCCCTCCCTCCGCTAGCCGTTGTAGCTCTCTTTCAGGAACGTAGCTGGGCAGCTTTGGTTTAACAGGAAATGGCTGCGCAGGCTGCCAGCAGCCCCTTAGTATATTTTCAATTTAGGACTTAGGGCAGTAGCCAACCCCAAAGACCTTAGGACCATCCCAGAGAGGGGTCTACCTAAGTGCTTTTCTGGACCACAAAGGTGTCAGTACTTCTTGGGGAGCAGACTTCTGACCACATTTTAGCGCCGTGGCCTCTGAAGATGAGATCTTGCTGAGCAACGCCCAGGTGCTCTGCCCTGTTCCTCGTCCTGCCCTTGGCATAGCCCCACTGGGCAGCCATCCAAGCCAGTCTGTGGTTGAAGGCTTGGCCCCTAGAAGATAGACTGCAGAGAAGGGGAGGAAAGCCCGGGTTCTCAATCTCACCTCACAGTTAGTAATGAGATAGCGACCTGCCCCCTATTCTGCCACACAGTGTTCAGTTGGAGTGGAGGAGGCAGCAGACCTCCTGGTGGAGCTGTGCAGTCTGGGGTAAATGGGAAAAGCACAGGCTTCGGTGTGAGGACATGCTTGGATTTGAAGCCCAGCTTCCACGTTCATGGGCAAAGAAACTTTCTGATCCATAGTTTCCTCATGTAGAAAATGGGGGTAATACTATTTACTGTGTCACGTAGTAGGTGCAGAGATTAGAAATCGTATTTGTAAAACCCCAAGTAGGTGCTCAGCAAGTGGTAGCTGATATTATTATCACCACATACCTCTTGGGAGATCCTGGATCCTGTTTCAAGGAGGATACCAACACCTCCCACCCTGAGGACAGTCTGAGGGGAGCTTTGCGCCCGTGCCAGCCCTCTGCGCCGGAGGAGGATGCATGGAAGGGTAGAGACCTAATGGGCTGAGTGGGGACCCCTGGGGCACTGTGTCTTACAAGCACTGCCCTGGGCAGAGGGTACGGGCGGGCAGCCCAGGCCAGCAGCAGGGCCTTCGGGTTGGGTTTGACCATTCAAACTAACGCCTTCATTTCTCTCCCATGCTTTCTCCTCCGGCCAGGAGCGGAAGGTACATGCCCTTTCTGCTATCTTCGCTTCTTAGCGCTTTTGAGTTGTGTGCGTGTGGATTCTTCTGTCCTCTCTTTGGGAAATAGACTTTCTTTGTGTGGGTGGGGCTGTAGCTGGGAGAGTGTGCTGTGTGGGGCAGGGGTGGAGCCTGTGGGCCTTACCCCGGCCTCCCTCCCTCTCTTGCAGGTTTTCATAGAGCTGAATCACATTAAAAAGTGCAATACAGTTCGAGGCGTCTTTGTCCTGGAGGAATTTGGTAATTACACTATTTTGCTCTTAGGTCTGGACTCACATGGCAGTAACTCAAACCTCGGAGCTCCAGAGGAGGGTCTAGGGGCAGGGAGAAGAAGAACCTCTGTAGAGAAGTCAGGAGGAGCAGGAGTGACAAGGAAGAAAAGGGACCCCTGAGATGAGAGCCGGGATGTGGAAGGGAAAGATAGATAATGGATCGCAGAAGAGCAAATGGGGCCTCAGGTGGGTTTCGAGTTTAGAGGTGGTCCTGAAGCAGCTCAGTGAAGTAGCACCACCTCCCCGTGCTGGGCCAGCCAGTGGTCAGAAAGTTTGGGACACAGCAGACTGGCGACCCCCAAGCTCCACTATGTCCATGTCACCTGCTGCAATCTCTCTAGCAGCCCAGTGCGCTAGCCAGCCTCCCTGGCGCCGCTCTGGTCTCCACCTGGCCTCTGTGCCAGACAAAGGGGCACCGGGCGTCGCAGGCAGACTCACTTGAGGGACAGAGGAGTCTAGCGGGACAGCTGTAGCCGGAAGCTGGGAGCCAGCGCTAGGGAGTGGTGTAGTGGGTTCTCACCCTGGGGCTTTGAGTTCCTGCTGTGTTTGTGCTTCATTCTTTTGTGCCCCTCATCGCTGCTATGAAAACCTTCGTTCTCCAGCAGGTAAAGTGACCTCGGCTCGTGCTGCCTCTCCCCAGGTCTCTGCCTTGGGCCCTGCCCTGGGTGGGTAGCTCCCATCGAACCAGCTCCTCACACTGCCAGCTCGTCTCTTCCTTTCTCCCCTACCCTCTTTCTTCCTACCTTGCCTCCCCCTTCTCACCGGCTCACTGGACTTTCCTCCCCGTGTGTTCCCTTCTCTCTTCTGTCAGAGAGATACTTGGGGGAATCTTCCAACTCGGGAGAATGGCCTGGGGCTTCTTGCTCTACCTTTGATGAGTTTATTCCCTGCTGACCCTGGGTTCCCCCAAATTCTACCTCCCAGGGTCAGAAGAAGGTACGGCCAATTCTCCTCCTGCCTTTTCTGGCCCCCAGGGAGATGCCAGGCCCCTCTGCTCCCAGTCTCAAGGGGCCATGATGGTGGCTGAGCCTGGGGGGCCTACTCCTTCCTCTGGCCAAGCAGAACCCCTGCATGGCTGGAGCGGGGGGACTCTCACTCTTGCCTTCTGGGCTGTGGACATGTGTGTATTTTGCCTGATGCTCCCTGTCACCTCCCTCCCTGGGTGCTGTACTCGCCTGTCTTCTGCTGGGTGTGTTGCTCCAGAGCCCTCAGACGCTCTCCCTCACACAGGCAGGTCTGGGCTTCTCCTGCCACTCAGGGAAGGACACTGCCACATCCTGTGGGTTTATATCATGTTACCTCTTCATCCAGCCTCAAGACCCTCTGTGTAGGGGGCTGGGAATAACGGGAACTGTGTTTAACATGACCCAATTTTCAGGCTGGTGACGAGTTCACGGGTGTCTCAGCAAAGTTGGACACAAGCTAGAGAGAGCTCTCTCCTCCCAGCCAAAACCTGGGAATTCCCCACTGCAGCTCCTCAGGGGCCCTGGACAGTAGCTGTGACCAGGCTGGTGAAAGGCCCGTCCCTCCCATCCAGGGCTTTCAAAGAAGTGGGTAGAATCACGGCCATCAAGTAAACGCCACTGCGGATGACAGAGGCCTAGCTGAGGAGGCTAGGGCCATGTCCTCCCAGCTGGCAGAGTCTGGACAGAGCCTCTGGTGGCCTCTGCCCTGTCATAGCCTAAGCTGCTGCAGCCACTGTGAGAGGCCACAGAGGGGAAGGGGACCCTGACGCCGGGCGCTGCCGCCTGGGGGAGCATGGCACGATTGCTCTTAGTGTTGAACTTTCTGTTTTGTCTCTTGCCCGTCCGGTTTTAGTTCCTGAAATTAAAGAAGTGGTGAGCCACAAGTACAAGACACCAATGGTGAGTGTGCCGCTCAACCCTGATGGGCCACGGTGCGCAGGGCTCCCTGGGGGACCTTCGGACAGGAGGAGGGGAGGGCCCTCTGAGCGCACAGGGGTGAGTGGGGACCTCGTTTTGTTGCCAAAGGTTCAACTCAGGCTGAAACAGGTCTTGAGCCCTGAGAGACAGACACACACACACGGATCCCCTCTCCCATGGGGACAGCTTCCTTGCTTGGAGCTCACGTTTAGCCCAGAGGCCCATGCCCAGTGTTAGGGCAGGAGTTGCCCATTGGCAGATCCTTCACATATGGAGATGGAGGAGTCTCAGTATCGTGATCCGCCTGGTTTTCTCTCCTCTAGGCCCACGAAATCTGCTACTCCGTATTATGTCTCTTCTCGTACGTGGCTGCAGTTCATAGCAGTGAGGAAGATCTCAGAACCCCGCCCCGGCCTGTCTCTAGCTGATGGAGAGGGGCTACGCAGCTGCCCCAGCCCAGGGCACGCCCCTGGCCCCTTGCTGTTCCCAAGTGCACGATGCTGCTGTGACTGAGGAGTGGATGATGCTCGTGTGTCCTCTGCAAGCCCCCTGCTGTGGCTTGGTTGGTTACCGGTTATGTGTCCCTCTGAGTGTGTCTTGAGCGTGTCCACCTTCTCCCTCTCCACTCCCAGAAGACCAAACTGCCTTCCCCTCAGGGCTCAAGAATGTGTACAGTCTGTGGGGCCGGTGTGAACCCACTATTTTGTGTCCTTGAGACATTTGTGTTGTGGTTCCTTGTCCTTGTCCCTGGCGTTATAACTGTCCACTGCAAGAGTCTGGCTCTCCCTTCTCTGTGACCCGGCATGACTGGGCGCCTGGAGCAGTTTCACTCTGTGAGGAGTGAGGGAACCCTGGGGCTCACCCTCTCAGAGGAAGGGCACAGAGAGGAAGGGAAGAATTGGGGGGCAGCCGGAGTGAGTGGCAGCCTCCCTGCTTCCTTCTGCATTCCCAAGCCGGCAGCTACTGCCCAGGGCCCGCAGTGTTGGCTGCTGCCTGCCACAGCCTCTGTGACTGCAGTGGAGCGGCGAATTCCCTGTGGCCTGCCATGCCTTCGGCATCAGAGGATGGAGTGGTCGAGGCTAGTGGAGTCCCAGGGACCGCTGGCTGCTCTGCCTGAGCATCAGGGAGGGGGCAGGAAAGACCAAGCTGGGTTTGCACATCTGTCTGCAGGCTGTCTCTCCAGGCACGGGGTGTCAGGAGGGAGAGACAGCCTGGGTATGGGCAAGAAATGACTGTAAATATTTCAGCCCCACATTATTTATAGAAAATGTACAGTTGTGTGAATGTGAAATAAATGTCCTCAACTCCCTTCAGGCTCCCTGGCTGCCTTGTGTTAAATGACACCTCCTCTTGGCTCAGGCCTGAGGAAAGCTATCCCTGGACTCTAAAAAGTCACCTCAGGCTGGAAGGAAGGAAGGAGATGAGGTCATCCATGTCCAAGCTTTGGCACACGGAGGCCCCAGCTCCCCTGTTCTGGGCTCCTAGAGCAAGGCTGCGGGAGGAGCTTTCCTTCCTGGGCACCTGAGGGCCCTGCAGAGAGCTGGGCTGCCATGAATGAACAGGCTGCTAGAGGGAGCAGCCAGACTGGGCGTCCTCACCTGAACTGAGATTAAGTGAAAGAAAGCCAAGGCCCTGGCCCTCTCCGTTCCCTTACAGGTGGGTATGGTCGAGAGAGGTGTGGTGATTCAGCCAGGGCCTCCCACAGGGCCCCGGACTCCTGGCCAGGAGTGTCTTCCACTGCATAGAACTCCCAGAAGCTCCCCTAGGAGCTGCCTTCATGGAATTCTGTCCTGGAAAAACCTGGCTGCACTCTCAGGGAATTTGAGACCTGCTGGCTTCCCGCGCCCAAAAGGAAACAGATGCTCGGATTTAGGCTCCCCATGGGGGAAGTGAGAGCAGAGTGGGGCCCTGGCCCTGACACCTTTCTGGTGCCCAGCGTCCTGGACTGGATTGGGTTGCTGTCTCCCACCGGGGATATGGGTCTGAACCCGCTGCTGGCTTATTGCTGGCTGGGACTCCAAAGCCACCTAGTGCAGCTCCACCCCAGCACAATCACAACACTGAGATTCTGCCTCACCCCACCTCCAGGCGGTTGTGACCACGGCCCCTGGCACAAGGATCACGCTGAGCACCTGGGACCAGTTAAATGCACTTTCCGCTGTCACAGCTCAGTTTCATCATCTGAAGAGTGAATGCTGTAGGGGAAGACAGGTTCCTTCTAGCGTTAATGTTTTATGAACTCAGAAACCACTCTGGGCCTGGTTTAATCATCGGGAAAACAAAACAAAAAACAGTATCTGCTCTCACTTTGCTGTGAAGATCAATGTCCCTGGGCTTTTTTCTTTTTTTTTTTTTGAGACATGGTCTCACTCCATCACCCAGGCTGAAGTGCAGTGGCATGATCTCGGCCCACCTCAAACTCTACCTCCTGGGTTCAGGTGATTCTCCTGCCTCAGCCTTCCAAATAGCTGGGATTATAGGCGCGCCACCTTGCCCAGCTAATTTTTGTATTTTTAGTAGAGACGGGGTTTCACCATGTTGGCCAGGCTGGTCTTGATCTCCTGACCTCAGGTGATCGGCCCGCCTCCGCCTCCCAAAGTGCTGGGATAACAGGCATGAGCCACCGCACCTGGCCATCCCCTGTGCATTTTTATGAAAACAGGCACACCGAAATTGAGAAGAGTGAGTTCTCTGTGACTGCACTTATCTTTTATTGCCCAATAAACATTGGGAAGACATAGCAGGCCAGAAAGGCCTGTCCCCAGACATTGTTTCTTGAGGCCACCCTCCTTTTACCCCAAAGATCCAGGGGCTTCCTTCAGGAGCCCTGTGGACCAGTCTGTGCAACACCCACTCAGGACTGCCCGACAACTGCCCTGCTGATCCCCCATCGCAGCACAGGAGACACACTTGTCACACATACATCCAACAGTAGGGAGGGGTTTCCCCAACTTCCCTCCAGGCTCCTGGCACGGGGCTGGCATCCGGTTGTACCTGCAACACAGGTTATCTTACGAGTGAATGGAGGGCCCCTACAGCCTCCCATTTACTGATGGCTGCCCCAGGACCAAGGGCCAGGGCTCAGCCACTGACTTGTGCCCTGGGTGTCGGGTGGTACATACCTGGCCATCCCCAGGAGCCAGCCTGGTCACTGAGGCACTGCAGAAGAGGAGGCCATGTCACTGTGTCCTCCCAGCCTTCTGGAAGCTATTGCCCATCTGGGCGTGGCAGGGTCCGTGCCCTTGCAGCCAGGGCAGGTGCTTGGCCGAGGACAACGGAGCAAAGCCCAGGGTCCCCACTGCCGCCCGCTCTTCCCATCTCCCAGGCCCTGGCCCCGAGGGCTCCTCACCTCGCACCTCCAGGCGGCACTCACACCGTGCCTCGCCCTGTAAGTTGGTGGCCCTGCAGACATAGATGCCCCCGTCAAAGGGGCAGGGCTTTCTAATCTCCAGAGTCAACACTCCCTGCTTGCTGAACATGCGGAAGCGGGCGTCTTCTCCCAGGTCCAGGCCATTCTTGAACCAGGAAATCTTGGGCTATAAATAAGGTAAAGAGAGGGAGGGAAGCCATCCAGGCTGAGAGGGGACCTGGCAGGGACCCAGGGAGACACATCTGTGTTTCTACTCGGGGGGTCCCACGAGAGTCCCTGACTATGCCCAAGGCTGGAAACAAACATGGAACCAAGAGTGAGTACCATGGCCCTGCCCAGGGGGAGGAACCCGGTCCATACACCCCAAGGTGGAGAGAAAGCAGGGGAGACAGGCTGGGGAGAGGACTGCTCAACGTCGGGGCCTGTGAGCCCTGCCTCCTGGTCGGCCTGGACCAGCGCCTAAAGTTCCCTACCTTGGGGCTACCCCGGACAGCACAGCAGAGCATAGCAGTGTAGCCCGCGATGACCGAGCGGTTCACCAGGGGCTGGGTGAAGCTTGGGGCCTCGGAGAAGTCCAGGGCCTTATAGTTGGGTGGCTCATAGGTGATGCCTGTTGGTGACAGGACTTGGTACCG